>NC_000012.12:130715243-131016867 GCF_000001405.40 Homo sapiens
CACTCACCCTAAGAACCTCCAGGGACCCAGAGGCCACGCAGGCACGGAGCCAGCACCCCCGCCTCCCCCGGGGCCAGTGACCAGGCCGGGAGGTGAAGCAGTCCTCCCTCCCTCCGGCCAGCCGCCACCCCGACCTCAGCCAGCGTGCGCTCCCCGGGGACAGGAGGGAGGCTGCTTCCACCGAGGCCTCTGCTGACAGATGTCCGGGCCCCCACCTGGACCTACCCAGACCTAAGCTCCTGGGCGGGTGGTCCCGTACGCGCTGCCTTTCCCGGTGAAATACGGTTTCCACTGGGAGAGTCTGCCCCCGGCCAGCAGCCCGCGCACACTGCTCACACAGGCACACGCATGCACGCACACACTCTGCCGGGGAACATCTGTTTTGACAAACACATTATTCAAGTCAGTCCATGGGACGTGAATTGACAGATTCCTGGGCGCAGCCTGCGGGCTTTGTGCATTTGCACCTGAGCCGAGCTGGGGACTCTGATGTGTTTGTCCCACGTCCCCTTCCCCCCCTCCACCCCGCCCCCAAGAAGACAAGTCCAGGCCCTGAGCCGCTGCTGTCTGAGAAGCCTGGGGCGCACTCCCCAGGCGAGCGGGGCCGTGTCCATCGGGTGCCAAACTTTGCCTGGAGGGGCCTTTCTTAAAAGCCTGGGGTGGGGGCCATGACAGAGCCACAGCACCCCTGCAGCTGACACCCGGCACCCAGGAAGAAGCCCGTCAGCCCTTCCCTTCCGAGACGATCCTGAATTCCAAGCAGCACCGACATGCCAGCAGGGCGAGCCGCTGCTCCCCGCACCCAGCGCCCCCGGACCCCACGCTGAAGGGCATTCTCCATCCGCTGCAAGATAAACTTTGTCTGGGCAAAGAGTTTCCGGCTAACCCCCTGTGATCAACGCCGCTGCAGCTCGGGTGCAGAAAGGCGAGGGGAGACGGGAAGCTATTTTTAGGAGAAAAAAATAAATCTCAGCCTACCTTTAGAAGCGAGCTGTGCCAAGGCTCCGGAGGTTCACCTCGGAGACAACTGCAGTGTACTGTGTCAGATTACAAACTGGGGGCGAGACGGAGGGAGGGAGGAGGGGGAGAGGGAGAGAAGGAGGGAGGGAGGAGGGGGAGAGGGAGAGAGGGAGGGAGGGAGCAGCAGAGGGAGAGACAGGGAGCGAGAGGCAGGCAGAGGCGGCGCCCAGTCAACATTGCAGGGCATTGGTGTGTCTGCACTGCTTGCATTCAGCTAGACATGATTCATTAGTTTTCTGCAGGCAGGCAAGCAGGTCGAGAGGGAGAGAGGGAGGGAGAGAGAGGGAGAGAGAGAGGATCATCCGCCATGCAGCAGTAACCAGAGCCTCTGAAACGTCAGTGTTTGAACGCACACACACACACACACAAATACACATGCACACACACGTGCGCATACACACACCAAGATGGCTATACCCCTCACTGCCAGTTTCTTTCACAGAGCTGTGGTGAAAAGCTCGGACAGAGATGGAGGCAAACAGCTCTCAGCCATGCGGGGCTTGGGGTTGGTGCTTTTCTCTCCATCCCTGGGAAAACAGCACAGGATCTTCCCTGCAGGAGGCCGGGGGTCTCCTGCAACCGACAGGCAACCGATCAGCACATCAAAGTAAAAGCTGCCCTGGGCTCTACTCCAGGAAGCTCAGAAACTCAAGCGCCCTCAGAATTAAGTGATGAAGAGGAGCGACCCAAGCTGCCTGGGTCTTTGCTCTCCTGTCCGGCTCCCCTCCCCACCCCAAGCCTCCAGTGGCCCCGCAGATTCCCCCTTCCCACAGAACTTCAGGTGGTGGCACAGATATACCCGCTACCTAGCAACCGGGTGGTGCAGGAGGGAAAAAACCCTGGGAAACACGCACGGACTTCACACACTTGCTTCCTTCCCTGGGGTAAAAATCCCATGGCTTGTTACTGAAAGGTGCTGAATAAGATAGCTCATGCGGAGGAAAGCCCCTTTGGTATTTTGGGCTCCACATACCCTAATTGAGGCTCTGAGGGCTCCTACTAATGATGGCCCTGTGCAGGGACAAGACTCGAGTGTAGGACACGAGAATTCCAAGGAAGGGCTCACCACGGGTCCTTTGTACAAAAAGGAAGGACTTGTCCCGAGGTGCTTTCTGTTGCTTCTCCAATTAAGGCTCACTTTACAAGTTTTTTAAAAAATGGGCTCCTTAGTAAAACCAACACATCCTACCATCACCGTGGTTTTGCTTGTGATCTTAAAGGAATCGCAAAGGTCTCAAACCTAGACAGCCAGAGGAAACCTCTTCCCAAGACAACTTTTTCAACACTGTGGCAGACGGGTCCAGCGAGTTTTCCCAGTCAGGACTCATTTTGGCCTCCCGGATAGGCTTCTGAATTATATGCCTCTGAATTTGGCTGCAAGACTGGAGGCTTCTTTCAAGCCCCGTGTAGAGTGGCCCCAGCCTCTGTGCATGGAACAAAGAGATACGTGCTGTATCCAGGAGTAGGTGGCAAACCACAGATGATTCCTTTTCACCCTGCAGCAGAGTTATCAGGTCACAGAAACTACAAGACTGCAGAAAATCGTGGAAGGGACTGGTTACCAGATACTCGTACACACATGTTCACAGCTGCGCTGCTCTCAACAGCCAAAGGGTAGAAATGACACAAGTGCCCATCAATGGATGAATGGGGAAACAAAATGTGGCATATCCATACAATGCAATATTATTCAGCCAGGAAAAAGGAATGGAGTATGTGATTCCTGCTACCACATGGATGGACCTTGAGAGCACCATGCTGGGGAAAGAAGCCAGACACAAAGCCCATCTATCGTATGAGCCCATTTTTATGAAATATCCAAAATAGGCGAATTCATAGAGACAGAAAGGAGACTGGTGGTTGCTGAGGGCTAGGAGGAGAGGAGATGAGGAGTGACTCCTTACTGGAGTGGGGTTTCCTTTTGGGGTGGTGAGAACACATTGGAACAAGAGAGAGGTGGCAGTTGCACAAGACTGTGAATGTATTAAATGCCGCTGAATTGTTTACTTTAAAATGGTTAATTTTATGTGATGTGAACTTTACCTCCATAAAAACATATGAAAAGACCGTAGAAAGTGCCTGTGAATTGGGCCCCACTGACCCAGTCTGCCCCTTCCTGACTCCATCTGTGTGGCCTGGAGCAGGTCAGTCTTTTCCCACATCTGTAAAACGATCGTGTCTGCTTATCACATAATGTCTACTTCACGGGGCTCTTCTAGGGGACAAATGAAATATTTGACAGAAGGAAATAAAGCTATTCCCCCTTAGAAAGGATTCAATCTTTTAAAAGGTCATTCAGTGGCATGAAAATGACTCTCCACCTTTGTTTTCTCAGCAGAGAGGAAATTAATTGTTAAGGAATGCCATGGAACATTTAGGCCAAAAAGCCAAGGTTCGAAAACAAATAAGCTGCAAAAAATGTTTCCATTCAAAGATGCTGGGTTCTCCCCATACAGGGCCATTGCTGTCTGCACCAGCCCCACTGAGTCTCTGTCATGGCTGCACTGTCGTCTGCAGTATCCCATGTGTGTGGGGCTGCATGTCATGGGTCTCGGCGTGAGGAGCCCACTTTTTCAGCTGGACAACTTGAGACCAAAGAGTTGACTGTAGCTGCCAAGAGACACATGGTCAAATCATAGAAAGAATGCAGGGCCAGGCACAGTGGCTCATGCCTGTAATCCTAGCACTTTGGGAGGCCAGAGTGGGAGGATCACTTGAGCCTCGTAGTTCAAGACCAGCCTGGACAACGTAGTGAGACCCCATCTCTACAAAAAATACAAAACTTAGCTGGGCATGGTAGTGCACGGCTGTGGTCCCAGCTACTCAGGAGGCTGAGGTGGGAGGATGGCTTGAGCCCAGGGGGGTCAAGGCTGCAATGAGCTATGATTGCTCCACTGCACCCCAGCCTGGGGGACAGAGTGAGACTCTGCCTCAAAAAAAAAAAAAAAGAGAAAAGAAAAAAAGGAAAGAAAAGAAAAATAATACAGGATTCCATTTCTTGGTGTCATGTTCTAACTTCACAAAAATTAGGTAAATTTTGTGCATAAAATACTGAAAAAAATGTAACAAACCAGAGACTTTCATAGGTAACTAACAATCCAGATGAAGCCATTCTGGGCCTGTGAAGAATGAGGATGTATTCAACCCAGCAGGAAGGAGCTAGCCAGTTCTGAAAAATGAGCTGCTGTGGTGGGGACCAGTTTCGGTGATGGAATCAAAAGTGCTGACCCCCTCCAGCGCTTGTCATAGGCAACCTGCTAGCTCTGGACTGCACACAGGCCACACAAAGGCATTGCTACTCATCGGGTCTATTAGGCCGTTAAAGACTCCTGTGAATAAGGCACCATTTGTTTTATCTGGTCCTGGATGGAACGAGTGTTTGCCAGATGTCAGGAAGTGTGAGATGCAAAGCTGCATAATTGCCATTCACAGTTTTCCAGCCCTCCGTATGGAGACAGCACAACTAGACAGTTTCCACTTGGAACTGCTGTCTGAGAAAATGCCAGTCATTTTGTTTGCAACGTAGTTCTGAAGCTTCAGCATTAAAGTGGAATCTCCTGTCGCTGGACAGCTAATAATAGGTCTGTGCTGACACTGACCATCAGCACCTCTGCGGGCCCGAGCTTCCACAAAGCACAGCAAGTTTTCTATGAGGCCAATTCCAAGGCCGGTGGGTAAGTGCAGCCCCCTAAATCCTTTCAAGTAGCCTTTGAAGCTGGGTGTTCACCATAAGTGCAGCACTCAGCTAGGAACATCTCTCGGAAAAACCTGCCCTGTTTACAAGTAGTAGGGTAGTCAGAAAGGTCTAAAAACTAGGCAGTATTGGAGATGACATGATGATCTACCTGGAAACCCAGATGAACCAATCACAGAAAAACTGTTACAAATAAGAATTGAATAGGAGAGGATAGAATAGGTCTGGCGTGGTGGCTTATACCTGTAATCCCAACACTTTGGGAGGCTGAGACGGGAGGACCACTTGAGCTCTGGAATTTGAGACCAGCCTGGGCAACATGGTAAAAGCCTGTCTCTATGAAAAATACAAAAAATTAGCCAGGTGTGATGCCTCATGTCTGTAGTCCCAGCTACTCGGGGGCTGAGGTGGGAGGATCACCTGAGCCCAGGAGGTGAAGGTCGCAGTGAGCCATGATCACACCACTGCACTCCAGCCTGGGTGACAGAGCAAGACCCTGTCTCAAAAAAAAAAAAAAAAAAGGAGAGCTCTAGATATATTCCATAATTGAATAGAATAGTGTATTATTTTAGGTTCCCAGCAAATATATATTTGTATATTATTGCATATTATTTTGGAGGAACAAAAATAATATACAAAAGTCAATAGGTTTCCTATATAAAAGCAATAATCAGTTAGGAAGTATAATGGAAGGGGAAAAAAATTCCATTTATAATAGCATACAAAAAGAAAGGCATGCCTAGAAATGTGTAAGATATATATGAAGAAAACTGAGGAAAAAATAAAAGAAAAATGGAGCAAAAAGAAAAGCCAACCCCACACTTGGAGAGGGTCCTTAAATTTTATAAAATTCTCCTGAAATCAACCTTAACATTTAATATGATTACAATCAACATAAAGCCGAGATTTTTTTCCAGACCTCTGGAAGCTGATTCTAAACTTAGTATGGAAATATAAGCACAAAAGTATAACCCAGACATTTTATTGAAGGCAAGAAAAAGTAATGAAAGAAAACTAGTTTTACCAGACATTAAAATATATTATAAATATATAAATAAAATTGTTTTGTCATGGTACATGAACAGACAGACCCATAGAACAAACTGGGTGGTCCATAAACAAATCCAATTACATATGAGAATTTAATATATGATAAAATAGTATTTCTAATCAATAAGAAAATATAGAATACTCAATAAATAATTGTCAGAATACAGGATAATTAAGGGAAAAAGTTCTTACACATAAGTTAATTCCAGATAAATCAAGTATTCAAACATATAAAAGAAAAATTAGACATTCTAGAAAACTTATGAATTTTTTTCATTATTGTCAAATGAAGAAGGACTTTCTAAGAAAACTCAGGAACAATAAAAGGAAATGCTGATTAAATCTGATTACGTGGAAATGTAAACTTCTGCACAGTGGGAAAATGCCACAAATAAAACCAAAAGATTTGCTACAACTGAGATAACATATTTGCAACACATATTTCAGATTCAGTTGTGGGTCCAATTTTGTGGGGCCTGGAGTTTATATAATGTGGAGAGCCCTAGTTAAGAAAAATAAAACACAAAGAACACCAATACAAAATACACAAATGATCATTTATCGAGAATAAGAAAATAAATCACAACAAATTCCAGATGTTAAAATGTTGACAAATCCCACAAATATCACAAAATCCAGAAAAATAGCATATATTTATTGTAATTAACTGCCTAAGACTCTACTATAATATCAATTTTATTGATATATGATAAATGTACATAATTTAGGGGTACATGTGCTAATTTGATGCATTCATGTAAGTATAAAAATAAAATCAGGGTAATTGGGCTACCTATCACCTTATAATATTTGTATAATATTTGTTTTTAACACTATTTGTGTAATCTTTGATTACTTCTCCAGATGACAATGATTTTATAATTTTGTTTTCTTTTGAGAGAACAGAAAGAAAACTCTTTCCTCTAGCATGATGATCAAAATTGGCTTTTTAAAGTTATTATTGAAGGCTTAAATGTCTTTTTTAGGCAGCTAGAGAGAAAGGGCAGGTCACCCACAAAGGGAACCCCATCAGGCTAACAGTGGACCTCTCAGCTGAAGCCCTACAAGCCACAAGAGATTGGGGGCCTATATTTAACATTCTTAAAGAAAAAAAAATCTTCAACCAAGATTTTCATATCCAACCAAACTAAGCTTCCTAAGCAAAGGAGAAATAAGATCCTCTTCAGATAAGCAGATGTTGAGGGAATTTACCACCAGACCTGCCTTATGAGAGACCTTGAAAAGGGCACTAAATATAGAAAGGAAAGACCACTACCAGCTGATACAAAAACACACTTAAACACACAGACCAGTGTTGCTATAAAGCAACCACACACAAGCCAGCATAATAAGTAGCTAACAACACAATGACAGGATTGAATCCACACATATCAATACTAACCTTGAACGTAAATGGGCCACATGCCCCATCTAAAAGGCACAGAATGGCAAGTTGTATAAAAAAGCAAGACTCGATGGTATGCTGTCTTCAAGAGACCCATCTCACACATAATGACACCCATAGGCTCAAAATAAAGGGATGGAGGAAAATCTACCAAGCAAATTAAAAACAGAAAAAAAAGCAATGGTTGCAATCCTAATTTCAGAAAAACCTACTTCAAACCAACAAAGATCAAAAAAGGCAACAGTACATAATGGTAAAGTGTTTAATTCAACAAGAAGACCTAACTATCCTAAGAACACATGCACCCAACACAGGAGCACCCAGATCCATAAAGCAAGTTCTTAGAGACCTACAAAGAGACATAGACTGCCATACAATAATAGTAGAAGACTTCAACACTCTACTGACAGTATTAGACAGACCATCAAGGCAGAAAATTAACAAAGATATTCCGGACCTGAACTCAACATTGGACCAAATGGATCTGATAGACCTCTACAGAACTCTCCACCCCAAAACAACAGAATATACATTATTCTTATTGCCACATGGCATATATCAATGACATAACTAGACATAAAACAATCTTCAACAAATTCAAAAGAACTGAAGTCACACCAAACACACTCTGAAGCCACATCACAATAAAAATAGAAGTCAAGACTAAAAAAATTGCTCAAAACCATGCAATTACATGGAAATTTTAAAAACGTGCTCCTGAATGACTTTTGGGTAAATAATAAAATTAGGGCAGAAATCAAGAAGTTATTTTTGAAACTAATGCAAACAAACATAAACATACCAGAATGTTGGGGACACAGCTAATGCAGTGTTAAGAGGGAAATTCATAGCACTAAAAGTATTCATAACATCAAAAAGTTAGAAAAATCTCAAATTAACAACCTAACATCACAACTGAAAGAGTTAGAGAAACAAGAACAAATCAACCCCAAAGCTAGCAGAAGATAAGAAATAACAAAAATCAGAGCTGAACTGAAGGAAATCAAGACACACACACACACACATACACAAATCAAAACATCAGCTAATCCAGGAGTTGGTTTTTTGAAAAAATAAGTAAGGTAGATAGGCCAATAGCTAGACTAATAAAAAGGAAGAGAGAAGGTCCAATAAATACAATTATAAATGACAAAGGGTATATTACCACTGATACCACAGAAATAAAAATAACCATCAGAAACTACTATGAACAACTCTATGTGCACAAACTAGAAAACTGAGAAGAGACAGATAAATTCCTGGACACATACACCCTCCCAAGACTCAACCAGGAAGAAATGGATTCCCTGAACAGACCAATAATGAGCTCTGATTTATTAAATCAGTAATAAATAGCCTACCAACCAAAAAAAGCCCAGGACCTGATGGATTTACAGCCAAATTCTACTAGGTGTACAAAGAAGAGCTGCTACTATTCCTACAGAAACTATTCCAAAAAATTGAGCAGGAGGGACTCTTCCCCAACTCATTCTATGAGGACAGCATCATCACGATACCAAAACCTGACAGAAACAGAAACAAAAAAAGAAAACTTCAGGCCAATACCCTTGATGAACATTAATGCAAAAATCCTCAACAAAATACTTGCAAACCAAATCCAGCAGCACATCAAAAAGCTAATCCACCATGATCAAGTAGGCTTCATCACTGGGATGCAAGGTTGTTTCAACACACACAAATCACTAAATATGATTCATCACATAAACAGAACTAAAGACAAAAACCATGTGATTATCTCAATAGACACAGAAAAGGCTTTCAATAAAATTCAATATTCATTCATGTTAAAAACTCTCAATAAACTAGGTATTGAAGAAACATACCTCAAAATAATAAGAGCCATCTATGACAAGCTCACAGCCAACATCAAACTGAATGGGCAAAATCTGGAAGCATTCCCCTTGAAAACCAGCACAAGACAAACCAGCACAAGGATACCCTCTCTCACTACTCCTATCCAACATAGTACTGGAATTCCTAGCCAAAGCAATCAGGCAAGAGAAAGAAATAAAGGGCATCCAAATAGGAAGAGAGGAAGTCAAACTATCTCTGATGGCAGATGACATAACCTTTTTTTTTTTTTGAGACAGTCTCGCTCTGTCACCCAGGCTGGAGTGCAGTGGCACGATCTCGGCTCACTGAAACCTCTACCTCCCGAGTTCAAGTGATTCTCCTGCCTCAGCCTCCCAAGTATCTGGGACTACAGGCATGTGCCACCACACCTGGCTAATTTTTTGTATTTTTAGAAGAGATGGGGTTTCACCATGTAAGCCAGGCTGGTCTTGATCCCCTGACCTCATGATCTGCCTGCCTTGGCCTCCCAAAGTACTGGGATTACAGGCATGAGCCACCACACCTGGCCTAGATAACATAATTCTATATCTAGAACACCCCATAGTCTCAGCCCAAAAGCTCCTTCAGCTAATAAAAATCTTCGGCAAAGTTTCAGGATACAAAAGCAATGTACAAAAATCACTAGCATTCCTGTACACCAACAACAGTCAAACCAAGAACCAAATCAGAAAGGCAATCCCATTCACAATTGCCACAAAAAAGAACAAAATACCTAGGAATACAACTAACCAGGAAGGTCAAAGTGCTCTACAATGAAAATTACAAAACACTACTCAAGTAAATCAGAGAAGATACAAACAAATGGAAAAACATCCCATGCTTATGGATAGGAAGAATCAATATCATTAAAATGACCATACTGCCCAAAGCAATTTACAGAGTCAATGCAATTCCTATCAAACCACCAATGACATTCTTCACAGAACTAGAATAAGCTATTTTAAAATTTATATGGAATAAAAAAAAGAGCCTGAGTAGCCAAGGCAATCCTAAGCAGAAAGAACAAAGCTGGAGGCATCTCGTTACCTGACTTCAAACTATACTACATGGCTACAGTAACCAAAACAGCATAGTACTGTTTTGGTATAAAAACAGGTACATAGACCAATGGAACAGAATAGACAGCCCAGAAATAAGGCCATACACCTATAGCCATCTGATCTTTGACAAAGCTGACAAAAACAATGGGGGAAAAGACTCCCTATTCAATCAATGATGCTAGGAGAACTGGCTAGCCATATGCAGAAGATTGAAGCTGGACCCCTTCCTTACACCATATACAAAAATCAACTCGGGATGGATCAAAGACTTAAATGTAAAACCCAAAACCATAAAAACCCTGGAGGACAACCTTGGCGATACCGACCTGCGCAAAGGGCAAAGATTTCATGACAAAGATACAAAAAGCAATCACAACAAAGGCAAAATTTGACAAGTGGGATCTAATTAAACTTAAGAGCTTCTACACAACAAAAGAAACTATCAACAGAGTAAGGAGACAACCTACAGAATGGGAGAAAATGTTTGCAAACTGTGCATCTGACAAAGGTCTAATATCCAGCCTCTATAAGGAACTTAAACAAATTTACAAGAGAAAAAACAACCCCATTAAAAAATGGGCAAAGGATATGAACAGACACTTTTCAAAAGAAGACATACATGTGGCCAACAAGCACATGAAAAAAAATCTCAATATCACTGATCATTAGAGAAATGTAAATAAAAACCACAATGAGATACCATCTCACACAAGTCAGAATGGCTTTTATTTAAAAGTCAAAAAATAACAGATTGTGGTGAGATTGAGAGAAAAGGGAACACTTACACACTGTTGGTGGGAGCGTAAATTAGTTCAACCATTGTGGAACGCAGTATGGCGATTTCCCAAAGAGCTAAAAGCAGAACTACCATTCGACCTAGCATTCCCATTACTGGTTACATACCCAGAGGAATGTAAATCATTCTACCATAAAGACACATGCATGTGAATGTTCATAGCAGCAGTATTCACAATAGCAAAGACAAGGAATCAACCTAAATGCCCATCAATGACAGACTGGATAAAGAAAACGTGGTACATATACACCATGGAATACTATGCAGTCATAAAAAAGAATGAGATCATGTCTTTTGCAGGAACATGAATGTCGCTGGAGACCATTATTCTTAGCAAGCTAACACGGGAACAGAAAACCAAATACTGCATGCTCTCACTTATAAGTGGGAGCTAAATGATGAGAACTTATGAACACAAAGAAGGAAACAACAGACACTACTGTCTACCTGAGGGTGGAGGGTGGGAGGAGGGAGAGGAGCAGAAAAGATCACTATTGGGTACTGGACTTAATACCTGGGTGATGAAATAATCTGTACGACAAACCCCCCGACACAAGTTTATGTATGTAACAAACCTTCACTTGTACCCTCGAAACTAAAACGAAAGTTTTAAAAAAATGGTTTTTTTAATGAATTTATTTCAAGTAGAGTTGTAGTAAAAATAGGCTTGCTGTTAGGCTACTATTATAGAGTGTGTCCTTTAAGCATAGGAATTCTGACGTCTTTTTTATTTGAATACCATTAAGAAACAAAATAAATTTAAGATGGTTCATACTTGTGTTTGCTGCATTATTGAGAATATTCCGGACAGAAGAACTTCTCTTCTCACCGTGCATTGGTGACAGCCACATCCCCCATTTGCAGTTTATATCTGAAGACTGAAAGAATTAGCCACAGACTGGCTTTGGTCTCCACCCATTTCAAACCTCCTTTCTCACCCGCTACTCATGTTTGTGGTGCCAAATACCATACATGTTATATGATGATAAAAGCTTTGGTCACACAGGGTCATGAAGAATAATTCAGTACAGAGAGTGGGGGAAGCATGACAGGAAGTGGTACCATGATGGCTGCTGATAATACAGACCCAGAAGTGACAGCAAACCAGTTAAAACACATCCCTCTAAATTCAAATTCAAGGTAACTGTAACTTAGATTTATCTTAGCCTAGTCCCCAAAAATGCCCACAGCCTCTCTGACATCACTCACACCAGGGAAAACCTCGGTGGAAAGATACAATCATTTTAAATGCTTGCAGTTAAAATAAACCTGAGTCAACTTTGTGAACCCATTGCTCGGTCCTCTCCGGGGTCTCATGAGAGCTTATGCAAGGGAGGTCTCTGAAATTTAAGCGTCATTGGTTTCATAAGTCTGTCTCTTGACAAGCTGAGGACTACCTTGCTTAATATATAAAGAGCTCTTACAAATCAATAAGAAAAAGACCAACAATCCAATAGAAAAAAATTGGCAAAGGATATAGACACACAGTTGAGCAGCCCCCAATGAGGTGGTGCTACAATACGATCTCCAAAACATACTGAGTGGGGAAAAAAGAATGGTATTATGTAGTCTTGTATTTGCATATTAGACAAGGATGCCTGTATGTGTACTGACTGTTACAGGATGCCCACCATGGGAATGGCGGTTACCTCCATAGGGAGAGAGGCTGGGGACTGAGAGTCTGGGAGTGAAAGATCCCTTTTACACCACTATCTCTCTTTTACTCAAAGCTCTATTATTTAGTAAAAATCATTGAACTTAAGCCTAAAAAGGGTAAATTTGCTGTATTTACGATAAAATCTTACAGGTATTTTTAAAAGCTATTATTAAATATCACTAAATTTATACTATATACATGTTAGATATTACACATATTACACATATTCACACACATGCACATATATCCACATAGGATGCAAGCATCGAAGACAAAATCGGCCCTTGATAATCCACCAAAGTAAGACTGCGCCGTGCAGGATGGAAGGTTGGTATCTCAGGTCCCCTGACTCCTGGGTTCTGGGACTGTGGGAAGAGCTCTCCTCTCATCCAGAGCCTTGTGCCAGGGGGAAGGTGGAGCATCCACACTCACACTAGCACTCACACTCGCACTCACACACTCATACTCTCACACACACACTCGCACTCTCACAGTCACGCACTCGCTCACACTCGCACTCACACACTCACTTGCACTCACACTCGCACTCGCACACATACTCTCACTTGCACTCAGTCACACTCGAACTCGCACTTTCACACTCGCACTAGCACTCACACTCACTCACACCACTCATACTCGCACTCACATCACACACTCATACACACACTCACACTCGCACTCACACACTCATACACACTCATACACTCACTTGCACTCACATTCACAGTCACATATTCGCACTTGCATACACACGCTCACACACTCACTCGCACTTGCATTCACACTCGCACTCACACTTGCACTCACATACACTCACACTCACACTCATACACTCACTTGCACTCATTCAGTCACATAGTCACACTTGCATGCACACGCTCACACACTCAGTCGCACTCACATTCACACTCGCACTCACACTTGCACTCACACTCATACACACACACACTCACACTCACTTGCACTCACATTCACAGTCACATAGTCGCACTTGCATGCACACGCTCACACACTCGCACTCACACTCACACTCGCACTCACTCTCACACTCGCACTCACTCACACACGTGCACTCACACTCCCTGTGGAGACACCTGTCCCAACAGCCACAGCAGCTCCCACTGAGGCTGTCTGAGCAATGGCTCCATGTCCCGGGGCTGCCACCGAGCAGCTCTTCCTGGGCTGGAAAATCACAGTCCCACGTCCCGCCGTACACTGCTGTGGCTGTGGGTGACTCCGCGCTTGCTTCTTGTGTTTTTCAGTTTCCTATAACACATACATTAACTTTTTAAAAATAAAGGTTACTTTCAAAACCTGAGAAAAACAGAAAATCACAGTCCTTCAGGGCACAGTAAGAAAGGCTGAACCACCGGGCCCAGCTACTGGGGAAACTTACCCCCGAGTTCAGGAAATGCTAAGGGGGCCTGCGTCCCATCACAGTGCACACCCGGTCTCCCTCTGCAGGTGAGACAGGCCTTCCTCCACCTCCAGCAGGGGTGGGTGTGACGGGGGTGGGGAGGGGGGGGAGGAGAAAGAGGAGCAGAAGAAGAAAGAGAGGAAGAAAGGGGGAGAGACAGGCCGACCACTGTGGCTGGAGTAGAGAAGGTTCTCCTGCTGTGGACTCTGTGGCTGGAGTAGAGAAAGTTCCCTCACCCCCTCCCCCACCTTCCCCCACCCCTCCTCCCCACCCCTGCGCTGAAACTGCTTCCAGGCATTCTTCCTGCCCAGGCTGGTCAGCTTGCAGAGTGGATGCAGGACAGCAGGTCTTCCCGTGCCTCAGGGCTGATGTGAGGATCTGCCTGGCCCCTCTACTTAAAGGACGGGGTCATTCCATCAGGACATCTTTCCAAGCATTGACTCTGTGCCATGCACTGCCCGCGGTGCCCAGAGTTCAGCAGAGGCGCTGATAGGGCCCCTACTCTCACCGGGCCTCTGTGCTCAGGACGGAAAAGCAAACAGTAAACAAATACCAATCAACACTAGCAAGGCAGTTACAATCAGTGCTAAGAAACCAGGGACTGGGGAGAGATGGGCCTGGGGTGGCACGGGAGGGCCTGGGAAGGTGGCCGTGGAGGGAGTGATCTGGGGAATGAGGGAGCCGGTGTGCATGAGGAACGCGTGCCTGGTGGAGGGAATAGTGAGGACACAGGCCCCAGGAGGAGATGTACAGCATGTCTGAGGAACTGCAGAGGCCAGCATGGATGGGTTACAAGGAAGGAAGAAGGGAGGGAGGAAGGGAGGGAGAGAAGGGACCCGGAAGCCAGCTGGTGTGGCTTTTAGATGTGCAAGAACTCCTGCTTCATTGTGAGCAAGACAAGAGTCACTGGAGGGATCTGGGCAGAGCAACGCGGCCTGGTGTCTGCTGTTTTTAAAAGCTGGCTCTAACAGTCATCCCAGCGGAGCGCAAAGTCAAACATCACAATTCTCCACTGGCTCAGGGATGAAATCGTTTGGTAACAGCCAACAAGAAGGCAGCTGCCCTGCAGAGAAGGAACCCGGGAAGGGGCAGGGGCACACGCTGGCCACTGGCTGTTTCCACGCATCACTCTTAATACACTTCCCCAGAGAAGCAAAAAGCCGCTTAGAACCCACGTGCCTGGCGCTTCATCAGGCTCAGCCCCTGTGCTCACATCTACAAAGACATCATGTTCAAACCCAGAAGTCCCAGAGACGCGGTTTCTCTTATTTTATCTTCCTTCTGCTTAGAGTGTGTGTGTTTTTCTTCAGTCCCTTTAAGAACAAGAGCTGTTTACAGACTTTGGAATTTCTCCAAAAATTATAAAAAGAATGATTTGAAGCCCAACATAGCGAAGCACAGATAAACCCTGAAGGAGATTGGTTGGAGACATTTCTGACGGCCTTAGACAGCTCTGAATTGTTTCATCTCCTTGATTACGTGAAAAAAAAAAAAAACACTGAGAATATTTCACCTAAAAGCAGAGGAGACCCATGTTCATGAACAAGGAGCAGTAGAGACATTTTGGACTTTTTTTTTCCTTTGGTACAGAAATTTCAAAAATGTATGTGTCCCACCAATTACAGAGAAGGCCCCAGCGATGAAACCAGCATCAGTTTACCCAGCTCGTCAGGAAACCCAATAAACTCAAATAAAAAGCACTCGTCTTTCTTGATACTGCTTTAGCAGAACAGTTGAAAGCTTAAATCAGGGTTTGCAAAGTCAGATGCTGACCAGGGACTAAGCAGGTCACATGGGAGAGTCAACACCTAGCAAGAGACACGTGTCGCCCTGGGGTCTCGTATCTTCCAGCTTTTGATAGACACATAGGATTAAAGATATGTCACTTTCCTCTTACTTCTACTATAATAAAAGTGATAAGAAAACACTAGGTAGTTTCATCGGAGGAACTTGATATCCATTGCCAAACAGAGGATGGTGAGTATATGAGCTTGTCCAGGCTGCCATAACAAAATACAGCAGACACGTGGCTTAAACAATAGAGGCATATTATCTCGCAGCTCTGAAGGCTGGAGGTTCTGGATCAAGGTGTTAACAGGGCTGGTTCCTCCAGAGGCCTCTCTCCTCAGCTTACAGATGGCATCTTCTCCCTGTGTCCTCATCCCTCCATGCATATCTGTGTCCTAATCTCCTCTTTGTAAGAACACTGGTCCTATTGGGTCAGAGCCAGCCCTCATGACCTTATTTTAATTAAATCACCTCTTTAAAGACGCTGTCTCCAAATACAGTCACATGCTAAGGTGCTAGGAATTAGGGCTTCAATGTATAGATCTGGGAAGACACAACTCAGCCATGATAGAGAGGCACCCCAGAGACCACAGCAGGAAGCCAACACCATAGGCTGGGTAGGTAGGGAGAGCCCAGGACGGGGCTGCTCCCCAGAAGCTGGAGCCACAGAAGAAGGTGCTGTCCAGGGGAGCTGGGGCCACAAGAGATCCACGGGCATAGGTGGTGCTCTGAGCAGAGACAGCAGGAGAAATGCCCTGGCCCTTCTCTGCCCCACTCGCCAATCTCTGGAGATCCATAGCTTCCTGCATGGATCCTCCCTGCGGCCACCCAGCAAGAGAGCCTGGGGGTGTATTTTCAGGGGCCACGGAGCAGAGCAGGAAGTGAAGGGGGTGGACCCAAGAGCACACAGTCACTGACCTGCTCAGGGCCACCAGGTGGGTCGCCACCTAAGAAAGGAACCTTCTGAGTCTTTAAGACAAATTGGAGATCTGTGTGTTTATGTGGCATCTTCCCATTATTTCTCTTGTGTGTAGGTCTCCAGTATGCAATGTGCAGTTTAAAGTGATAAAGATGGTGGATGGAGGTTTCTTCCAACTGAATACAAGGAACACACAGGACCCTGTCCCAAGAGCCATGGGGGCACAGAGCCCCTCCCAAAGGGCCTAGATAAAGCAGGAAGCAGGAGGGCTTCCTGGAGAAAGCAGCCCCCACAACACCATGGATGAGGCCATCCCGAGAGCTAATCTAGAATGTTCCTAAACCAGGATCTTTACCAAATAATGATTCTGATCTCAGAAAACTGTGAGGGAACAAGACGGCGCCACGTGGAATGAGCAGGAGTCTATCTTGAACAACGTAAGAGGAAGACAGACCAGGCCAGGGGGTTTGGTGTCCAGCCTGTGGTGAGGATATTGGCCAATCCCTTCACAGGGACTCAGGGCAGAATCCCCCCAGTGACGTCTGTAGTCAATGTCTGAGTTATTTGTCGAACTATCCAGTCTTTCCTGAGCAAGCTTTGGTTGTTTGCGCAGTACCCTGGGCTAAGGACGCCGCTGGCTTCGTGATCAATAGCTATCGGCCAGGTAGGGGCCACCTGGCTGTTACAAGAGGCTGGGCCGTTGCAGATGCCTCACGCAATGTCCTATTCCCAGTGCACGTCTCAGCCTAGGTGCGTTGCTCACAACGACCACCTCCTGCTTTCTGCGCATGCTTCCCACCACTGTGCTCTTCCCCACCCTGCAAGACTTCCATAGACAGAATGTGGACTTCACGCAGCGCTGTTTGCAACAGCCAAGGTGTGGAAACAACTGACACGTCCATCAACAGATGAATGGATACACCAGACATGGTCCACGATCCACACCGTGGAATACTACACAGCCTTTCAAACGACGTCAGTTCTGCAACACGCAACAACACGGGTGGACCTTAACATTGCACCAAGTGGAATAAGCCAGTCTCAGAAGGACAAATCTTGTATGATGCCACTTAGATGAGGTCTCTGAAACTGTCAAATGCCTCACAGAAGCAGAGAGGAGAGTGGTGGCTGCCGTAGGCTGGAGAGGGAGCGCGGGGAGCTGTGGATCAATGGTGTAAAGTCTCAGCCACGCTAGGTGAGTGTGCACTAGAGATCTGGCACACTACATCAGGTCTGCAGTCAGCAATACTGTACTTTGTGCTTAAAAATTTCTTGAGGCCAGGTGTGGTGGCTCACACCTGTAACCCCAGCACTTTGGGAAGTTGAGGCAGGCAGATCACTTGAGGTCAGGAGTCAGCCTGGGCAACATGGTGAAACCCTGTCTCTACTAAAAAAAAAAAATACAAAAATACAAAAATTAGCCAGGTGTGGTGGCACACACCTGTAGTCCCAGCTACTGGAGGGGCTGGGGCAGGAGAATCACTTGAACCCAGGAGACGGAGGTTGCAGTGAGCCAAGATCGCACCACTACACTCCAGCCTGAACGACAGAGCAAGACTTCATCTCAAAAAAAATAAACGAATAAAAATAAAGACAGTTTCATTCCTTCTGTCCCAATCTGTACATCTCCTACTTCCTTTTCTCATCTTACTGCACTACCTGGGACTTGCAGTATACAAAGTTGAACAGGTAAGAGGGGACATCTCTGCCCTGTCCCCAATCTTAGAGGGAAAGTGTCCAGTTTCTCGCCACTAACTATGATGTTGGCTGCAGCACCTGGGCCGTGCTTGTTTTGCACGCTTATTAAGTGTTCACTGTGTTTCTTTAATAGATATGGGACTATCTAGATCACCTGTTTCTCTTGAGTGAGTTTTAGCAGATTGGGTCTATCAAAGAATTGATCCATTTCATTTAAATTCTCATATTTGGCCAGGCGCAGTGGCTCACGCCTGTAATCCCAGCGCTTTGGGAGGCTGAGGCAGGTGGATCAAGAGGTCAAGAAATCGAGACCATCCTGGCCAACATGGTGAAACCCCGTCTCTACTAAAAATATAAAAATTAGCCAGGCGTGGTGGCGCGCACCTGTAGTCCCAGGAGGCTGAGGCAGGAGAATCGCTTGAACCTGGGAGGTGGAGGTTGCAGTGAGCTGAGATCGTGCCACTGCACTCCAGCCTGGCGACAGAGGAAGACTCCGTCTCAAAAAAAAAAAAAAAATTATTACATTTGTGGACATAGTGTCGTTCATACTTTTTTCTTAATATCCTTTTTTCTGCCCTTATTGGTTTTGGGTGAGTGTTTGATATGATTTCTCTCTTTGACCTTCACTTATATACATTTTCGAAATCTTTCCAGTGCCTGTGCTGGAGCTCTCCACGGACATTCACCTGAACTATAGTCCACCTTGGAATAACACGGCTCCAGCCCGAGTGAGTGCAGACTCTTTGTGGTGGGGCGTCCTGGTTTACGTCTCCCGTTCCTTGTGACATGGCCGTTTACTTCAATTAACCAGAATCTAGAATCATCCAATGCATTATTACTATTATGATGCCAAGCAAGACATTCTATTTTAGATCAATTAAGAGTAAGAAAAATCAAAGACCTTACCACCTCGTATTCCCTCCCCAACACTCTTGTTTCTATAGATCTGAGTTTCTGACATACTGTTTTTCTTTTCCCGCAAGAACTTCTTTTAATGTTTCTTGCAGGGCAGGTCTGGTGGTGGTGACTTCTCTCTGTTTTTATACATTTTTTTTTATTTCTATAGCTTTCAAGGTACAAGTGGTTTGGGGTTACATGGATGAATTGTATATCGGTGAAGTCGGAGATTGTAGCACACCTGTCATCCAAGTAGTGTACATTGTACCCAATGAGTAGTTTTTCCTCCCTCCCTGCAAAGCCTCCCCTTCCTGAGTCGCCAGTGTCCACTCTATCACCCTGTCGACCTTTGCATACCCAGAGCTTAGCACCCACTGATATGTGAGAACACGTGGTCCTTGTTTTCCATTCCTGAGTTATTTCACTTAGAAGAATGGCCTCCCGCTCCATCCAAGCTGCTGTGAAAGAAATTCTGTCATTCTTTTCTACAGCTGAGTTTGCGAAGTATTCCGTGGTGTAGACATACCACATTCTCTCCATCCACTCATCAGCTGACGGGCACTTGGGTTGGCTCCATATCTTTGCAATTGTGAACTGGGCTGCAATAAACACACCGCTGTGTGTGTGTGTGTTTTTCTTACAATGACTTCCTTTGTGCACTCAGTAGTGGGATTGCTGGATCCAGTGATGGGACCGCCTTTTAGTTCTTTAAGGAATCTGCATGCTGTTTTCCAGAGGTGGAACTAAGGCACATGTCCACCAGCAGTGTACACATCCTCCTTTTTCAACGCATCTAAGCCAACATCTATTGTTTTTTGGCTTTTTAATAATGGCCATCAGGTGATATCTCACTGTGGTTTTAATTTTCATTTCCCTGGTTCCCTCTGTTTTTGTTTTTGTCCGAGAAAGTCTTTGTTTCTCCTTCATTTTTGAAGGATAATTTTGGTGGATATAGAATTCTAGGTTGGGGTGTGTGTGTGTGTGTGTGTCCCTGACACTTTAAATGTTTCACTCCTCTCTCTTCTTGCGTATGTGGTTTCTGGTGAAAATTCCCCTGGAATTCTTATCCCTGTTCCTGCACAAGTCAGGTGATTTCCCCCGGCTTCTCCCAAGGCTGTCTCTCCATTGGTTTTCCGCGGTGTGACTGTACCATGTCCAGCCATGTCTGTTGGTATATTTCCCGCTTGGTGTTCTCTGAGCTTCCAGGATCTTTGGTTCGGTTCTGACATTAATTTCAGAAATTTATCAGCCCTTATTACTTGAAATATTTATTCTGCTCTAATCTCTTTTCCTTCTAATATTCCAGCTATACGTATATGACACGTTTGATATTGTCCCGCAGTTGTTGAATGTTGTTTCGACTTGACTTGTTTTGCTGTTTGTTTTCCCATTGTGTTTTTCTCATGTCAGGTTGGGAAGTTTCTGCCGACCTGCTTTGAAGTTCACTGACTCGCCTGGGCCACGCCCGATCTACCGATGAGTCCGGGAAAGGATTTCACCATTTTTGTTTCAGTGATTTTCATTTCTAGCATTTTCTGTGATTCCTTTTTAGCATTTTCATTTCTCTACCTACCCATCTGTTCTTTTTTCCCCCAAGTTTATTGACGTATAATTGACAAATAAAAATCATATCTATTTAAGGTATACAATGTGATGTTTTGCTCCACCTACACACTGTGAAATGATTACCACTATCAAGCTAACACAGCCAGCAACACAGTTACCTTTTGGTATTTGTGTGTGATGAGAACATTTCAGATCTGCTCTCTTAGCAGGTTTTAAGTCTGCAATACAGTATTATTAAACATAATCATCATGCCGCTCATTCAATCTCCAGAACGTATTCATCCTGCACACGTGAAACTCTGTACCTGCAGCCACATTTACCCATCTGTTCTTACATGTTGTCCACTTCTTCCATTACAGCCTTTAACACATCAATCGTAGTTCTTTTAAATCCTTGTACGGTAATTCCAACATCTGTGTCATCTTTAAGTCTGGCTCTGATGGTTACTTTGTCTGTATTTTTCTCTTCCCTTTTTACAGGCTTTGCAATTTTCTGTTGAGACCAGACATGCTGTGCCAGGTAACAGGACTGAGGTGAGCAGGGCTGCAGCCTGAGGACGTACATGGCTGGGCCTGGGTTGTGCTGACTGGTTGCTGCAGCTGCCGGTGCCGGAGGCTTCCGGCTCCTCTAACGTCCCTGCTGGTGTCTCACCTGTTGACCTGGGGCTTCCCTAAGTCCTCCTCCTCAGGGAGGGTCCACATCTTGCAGCCCTTTCGGCTGGAACCCAGGGTTACGGCACCGGAGCCGTGTATGTGTGGCGGTGAGGTGTGGGGGAAGGAAAGCATCCAGTCATCCCACGATGGAGTCTCCGTTTTTAGGGGCTATGACCTTCACAAGTGTTCCTCCAGTGACGTAGCTTTTCTGTTCCCCTTGGGTGAGACAGGGAGGCTAAAGAGGGCCGGGGTGGAAGAAGTGCCTCCCCAGCCTCGGCAGGCCTCGGAGCAAGCCTGTGTTGGGGAGAACACTCTGGGCAGATTCCACAAGGGTGACTCTTCTGCTCCCCTTTCCAGAGCCAACGGGGATCTTTCTTGGACCTTCACTTGTGAGAACGTGTGGGCTTCCTGGAGGTTTGAACCGCAGGAGTGTGAGGGACCCCTAGGAGGGAGGCCCCAGGGTTTCTCACTCTCAAGCTTCCACACTCAACCTCCAGCAGCTCAGCAAAGTCACCACCGGGGTGTTCCCATCCTCCCCCACTCATTCGAGGTTTCCACGACTTCTGCCCCAGGCCTGCATTCACCCATCCTTCCAGATTTCGGGGTGGTGGCTCATCCACAACCTGTTCTCTGAGGGGGCCGAGGACATCCTCGGGTTCTGAGCCTGTTCAGCTGTTTCTTGCTGGAAGTAAATGATGGCTTCTGGGCTTCCTACACGTCAGAGCTGGAGCCAGCCGTCTCTCTACTGCCCCTGTTTTAACTATTTTATTTCCTCCTTTTGTTCTTCCGCTACTGATTCCCACCTTTAGCTTTCCTTATCTTAAAAAGAAGATGCCTTGAGATCTAGCTCTTGAGCTATTAAATTTTTCTACTTACATGATTTTAGCTCTCTTAGTTCTCCAGTTTTATTTTTTTTATTTTGCTTATCATCTGGTCTTATAGTTCCCTTTATTTTTATATCGGGTCCTGTGGTAACTCATTCATTCAGCAATTCTTTGTCGCGTGGCCCCTACGTGCAGGCTCCTGCACTGGGACACACAACGGTGAAAGCAGTGGGCTCAGGCCTGCCCTTGGGGAGGGACTGGCATCAGCACTCTAGTCGCAGAAGCTGTCATTGCAAACTGCAGCAACGTGCATGAAGGAAAAGTGCTGAGAGCTGTGGGAACACAGAACAGGGGTCCCGAGCCACTCCAGGGATGCAGAAAGTCGCCCTGGGCAGGAGGCATCTGCACTGAGACCTAGGGAGAAGCAGGAGACGGCAGACAGAGGCTGCAGGTAAGTCCCGCGCCATCACCATCGTCATTTTTGTCGGTCTGCTTGTTGTTTTTAGAATTCCTTATGACCCGGGAGGAAGGGTGGTCACTGCAGGAAAGTTCAGACCCGAGGCAGGAGGGAGTCATGCGCTGTCCCCTCAAACTGGTCCAGTGCCTCCCTCTGACCTCCCCCATGAGATCACCTAAGTGAAGAATTCCTTTTTTAAAAATAAAAGTTAGATGCTACATAATATTTACCTTTAAAAAAATTTATTATACTTTAAGTTCTGGAATACATGTGCAGAATGCGCAGGTTTGTTGTGCAGGTTTGTTACACAGGTATACATGTGCCATGGCAGTTTGCTGCACCCATCAACCCGTCATCTACATTAGGTATTTCTCCTAATGCTATCCCTCCCCCAGCCCCTCCACCCTCGACAGGTCTCGGTGTGTGATGTTCCCGTGTCCATGTGTTCACATTGTTCAACTCCCACTTATGAGTAAGAACATGCGGTGTTTGGTTGTCTGTTCTTGTGTTAGTTTGCTGAGAATGATGGTTTCCAGCTTCATCCATGTCCCTGCAAAGGACATGAACTCATCCTTTTTTATGGCTGCATAGTATTCCATGGTGTATGTGTGCCACATTTTCTTTATCCACACAATATTTACCCTTATAATTGTCTCCAGTAATAGAACCCAGATTTTTATCTGGCCACATTGCTGTCCAGAATAAAAATTAAGTTCCTTAATTAAGTTCCTGCACATCTAAGTCCAGCCAATGAGTATAAGAGGAGATTGTGTGTCAAACTGCAGGAAAGGCTGCTTAAAGGTAGGCCCCTCTGGGAGGGGCATTCTTGTCCCATTTCCCCTTCTTCTGGTCTACCACCTGGAATGTGGATGTGATGGCTGGAGCTTCAGCCACCATACTGGCCTATGAGGTCACCTTAAGAATGGAGTCTTCACATGAGGATGATAAAGCAAAAAGATAAAAGCTCAGTCCCTCTTGGAGCTGCCAAACTAGCTTCTGGAATTTTTTTTTTTTTTTTTTTTTTTTTTAGACAAGGTTTCACTCTGGTTGCCCCAGCTAGAGTGCAATGACATGATCTTTGTTCACTGCAGCCTCCACCTCCTGGGCTCAAGCGATTCTCCTGCCTCAGCCTCCCAAGTAGCTGGGATTACAAGTGTGTATCACTGCGCCCAGCTAATGTTTGTATTTTTTGTAGAGACAGGGTTTCACCATGTGGACCAGGCTGGTCTTGAACTCCTCAGCTCAGATGATCTGCCCACCTCAGCCCTAGATTTCTGTTACATGAGAAAGGAGTAAACGTCTATGTCTAAGCCACTATTATTTTTGCCTGTAGAAGCAGCTGCGCCCAGGCCTAACTGGCACAGCTGGATTATTCAGCAAACCCAGAGACTAACACGTCCTCCAGGATAACTATGACCTTACAGTGCCCTTGAACTGATTCCACAAGTCAGCCTGCAGCCTGAGGTGGAACTGAGCCTGTATACATTTTGGTCCACCCAATTTTTAAACTGAATTTGATGGCAAGATTTAAAAATCTGGGGGTTGCACACGCAATTCCAGATTTCTGACTTCTCTTGAAAAACCAGATCTAGGGACACTGGCCCTCTGCCCTCAGGCCAGCAGTTGGCAGCCTCTGGGCAGGGGGTGCCCACTGTCCTTGGGCCCTCCGCTCCCCTGCCCACCCCAGCATCCTCTGTCTGGCTTCACCCGCTTGTTCGTCCCTCCCACCCTGGAAGGGTGTGAGTGTGTGAGCCCCAAGTCGCACAACTTAAAGTTGGTGACACCTGCCAGGCATAAGGATAGACCACAGATACAGCATGAGAGGGAAAGCAGGGCGTGAGAGACGGCCAGTGACCCCATCCCCGCAGAGGGGCCCCCACGGGAGGAAGCCCAGGAGAGGGCCCTTTGGGGACACTTGGTTCCACCTGACACCGAGCGGCTTCAGCTCAGTGACTCCAGTTTGACCTTTCCCCCTAAGAGGGTCCCCTCCACGGTCTGGGTGCTCCCAGTGCTCTGGTAAAGAGAAGGTTCTCTTGCGATGAGAAAGTCTGTATTTGGATTTTTTAATGGAATCAGGCAAACTTTTGCTGGACTATTTCCAAAACCCCAAAATCAGGGCTGCAAAACATGAGCATGAAACATCCACTTCAACTTTTTAAAATACGTATCAATCCTCTTTGCAAAGGAAAAAAAAACAGAATACACAGAGATGGCTTGAGATGTGGGTCTCCAGCACCCCCACATCCTTCCCCGATAGACAGATTCCTACAGAGTCCACATATATACGTCTCCCCAGATACGTTCCTACATGTGCTCACGCTGCATGTTTCCGCCAGTGCCGGACATCTTCACGTTGTGTGTTTCACTGGCTGACACCCCTGCCCCATTGGCTGGAAATCCAGGAGCAAGAACCCCACTGCTGGTCAAGCCTGTGTGGCAGCTATCACACAGAAGGTTGACTATCTCAATCTAGTCCCACTGTGGGAATTGCCCACAAACCTCCCTCTCTGAGAAAATAAACTAACAGATTGTCTCCAACCAACCCCCAAGCCTAGAACACTCATTCCCCTCGGCTGCTGACTTGCTGGCGCCCACCCGAAACACCCTGGGACTAGAAGCCTGGGCTCTTGTGCCACCAAGAACCGGCTGTGGGTGCAACACTTTGATCCAGAAGTGTCCTGGCCGATCCAGGTTATGTTGCCCAATCTGCACAACCAGACAGAGCTAAACAAACTAAGCAAAGAGCCACATCCTTCTGAAGCGCTGGGTTCCCTGGAGTGTGCCTTACAATGATGAAAATTCTCTTCTTGGAGTGTGGCTAATTGAGGCACTAAATATAAACATCCTGATTTGGTGAATTTTCCTTTTGGGATTTAGCATCCTATGGCTGCAAGAGATAGGAATTCTAGAAAATGATTCCCTAATTGTCAAGACCTCACAAAGAGGTGGAAAAGAAACATCATCTCACGGTCAAGCGGAACCCATAAATGCGGGGAGGCGGGAGGCAGAAGCAGGGAGTGGGGCTCGTGGGAACTGGAGGAGCCCATGCCCACCAAAAATAACTCAGATTAATTTAAAACTGTACAAGACAAACAAAACCCATGTGTGTCAGCTCTTGGTTGAGGTCCTTCTTTATAATAATTTTGATATAGTTTGGCTGTTCCCCACCCAAATCTCATCTTGAACTGTAGCTCCCACAATTCCCACATGTTGTGGGAGGGACCCAGTTGGAGATGACGGAATCATGTGGGCGGTTTTCCCCATACTGTTCTTGTGGGAGTGAACGAGTCTCACGAGAGCTGATCTTTCTCTCTTGCCTGCCGCCATGTAAGACATGCCTTTGCTTCTCCTGGCCTTCTGCAATGATTGTGAGGCCTCCCCAGCCAGGTGGAACTATGAGTCCATTAAACCTCTTTCCTTTGTAAATTGCCCAGTCTCGAGTATGTGTTTATTAGCAGCATGAGAAAAGACTAATACAAGTTTCTAGAGGAAAACCTCTTGACACAGGCAAAGGGGACTTGGCCGTTCTAAGCCCAGTTGATGTCAGCGCCCTTGAGATCATACAACAGGCTGCTGCACAATTTGATTCCTTCATTGCAAATTTATGTGCCAGCAATTAAGACCCTAAAGCTTCTAGGTCAGAGGCTAGAGAGTAGAAATATCACCCCTAAGGAGGAATTCTGAGTTTTCAGGGCCAAACAAGTTGACTGTGGCATAAGGTGCAGATCAGTAGACTATGGCCCATGAACCAATTCTGGCCCACCGCTTGTTTTTATAAATGAAGTTTTAATGGAACGCTGTCACAGCTAATTGCTTACATATTCTCCATGGCAGCTTCTGCACTCTTATGGCAAGGTTAACTAGTAGTGACAGAGACTATAAGGCCAGCTGAGCCTAAAATATTTACTGTCTCATTCTTTACAGAAAACGTTTGCTGTTCCCTGGTCAAATGTTTTGTTTGTTTTTGGTCAAAGTTTTTTCCAAACATTTTGATCATATACATATATTTAGCATACCTCTACTGGCAGGAATGATCAAAGATTTCTAAATTTTAGATATCCCTACTGGTAAAAAAGCTATGGGGGCTGCACCTCTAATATATGGGTGAAATACCAGATATTTACACAGCTTCAAAGCATCTCCCCATGAACTATTTATTAATTACAAAGGGGAAACCAGTAGCCTCAGAGTGGGAAATCTATAACAGACACTACCTGAACCAGGCGACCAAAGTCAACATCACCAGCAGCGGGACCGACCAAAGTCCTGCGCGTCCTGATAGGGATACTGAGGCCAGGACGTCACTTCCACAGTAACTTATCTACATATCATGGGCCTGCCAAGGACGCACAACTAAACCAAATCATGACGAAACACCAAGCAAACCCAAACCCAGGGACGGCCTGCAGAGTAACTTGCTATACTCTTCAATCGGGTCAAAGAGACGGGGACTGCTCCAGATGGAAGGAGACTGGAACACGTGGCCAACACATGCAGTGTGAGATCCTGGGTCGGCCTCTGGACTGGGAAACAAAGTGGCCATTAGGAAGTTATTGGGGCAGTTGATCAAATGAGAATAGGGACTGCAGATTAGGTCATAGTATTGTATCAGTATTAGATTTTCAGATTTTGAACTTTGTATTGTGGTGGTATAAGAGAATCTCCTTGTTTTTAGAAAAAAACACACTGAAATATTAAGGATAAAGGATAAGATATCTGAATTTACTTTCAAATAGATAATTCTGGGGGAAAATCTCTTTCCTCTATTTCCCTCTCTTCTCTCTGTATGGATAGCAGACGATAGAGGGATGACAGATAGAAGATGGATAGATAGATAATTGATAGGTAATAAGGTAATAGATAGGTGATAGGTAGACAGATGATAGATAATAGCCAGATGATAGATAATAGATGATCAATAGATTGATAGATGATTAATAGATATAGATAGATAGATAGATAGATAGATAGATAGATAGATAGATAGATACCAAGAAACCAATGATAAAAAATTGGGGCAAAATATAAACAGTTTAATAATTCTGGATAAAGGTTTGAAGGAGTTATTTACACTATTCTTGCTGCTTTTCTGCATTAAATTATATCAAAATAATAAAAGTTTTTTAAGGCAGTAGAAAAATCTCTAAATCATCCCAAAGACAGAGAAAGCTCTTTTCTTTGTGTCATTCCTGGGGGCCATGCTCTCCAGGCTCATTTATCTACAGGCCAGTAATGCAAAGGGCATTTACTCTGAGCTACCTGAACACCGACCCCACCCCAGGCCCTCACTGTTCACCTCCAGTAGACTGATTTCTGGGTGTCTGTCCAGACTGGCATCCCTGGGCACCTGCTGGAGGGGCTGGGATTCTCTGTGGCACTGATGACCTTTGGATTTGGTGGAGAGAACCCTTGCAGAGGGCATCGCCCTCTCCCTGGTGAGGTACAGGGTGAACAGTTCTCCTAAACAGAAGAGGAGAAAGTCATTAGGCAAAACTCAGTACCCCTAATGGGACAGATACTGCTAATGCTTTCTGATATCCATTCACCCCTTTTCCTATATAAACAGAAATATACTGATTAATTCAGGGTGGCAGTGAACCCTGATTCTGCTGGAGCAACAGGTAGCTGTGTTACACTCTTCTGGCCAATGAGGTCTAAGCAAAAATCTGACGGGCATAGAGAGGAGAGAGTTCTGGGAAAGTGCTGGCTTTCCTTATAAGAGGAAACAAATGAAATTAGTGTTATCCCTCATTCCTCATTCTCCTGCTTCCCATTCTGAATTCAGATGTGATGGCTGGAGCTGTGGCAGCCATCCTTCAACCACGAGGCAAAGGCCCAGAGAATCATAAGAACGACAGCCAGGCATCCTCGATGCATTGAATCCTTGCTCTCAGTTGACCATATTCAAACCCCTCCTCTTGTGAGAAAAACAAAGCCCTATGTGTTAAGCCACTGTTAGCCATGTATTCTATTGCTTTGCTCAAACCCATTTTAAACGAATGTAACAATTTTCTTCCTTTTCATTTTAAGCTCCAGATATAGTTGTAGTAAAATAGACCGCACTATATTTTCTTAGGGTTTCTTCCTGTCCTTCTCCCCACAAGGTAGTTTTCAGTTAAAATATGAGCAGCTCTTAGGCCCTAATTCAGGTGACATTCCCACTGGGGGAAGGCTCTGCATGAGGCTGACCACTCCTCCTCTCCTTCCCAGAGTCAGCGTCCTCCACATCTACTTCGCTACTGAGATACTGCTGATGTGTTTAAGAGGTGAGCCCAGCAGGAAGGATGTTTAAAACACCAGCGAGGGTCTCCACGAGACTGGTAACTAAGCGCCAAGCTGCTCCAGCCCACCTTCCCTGAGCCACCCAGCAGCTCATGCACACGTTTCTGGCTTTGCGAGCAGCTCTTCTGCCTGGTCTGTTTGTCCAGTTGGCTGATAGATCATAGGGTTCATGCCCAGAAAAGCTATGAACCCTGGACTCCATGGGGAATAGCAAATGCTGATGCCAGCAGAGAAGTTGTGTGTGAGATTCATTTGTCAACAGATCCAGAAAGGAAATCTAGTTCCAGGAACAGATCCTCTCCAGCCCACCTCAGGAAAGGACACAGAAAACTGTCAATATCATGCTTACTGCTTAATGCATGATCCAGAAACAACAGCAACTAAAATACACAACACTGGAATGAGAGGACGATAAGACTCTTGGGGCAGAAGCAGCTAAAGAAAGAATGGTACCAGTGAAAGGGCCAGGATGAAATCTTGGTGTAAATACATCTCATGCAACAACCTATTGCTCAAAGATCGAATATTCTACCGCTGAAAGATAATCCTTTAAGTTAAGAGACGACGATTCCAAAAAGCCCAGTATAATTGGAAAGAAGAAACATCATTTTATGGTAATGCTAGGGGTTTTATGCTTCACACAGGAGATTTCCCCAGAGTCTTCCAAAGACTAAATATCCGTATGTGTTGCCAACATGTCTACAAGTGTGAATTAACATAGCAATGTGCTGTTCACAGGTTTATTACCACAGCGTACATAACAGAGTCTCTTAGGCCACCCCAACCCCTGTCTCGGTTATTTCTTAGAGTCCCTGGAGGATATTTTGATTAGTCCTTATTTTTTAAGTTCAGACGGACAGCCTCCATCTGAACATAAGCATATGTGCACACACATGCATACCTGTGCACACACAGACAGGTGCGTAGGTCTTATTTCCCATTCTATGTCTTGATGTCAGGGACTCAAGAATTTGTAGTATTTTTCAACTGTACCACATACTTGATTCCACTATTCATCTCTCATTTAGTACCTCAACAATCTCTTCCCAAAATATCGGAATTTCTTTGTGAAAGTCCTCTCCAGAATCCTAGTTTCTTTCTATTACTAAGCTATTCCATGCTACACATAAACCCAAACGTGCCACCCAATTTCCTAAAACATAACTGAAAACCAGTACATGCCCTAAATATACACAACGCGTTGTTGTGTTAGTAGGTAGAAATCTCAGAACATCACTCCCTGGCCATCAAGCAATTCATGAGATTGTTACAAACCGTCGTTTTGAATGCGGTAGCTCCAGGATTTCTCCCTTAGTGCCATAACGTCTGAGATGCCTGGTGAGATGCCCGGTTCTTTTGCTGACACTGGGTGACCTTTTCAAAATATCTACACAAGATTTCAAGGCTCTACCCATTGCATGTTGAGTGTGAGTTGAGATTTTGTCCACTTATCATTTTGTTTAAAATATTGTGTTGAACTTAGGGACCCAAAATTTACATTTTCTCTTTAAACACATTCCTGAGAAGTGATATATGTATATCATATATATATAATATTCAATATTGTATATGTTATATATATGTATATGTATATATACACATGTTACATATACATATATGTGTATATATGTGGATATGTGTATATACACATGTATGTACATATAACATACATATACCATGTACAATATTTAAATACAATATTTAAATAATGGAACAATATATACACAAAGATTTAAATGCAATTTTTAAATTGTATTTAAATATACATGAATATTTAAATGTAATGTTTAAATTGTATTTAAATATATACGAATATTTAAATGCAATATTTAAATACCAAATATTTAATATCATATCTTATTTTATAAACCAAGAAGCGTACTCTTCCTGGAACATATCTACTGAGACCCCCTCCCCGCCATGGGATATAACTGTTTTTGAAGAACTGGGCTTTGAGGCTGGAACAGAGCTAAGGTTGAATCATACCTGCTCCACTTAGTAGCCATGTGAGCCGGGTGTGCTACAGAAACTCTGTTTTCTCTTGCATAAAACAAAAATAATAATAACGCCTGACACAGCGTGTTGTAAAATCAAATAAAATAATGCACTTTTTCCAAACCAATGCACGTTAATAGGAGCCAGAGAGCAGCCGTCCCCAAACTTTTGGCACCTGAGACCGGTTTCATGGAAGACGGTTTTTCCCACAGACCGAGGTGGGGAGGGGTTCCACCTCAGATCATCAGGCATTGGATTCTCCTAAGGAGCAGGCAACCTAGACCCCTCACACGCACAGTTCACAACAGGGTTTGAGCTGCTATGAGAATCTAATGCTGCTGCTGGCCTGACAGGGGGCGGAGCTCAGGTGGTCACGCTCGTCCACCACTCACCTCCTGCCGTGTGGTGCGGTTCCTAATGGCACCACTCTGTGGCTAGAGTGGGGACCCCTGCTATGGAGAATAAGGAAACCAGATACTTGGTTCCCTTTCTTGCAAGAGGAACATATTCGTGCCCATCCCCCTCTACTGACTGAAGCAGAGCCATGGCACCTGCTCCGGCCAACACACTGTGAGCAGTCATTGGTGTGCATGTCACTTCAGGTGAGGCGCTCTAGGAGTCCATGTGTGGTTTACCATGATCTTTTCCTTGTCTCTACCCACATGGAAAAATGCTTTCAGATGGAGCTTCCTTCCACCCAGACCCCTAGGAACTACAACAAGCAGAGCCCTCTTGATGACATATAATGGACATATAACATGATTGAGAAATAAACATATTTTTCAACCACTGAGGTTTTCAATGTGTTTGTTACAGCAGCATAACCTGCCCTATCGTGACTCACTCTCCTTGGCTCCTATTAAGTGTGCAATAAGACCTAGCCACGGGTGACCTTGGAAAAGTTGTTTCACCTCTTTAAGCTTCAGTGCCCTCATGTGTAATTCGGGGATGATGGCAGTCATATCCACCTGCTGGACCATGGTGGGGCTTAAATGCAATAACCCATGTTAAGTACTTAACACAGTAAGGGTTTCATAAATGTTGGTGGCAATTGTAATTACTATTATCATCATTATGATCATTTCCAAGGTAGTCAATAAACACTTTTGGAATTTAGCTGAGCTGGCCGGGCACAGTGGCTCACACCTGTAGTCCCAGCACTTTGGGAGGCCGAGGCAGGCAGATCATGAAGTCAGGAGATGGAGACCATCCTGGCCAACAGGGTGAAACACTGTCTCTACTAAAATACAAAAATTAGTGGGGTGTGGTGGCGGGCGCCTGTACTCCCAGCTACTCGGGAGGCTGAGGCAGGGGAATTGCTTGAACCTGGGAGGCAGAGGTTGCAGTGAGCTGAGATCGTGCCACTGCACTCCAGCCTGGCAACAGAAAAAAAAAAAAGAATTTAGCTGAGCTGGGTTTATCTATTCTCATTAATGGAGGGAGAAACTGACTCCATTTTTTCTGAGAGCCTGAACCCATACATCTCTGGCTTCTATGTCCAGGTCAAAGTCTCTCAACTGCTACACTGACCTAAAGTATCCGTGTCCTCAGGGTTGCTATTTTCACTCCTGCTCCCTCCATAGGAAAGGGTTTAGACCAACAGGGTCAGCTCTCCACTCTCCCAGCCTCTCTGTCCCCTCAGAGGAAAAAGCTGCATAAGCTTCTTGGCAGAACTCTCCACTGTTTCTCTCTCCACCGACAGCTTCTCCGCCCCTTGCATTTTCCTGTTTTCACTTTGCTTCACAACCGCCTGAGATTATCTGATTTTTAAGGGCAGCACTTGGCTCTGGCTGTGCTTTATAGAGCCCAAGGTGTGCTTAGGTGCCCTCGATGGTAGTAATTTGTCACTGTCTAGCTTGGCATGCCCCCTGCTCCATGCAGGCCTCCAGCCACAGGGGAGCCAGGCCCCACACACATGCAGAAATTGCAAAATCACCAGTTGCACATGGGATGGCAGAGAACCAGGGGCTTCACTTTAAGGCCAGGCTGGCTCGCACCAGCCCTGACGCAGCCTGAGACAACTGCCACCCTCTGGCGCCACCTACTGACAGCTTTCCCTCTCCCTCGAAGCCTCTGCACCCGCAATAAAAAAGGGAAGCGTTTGAGCTGACTGCAGCCTCTTCTGTAACTACCACTATGAGAATGGAAGGATAGCATTCAGATGCCTAAGGTAATACAGTAATGCATGCCCCTTGCAGAAGACACAAAAAAGCCCAAAGCAAAATGTCAAGTCCACCCCAAAAAGCCCTTCTTTGAAATAACCGTTGCTGGTATTTTTGGGACCTACCTTTCCAATGTATTTTATGTTATTATTTTATGGACTATACATACATTATAATTACGTGTATTTGTATACACATATAACAGTAGATGAAGACGGTTGTGATTTTATTTTGTTTTCCTAAATTCTGTTTTGTAACCTGATGTGTTCTACAGAGTAAACACTTTCTCATCATATAAATTTTTCTTTAAATCGTGACCTGTGAACATTACTATTACAGGAGCATTTCATAATGTATACAATAAGCATCTTCTGCTGCTTGGTGCCTCACTCGTCAAATTCTCCGGCGAATACCCCTGGATAGGACATTGGCTCCACCTCTTGCATTGTTTCATGGCCATTTATTCCTGGGAACAAAATGCCTGGATCAGTCGACACACGCATTTCATGGCTCTTGGGTCATGTTGCCAAACAGCCTTCCGGGATGCACCGATTTACATTCCTGTGGGCAGGCCTCTCTCGCTGCATCCCTGCCAACAGGAAGCATCATCCTTTTTTACAGATCGCGGCTAACTTGGAGGGTTTAAGATGGCACCTCTTTGCTTTGTCTGGGAGGCAGCATGGTGTGCTGACAGGTGCCAGAGATCTGGGCTCTGGTGAAATCCCAGCATGGCCCCTGACCAGCTGTGGGACCCTGGGCAGGTCACCTAAACTCTCTGGGCCTCAGTTTCTTCATCCATAAAACGGAATGATGAGAGCGCTGATGCCCCACAGGTATCGACGAAGAGTCGGACTCTGTAAAATATTCGAAGCTTATTCTGAGCCAAATATGAATGACCATGACCCGTGACACAGCCCTCAGGGGGTGCTGAGAACCTGTGCCCCAGGTGGTGGGGGCACAGCCTACTTTTATGCATATTAAGGGAGACACGAGACCTCCACCAAATACATGTAAGATTTACATTGGTTCCATCTGCAAGGGTGGGACAACTCAAAGCAGGGGTGGGGCTTCCAGGTCAAATGTAAATTTAAAATTTTCTGATTAGCAGTTGGTTTGTGAAAGGAAAATATCTTGGGCCCCCAAAATCACTAAAGAAAACTCAAGCTAAGAACTGCTGAGGGCAAATCTGCCTCCCATTCTATTCAAAGTCATCCCTCTGCTCACTGAGATAGACACATATCTGATCTGCCTCCACTGGCAAAGCTCATCAGAAACTCAAAAGAATACAACCATTTGTGTCTCACCTACCAGTGACCTGGAAGTCCCCTCCCAGCTTCGAGTCTTCCTGCCTTTGCTTCCAGTTGTCCCACCTTTCCAGACCGAACCAGTGTACTTCCTACATATATTGATTGACGTCTCATGTCTCCCTAAAATGTGTAAAACCAACCTGTGCCCGACCACCTTGGGCACATGTCATCAGGACTTCCTGAGGCTGGGTCATGGGTGTGTGTCTTCAACCTTGGCAAAATAAACTTTCTAAATAGTAACTGAGACCTCCGTCAAATGTTCTAGGTTCACAGGTTGAAAGCATTACTATCAATAGAAATAAATGTCTGGGTTACAATAAGGGGTTGTGGAGAGCAAGGTTTCATGATGCCGATGAGGCCTCCAGGTAGCAGACTTCAGAGAAAATAGACTGTAAATGTTTCTTTTCAGACTTAGGGTCTGCGTTGATGTTAAATGCTAATCAGCTTTTCCTGAGTTCCAAAAGGAAGGAGAGGAAGGCCAGGCGCAGTGGCTCACGCCTGTAATCCCAGCACTTTAGGAGGCTGAGGCAGGAGGATCACTTGAGGTCAGGAGTTCAACACCAGCCTAGCCAACATGGTGAAACCCCATCTCTACTAAAAATACAAAATTTAGCTGGGCATGGTGGTGCACACCTGTAATCCCAGCTACCTGGGAGGCTGAGGCCACATGAATCACTTGAACCCAGGAGGCAGAGGTTGCAGTGAGTCTAGATTGCACCAGCCTGGGTGACAGAGCAAGACTCCATCTCAGAAAAAAAAAGGTAGGATAGGAAAATGAGGCATGACTGACCTGCGCTTTCCATCATGCCCTGAACTAGTTTTTCAGGTTCAATTTGGAATGCCCTTAGGCGAGAGGAAGGGCCCATTCAGAAGGCTGGGGGCCTTAGAATTTTATTTTTGGTTTGCGTAGGTTTGTATGAACCTGAAATAAGGGAATCCGTGAACGGCGCTGAGAACAGTGCCTTGCACACATGAGTATTGGCTACCTCGATCGTCCCATGTTTAACTAACTGTGAACCCTGAAAATTTGAGACAGATCTCAGTTAATTTAGAAAGTTTATTTTGCCAAGGTTGAGGACCCACCCATGCCCCAGCCTCAGGAGGTCCTGATGACACATGCCCAAGGTGGTCGGGGCACAGCTTGGCTTTATACATTTTAGGGACACATGAGATGCCAATCAATACATGTAAGAAGTACATTGGTTCTGTAGAGAAAGGTGGGGACAACTCAAAGCAAGTCCCCTACACTGGGGGCTTCCAGGTGACAGGTAGGTGAGAGACAGATGGTTGCATTCTTTTGAGTTTCTGATAAGTCTTTCCAAAAGAGGCAATCAGAATATACATCTATCTCTGAGCAGAGGGGTGACTTTGAATAGAATGGGAGGCAGGTTTGCCCTGCATGGTCCCAGCTTGAAGAGGCCCAAGGTATTCTCCATTCATACAATGAAAGGTTGGCACGCTTTTTCAATCACCTGTGTATTTGGACAGATTTCATTACCCTGAGTTCACAGTTGCTCTCTTGAAATGAGATTCTTTATTTGTGAGCTGCACTGGCTTCTAGGACATTTACCATTAGGAAGATTTGATCTAAATATTACCCTATGGAGTGGAAGGGACTTTAGGATGCCGACGTAACTTTCAATTGTGTAATTGAAAGTTAGAATTGAGTCTATAATTCAATTTCAGAATTTTAAAAGCTGCTTTTGGTTAAAGACTACTACGACGGATTCCATGATGGAGAGAGTGACGGTGAGATGATGGATGCTGCCAAATGCTAACCGCAGAATCCAGATGGTGGTTCGTCCGTGTTACAGAACAATTCTTTCCCCCTTCTTAGATGTTTCAAAATTGCCATAAAAATTGTTGATGAGAAGAGCTGCTTTCATTGCATTGTTTCATTTATTTACTCTGGCCACGTGGATTTCTCCGTCTTTTTAGCTAGATCTGTCTTCTTTGACTGATTTTCAGATTGTTTTTACAGGGTCTGGCACTCAGCTCTTTTTTTAATATATGTAAATGTGTATCCTCCAGGAAGTGAAACCACTCTCAGGTGGTCGGCCGTCACTTCCCCCTGATAACTTTCCCGTCTGTCTCCAACTCAAACCCCTTCTCTGTCCACACCCATAGTGAAAGCTGGCCACAGACCTCACCCCAATGTGTCTGAGCAGCATCTCACAGTTAACAAGATCAAAGCCAGTGCCATCATTATCCTCACAGCTTCCAAACCTTCAGTCCTCCCACCCCACCCTCAGTTCAGCTGGTCACGAACCGTGTCCCGCCACCTCAGAGCAGGCATGTGGATGCCGCAGCAGCCTGAGGATAAAATAACCCCCATTTCATGTAGACACAGTCGCTTTCCAACCAGGTCTAAACCCTTTCACTACCTGGCCAGCCTCATCTTATCAAGAGAGGCTTAGCGAGATGACTGTCAGGGCATTGTTACATTCCTTTAGCACAGTGGGTTTGCTTTTATTTATTTATTTATTTATTTATTTATTTATTTTATTTTGAGACGGAGACTCGCTCTGTCTCCCAGGCTGGAGTGCAGTGACGCGATCTCGGCTCACTGCAACCTCCATCTCCCGGGTTCAAGCGATTCTCCTACCTCAGCCTCCTGAGTAGCTGGGATTACAGGTGTGTGCCATCACACCCAGCTAATTTTTGTATTTTTAGTAGAGACGGGGTTTCCCCACGTTAGCCAGGCTGGTCTTGAACTTCTGACCTCAGGTGATCTGTCCGCCTCGGCCTCCCAAAGTGATGAGATTACAGGCCTGAGCCACCGTGCCCAGCCTGTTTTCTTCTTATTATTGTTTTTTAATCTTGGGATTCCACCAGAGCTCAGACTCCCACAGCACTTCCGGACAAGCCACCTGCTGAGCCGTTTGTCCCTGCCACGGTCACCTAGGAATTCTCTTCCGTGTGCTCCCTCTCTCCCATCCCAGGAGGATTACTCAGAGCTGCTGGGCATTGTGGGAAACTCCCTGGAGTCCTCCCCTCAGGAGGCCCTTGTGCAGGAAAGCACAGGCCGGCGGGCTCATCCCACCCGTGGACCACCAGAGCCCCCTGCTGTCTGGGATCCTCCACGGGGCCTGAATGGTCTCCATCTCACAAAAGCACTCTCTGCAGGGATGCCCCAGAGCAACGCCCTACAGGTGCCATTGTGTGCGGATCACTCCTACACGCTGGATTTCCAGGCCTTAAGTCCCCGAGGCCGCTCTTCAGCAGCACCGTACACAGCTCTTAAGGGGTCACGTAGGTCAAGGAGAAAATGGGATTTGATTGACACAGATTCTATTGACCCAAGGTTTTTAAGAAAACAGTTGCCACAGAGACAAAGCAGCCGCATCCACAGCTGGGCGCGAGCTTCTCCTGGGAGCTGTGGCAGAGCGCTCTCTGCTGCTCACCCCATGCTCCGCAGGCCTGCAGGAGCGAACACAGAACACCCCAAACGCCCGTGAGAGGGCAGGTCCCGGTCCCAAGTCCTGCACGGAGAAGGGGACAATCACTGCTTTTTATTTGTTTTTTTGTTTTTTTCTTTGAGAGGTAGTCTTGCTCTGACCCCTAGGCTGGAGTGCAGTGGTGCATTCTCGGCTCACTGCAACCTACAGCTCCTGGGTTCAAGCAATTCTCCTGCCTCAGCCTCCCAAATAGCTGGGATTACAGGCGTGTGCCACCACACCCGGCTAATTTTTTGTATTTTTAGTAGAGACGGGGTTTCACCATGTTGGCCAGGCACTGTTTTTTTTTTTTAACTGATACATAGCAGGTGTACATATGTGGGGGGTTCATGTGATCATTTTATTCATATCATTTATAAAGATCAAATCAGTGTAACTGGGATATCCACCACCTTAAATATTTGGACAATGATTTTATTAAAAGCAGCTTTATAGGATTATAATGAATATACAGTTGACCCATGGTAAAGATGGCATTGGATGGCTTTTAGTAAACGTATAATTAAGCAACCATCACCAAAATCCAGTTCTAAGGCAGCCACATCAGTCCAGAAAGCTTCACTGTACCCCTGGCAGTCAATCCCCACCCGCATCCTCAGGGAACCACGGATCTACTTTTTGTCTCTACCGTTTTGCCTCTCCCAGAAATTTCCTATCCATGAAGTCTTGCAGTGTCATCTGGCTTCTTCCATGTCAGGCACTATTTCGGAGGCCATGCCTGCTGTGGCGTGAAGCTGCAGCGCATACTCTCTGACAGCGGGGCAGTGAGTCCCAGGGCGCATGGGCCACACTTGCTCAGGTGGGCACCTGCGGATGGCCATCCAGGCCGTTTGAAGTTTCTATAGTAATTAGGAATAATGCTATGAGGAACATCTGTAGAAAGCCTTTGTGTGAAGGTAGGTTTTTCATTCTCCTAGTTTAATACTTAGGAGGAGAACTGCTGGGTCACATGGTAAGACTCTGTTGAACTCTTTAAGAAGCTGCCAAATAGTTTTCCAAAGTGGCTGCACCATTTTTCACTCCCACCAGCAGGGTAGGAGGCTCCTGGCATCCCCACATTCCCACAGCCACAGAGTCCCCGCCTTCCGCCTTTCTAGGAGACCCCTTTCTCCTGCCTATTTCCCCATTCTGGGTGCTAAAGTCCTAAGGTCAAGCCCACCTGCCACCAACAGGAAGTCATGCTGTGGGGCAGCAGTGGCAGGAGCAGGATGAGGAGTGGGAGCTGAAGGGCGAGACTGGAAGCCAAGCAGAAGCAGGAAGCAAAGTAGGAATCAGAAGTGAAGCAGGAACAGGAAGCAAAGGAGCAGGAAGTAAAGCAGGAGCAGGAAGTGAGGCAGGAACAAGCAGCAGAAGCAGGAACCAAATGAGCAGGAAGTGAGGCAGGAACAGGAAGTAAACCAGAAGCAGGAAGTGAATGAACAGGAAGTGAGGCAGGAGCAGGAAGCAAAGGAGCAGGAAGTAAAGCAGGAAAGGAAAGCAGAGCAGCAAGCACAACAGGAACAGGAAGTAAAGCAGGAGCAGAAACTAAAGGGGGAAAAGGAAGTAAAGCAGGAGCCAGAAAGAGGCAGGAATAGGAAGTAAAGCAGAAGCAGGAAGTGAGGCAGGAACAGAAAGGAAAGCAGGAGCAGGAAATGAGGCAGGAACAGGAAGTAAAGCAGGAACCAGAGGGAAGCAGGGCAACAGGTCCTCCCTTCCACTCATCCTTGCAGCCTCCTCTAGCCTACCAGTGGCCAGTCCAGCAGGCAGACCCTGGCAAGGCAAGAATGAGGCTCCCAAGCACCAGGCCAGCCCCAGAAAATGGGTGCAGCAGGAGCTTGATGTTGAAAGTCAGTGGCTTCCAAGTAGCACATGCATGGAAACTCCAGAACCACCAGAAGGAAAAGCTTCAAGGTCCCCTGCTTCCTGCCCTTGAGAAAGCAGCCTCTGTGTGTGTTGAGTGACAGCTGATGCTCGCCCAGCGCCTGCCGTGTGCCAGGAGCCATCCTAAATACCTCCAGCCTTTTAATTCAGCTATCCCCAACATTGGAACACTATGGGGTGGGTGTCACAGTCACCCCCCTTTCACAGATGAAGAGACTGAGGTATAGAGCTAAACAAGGCTCCGGGTCACTCCAGGGCTGGGACTGTGACGAGGCAAGTGAAGCGCCTGGGGCCGGGAATTTAAGAAGGCACCCTGCTCAGGGGTCTGCCTGCACGTGCACTGCCCCTGGCACCTCACTCCCCTCACCCCAAGCCCAGTGCTAGGCCACACAGCTAGTGAGTGGCAGACACTGTATTTAAATGACAGCAGTCTAGCTGCAGCCTCCCTGCTGAGAACCACTACGTGAAGTGCATCAAATACCTTGAGTTTAAGGAAGTGCAGTATATGGCATAAAAATATACACATGCAAGAGCTCACTAAATGCAGCCAGATTCCATCATCTGAATGTGAGTTACCCATTTCAGTAATAGCCTTGGCCAGCATTTAACCCCAGGACAGCTTCCTTCTGGCACCTAGCCTGCTGCTGGGATGTCTTCCTCCTTTTCACCCCTCAACCCCCCTCATTTATTAGGGAGACTGATTTTAAAAGTTGGCTCAAAGGTAAATTAAAAATCAGACAGCAGGCCAGGCACAGTGTCTCACGCCTGTAATCCCAGCACTTTGGGAGGCCAAGACAGGCGGATCACGAGGTTGGGAGATGGAGACCATCATGGCTAACATGGTGAAACCCTGTCTCTACTAAAAATACAAAAAAAAAATGTTTTAAAAATTAGCCGGATATGGTGGTGGGCGCCTGTAGTCCCAGCTACTCCGGAGGCTGAGGCGGTAAAATGGCGTGAACCCGGGAGGTGGAGCTGGCAGTGAGCCGAGATCGCGCCACGGCACTCCAGCCTGGGCGACAGAGCAAGACTCCATCTCAAAAAAAAAAAAAAAAAAAAAAATCAGACAGTAACTTCAGAAGTTTTGTTTTTAATTGTCCATGCTTTATTTTCCACCAACACCACCATTTCCATGGACAAAGTGGGTTCCAAACTACCGATGTATGAGTCAACATGACCCAAGTAAGATGGAGGACTGTGGTCTCAACACACATGGTCAGGTCAACAGCAAGCCCAGTTTGATTTTTCGACGGAAATGCCAGGTTTTGAAATAATCCTTGCAAAGGCTGGATTTGCTCCTAACAGGCCTTGAATTGGCCTCCAATGATCTACTAACTTGTTATTCACCAGGAATGGCAATTTCTCTCTCCCCAAAATAGTTCATTTGGTCATGAATGAACAGAGACAGGAAAATTGAAGCAAACTAAGGTGAGTTTCATTGGCTAGGACTGTCCAGGGACATTTAACAGACAAGAGCTCAGAAAGCAATAAGCTTTGAGTGAATGGTGCCAATTCCGCCTCAGCAGCCCTGAAGACCTCCTGCTCCCTTCGAATCCCCCAAAAGGGCAATGGTTGTCAAATATTTAAACATATGGACTTGAGTTTTTTGGGGGTTTCTTTTGTCTTTGTTTTTGGTTTTGTTTCTTTGTGTGTTTTTTTTTGGTTGTTTTTGTTTTTGTTTTTGTTTTTGTTTTTGAGATGGAGTCTTGCTCTGTTGCCAGGCTGGAGTGCAGTCACGCGATCTCAGCTCACTGCAACCTCTGCCTTCCGGGTTCAAGCAATTCTCCTGCCTCAGCCTCCTGAGTAGCTGGGACTACAGGCATCCACCACCACGCTCAGCTAATTTTTGTACTTTTAGTAGAGATGGGGTTTCACCATGTTGGTCAGGCTGGTCTCAATCTCTTGACCTTGTGATCCGCCCATCTTGGCCTCCCAAAGTGCTGGGATTACAGGAGTGAGCCACCGCACCCAGCTCTTCTTTGAGTTTTTAAGGCCACATAAGCTGTGGATGTTATAGAATTTCTTATTTCCCTGGGCAGCAACTGGGCCTCTATTGAGACCCAAATGCCCTCTTCAGAGGGAACTACGAGGTCAACAAGCACAATCCCCACATGTGCAGTGAAGTCTCCATACGTCCACTCTGGAGGAGGAGATGACAAGGCAGGGAGGCTGTCATTTCCTACTTGGGCGGACCCTTCTAGGGGCGGTCTGCTCTGGCCCCTCCGCAATTCCAGTCAGCAGCCTAGCATGTCACTCTGGGAGGACCGCAGGAACTAGCAAATCCAATATTCTGCTTACAAATGGAGAGACGGAGGCCCCAAGAAGAAAGCTAAGAGGTACCATCATCAAAGGTAAGGTGATGGGAAGCTGCCCCATGCCTCGGTGTTCCACTATGAGACAGAAGACACAGTGGTTATAACTGCCACTTACCACTGATTGTTAAACTCAACTTCATTTCTTTTTATTTTTTGCCTTTGCCATGATAGATTTTATATCTTATCACCACAACTGTGTGGTGATGTGGTTTGGATGTGTGTCCCCTCCAAATCTCATGTTGAAATGTGGTCCCCAGTGTTGGAGGTGGGGCCTGATGGGAGGTGTTGGATCATGGCAGTGGATTCCTCATGCATGGCTTGGCACTCTCTCCTTGGTGATGAGTTCCTGCTCTGAGATGACAACTCAGATAACTCCATGCTGTGGTGCTAGCACCTGAGAGACCCATGACCGAGAGATCTGCCCCCACATATAAATCCAGAGGGATGGGGCTGGCCTGCTGCTTCTCTTCAAGAACCAGTAGAGGCTGACGCTGCAGAGAGGGCAGCACCCCAGGGTCAAGGAAATCACCAACAGAGGGGACCAGCAGGGGTCACCTAAGACCCCAGAACAAGAGAAACCTTTCTTAATTTGCCACATCCAGTGAGTTCAATAGAAGCCTCCTGTTTCAGCCAGGGGTCCCCAGGGAAGCAGAGTAACAGGACATGCGTGGATATGGAAGTGGACATAAGCACGGGAATGGATGAATATGGATATGGATATTGATATAGAGAGAGGTATGGATATGGACATGAATATGGGTATAGATACAGATAGGAATATGGATCTAGATGGATATGGATACAGATATGGGTACAGATTTAGGCATAGATATGGATGTGGACATAGATATTGGTATAGATACAGATATGGATATGAATACAGATATAGATACAGATGTGGCTATGGAAATAAATTTGGATGTAGATATGAATATAGGTATGGAGGTACATATAGGTATAGACACAGATATGGCTATGAATATAGATACAGATATGGAAATGGATATGGGTATAGGTACAGAGGTGGCTATGGGTATAGATATAGACATGGACTTGGAAATGGATGTGGGTGTAGACATGATGAGGGTGTAGATATGGATGTGGCTGTAGATATGGATACAGATGTAGGCACGGATGTGGACGGAGGTATGGATGAGAGTGAGATATGGATGTGGGTGTAGATATGGATGTAGGTGTAGATATGGATGTGGGTGTAGATGTGGATGGGGGTGTAGATATGGATGTGGATGTGGGTGTAGGCGTGGATGTGGGTGTAGGCGTGGATGTGGGTGTAGGCGTGGATGTGGGTGTAGATATGGATGTGGGTGTAGATGTGGATGTGGGTGTAGGCATGGATGTGGGTGTAGATGTGGATGTGGGTGTAGATGTGGATGTGGGTGTAGATGTGGATGAGGGTGTAGATGTGGATATGGGGTAGATATGGATGTGGGTGTAGATATGGATGTGGGTGTAGATATGGATGTGTGTGTAGATATGAATTAGGGTGTAGATATGGATGTGGGTGTAGATATGGATGTGGGTGTAGTCATGGATGTGGGTGTAGATATGGATGAGGGTGTAGATATGGACGTGGGTGTAGATATGGATGGGGGTGTAGTCATGGACATGAGTATAGATATGGATGTGGGTGTAGATGTGGATGTGGGTGTAGGCATGGATGTGGGTGTAGATGTGGATGTGGGTGTAGATGTGGATGTGGGTGTAGATGTGGATGAGGGTGTAGATGTGGATATGGGGTAGATATGGATGTGGGTGTAGCTATGGATGTGGGTGTAGATGTGGATGTGGGTGTAGATGTGGATGAGGGTGTAGATGTGGATGTGGGGTAGATATGGATGTGGGTGTAGATATGGATGTGGACGTAGGCATGGATGTAGGTGTAGATATGGATGTGGGTGTAGATATGGATGTGGGTGTAGGCGTGGATGTGGGTGTAGATATGGATGTGGGTGTAGGCGTGGATGTGGGTGTAGATATGGATGAGGGTGTAGATATGGATGTGGGTATAGATGTGGATGTGGACATAGGCATGGATGTGGGTGTAGATATGGATGTGTGTGTAGATATGAATTAGGGTGTAGATATGGATGTGGGTGTAGATATGGATGTGGGTGTAGTCATGGACGTGGGTGTAGATATGGATGAGGGTGTAGATATGGACGTGGGTGTAGATATGGATGGGGGTGTAGTCATGGACGTGAGTATAGATATGGATGTGGGTGTAGATATGGATGTGGACGTAGGCACAGATGTGGATGTAGGCATGGATACAGACGTAGACATGTATGTACATGTAGGCATGGATGTGGATGGAGGCGTGGACATGGATGGAGGTATGGATATGGAGGTATTCATGGATATATGTATGGATATGGGTATATAAATGTAGATGTGGATCCAGATAGGAGATTTCTTTTTGCGATTGGCTCATGTGATTAGAAGCTGTCAAGTCTGAAATCTGCAGGACAGGCCAACGGGCTGGAAACCCAGGCTGAGGCTGAGGCTAAAGTCTTGGGGCAGAATGTCTCCTTCCTTCAGCTGACTGGGTGAGGCCCACTCACGCTGTGGAGGGCATTTGCCCTTACTAAAAGTCAGGTGACGGGGCACATCCACCATGTCCACAGAATACCTTCCCGGGAGCACTGAGATTCATGTGTGTTTACATAATTGGGTGCCATGGCCTAGCCAAGCTGACACCTAAAGCCAACCACCACAGCCCACACAACCACCACAGCCCACACAACCACCACAGCCCTGCCAACCACCACAGCCCACACAAGCACCACAGCCCTGCCAAGCGAGCCCAGCCCTGTCTCTTTACCCCTCTTCCCTGGTGCCAGCATTGCCTGCTGTGGGGAGCAAAACCACAACCAGCCTATGAAGGGCTGAGCAGGGCGCTGACAGAGGACCCTGGTCCGGCCCCTGCTAAAGCCTCAGCCCACAGCAGGGTGCAGCTTAGAGGGGAGTGAAGTGGAAAGCTACACTGAGAGCGCAGCTCATTGCCTGGGACTGCATGGGCAGAGGTTCCTCATCTAAAAATACTCACGAGCCACCCCCTTTCGGTGCAGGGAAGGGAAGTGGGTCCCACTGAAGGAGGCTGAAAGGGCAAGGGGAGATGTGGTTATCGCCGTGAAAGTCTCCTGGGTCCAACACACCCTCCCAGTTCACGCTCATTCCCTTTGGAGGGACTGAGTCACCTCCCCAGACACCCCAAAGATATGGGAATAAAGTGGTTATATCAGAAAAGGAGATCTCTCCAGCGACAGGGGTATCTCTCAGTGTGACTTCTTGGAGTCAAGGTTTTCTGGAAGCTGAGAGTGTGTCTGCCCCTCCAGGTCTGCCTCCACCCCAAGAGGACCTCGTGGACGTGGTGCCTCAGGCTCCACCATCCCCAGGAGAAGAGGTGGGTGTTTGTCATTTCCTGCTCCACCCCTGCAGGCCAGATCTGAGGGCGGCTGCACCTCCTGCTCCCTCGGCAGCCCCTCGTGTTCCTGTGTCCTCCCCTGTCCTCGGCCCTACTCTGTGGGCCTCCGGGGACCATTCCCTCTCTGGTCCCCACAGGCTTGGGCGAGGCGACCACTTCCCACTTTGCTGGTCCCAGGATGCATCCCATCCATGAGAGTCCCCTTAACCTTGACCTCTGGAAAGAGCCCCATCACTTTTCTCTCCATTCACCCATGTCAGGAATGTTGAATTCCTTTGCTAGCAACACGGAAAGCCTCGATCGGATCCTGTCGTCGCGCTGCCTAAAGCCCGGTGACAGCTTCCCATGGTGCTTAGAATAGAATGCGAAGCCCAACGGGCCCTGCCCAAGCTTCCACCTCCCTCCCAGCCTCCTCCCCTCACTGCACCACCAACAGCCACCACCTTTTGTCTCCTCTGATGTCCCATCAGTGCCATGCTTGGACTCGTTTTTGCTGTTTTTGGGACAGTGGTGCCATTCCCCTCCCGTGACTGACTCCTGCGTGCAGTCCCTAATCTGCCCATCACCGCCGGGGCACTGTCCACAGCATTCTGTTGATTTCCTCCACACTGTCTAACACAACCTGAAACAACCTCATCTGCCCACCACGTCTCATCTGTGCCTCCCTGCCTGGAACGGAGCTGCAGGAAGGCAGCGATGTTTGTCTGGAGGTGAGCACTGCGGTGGGCATTTGCCCCGCACGTGGTGGGTGACCATTGGGCGGGTGGGCACCCCCCGAGGCCTCAGAGCAGCAGACGCCCCTCCCTGAGCCTGGTTGGGCCTGCACCACAAGCAGCACCCAGGTCCCACAGGTCCCTCTCCACACACAGCTCAGTGCAGGCCGTGAGCAAGTGGTCGCATGCACACTGCTGACCACCTGCCTGGCATGGCGTCTGGTAAACAGCAGGTGGATATTGGTGTAGATGTGCCACCTCGAATTGCTAGATTGGGCAGAACCCCGCTAGAGCCCATCCAGTTGCAGACACAAACCCAGGGCCCAGCAGATGGTGCTGTCTGCTAGGACAAGGCTGGAGAGCAGTCGCTCCATCCAGTCACCGTTTCCCGCATCTGGACGCCTGCATCATCCCCTGGACAGCCATGCAGAACCCGCCCTGTGCAGGCATTGGAGGGCCGGGGACAGGAGGCTAACCCTCCATGGTGGGGTCCAGGCTACCCCGCACAGCATCCTGCAAGGCAAGTTCCGCACCGCGACCACAGGCGGCCACAGCCCCGCCACTGAGCACTCAGGGGCAGCCGCGGTGCAGGAGCAGAAGTTTCTGTCTCACTTTGTTTTTATTTCAGTGTCCACCCCCTGGTTGCAGGTTCCCTGTTCGCTGGTGCGGGTCTATGAGGAGGAAACACACAGAAACCAAAAGATGGAATCAGGCTGTCTCGGGCCACTTCCTTCCGCCACAGCTCTGCCTGGAGTGCCAGCCCCAGCACAGGTGAATACACAGAACCAGCGCCTCCCTCCTGGAGCTTTCCTGGGGAGACCAGTGAGGGTGAACAAGGAAGCGGATAGAGAACTCCCCGCAGCGTAAGTGCAGTGGGGACATTTGTGGCAGGGAGTGCCTGGGGAGGGTGGTCGGGGAAGGCTGCCCCAAGGAGTTATCATCTGAGCAAGACCCAAAATTGTAAGAAGTAGCACGCGGCGCTCCCAGGGAAGAGCATGCCAGGCTGGAGGCCCTGCGGAGGGGACAAGTTCAGCAGCTTGGAGGACCAGAGAGAAATCCAGGTGGGTACTGGCCAAGGTGGAGGTGTGAGAAGGAGGGCTGAGGACGGCTGGGGTCACACAGCACCAAGTTGTACCAGCCCAGGCACAGTTAACCATTCATTTTAAGAGCAAGTGAATCCCACATGCTTGACCCAAGGAATTGCTGGAAAGGTGCTGACGGATCCAAAGGATGTAGAGTTCAATGCCAAAGGGTGTGGCAGTCACCTCTCAGAGGCTCGGAGCAAGTGGCAGGGCAATCAACTCCCCTGCATTTCCATCCACAGTGCACTAAATGCCACTGAATCATCCGTCCACAGTGCACTAAATGCCACTGAATCGTCCACTCTGGAGTAGTTGATAAGATTGTTAACTTATGTTATGTGAGCTTCACCGTGAAATAAATGTGTGTGTCTTCATCCACAGCTCCTGCCTCCTAACTCACACAGCCCTGGTTATAGCCTTTTGTTATCACGTTGGGGCAGTTTAGGCCTCAGGAAGCTGAATCTCAAGACCCTAATCTGACTGTGGGTCAGAAGATCCTCATTCCAGGGTGGGTTCTGCCTCATCCCCTAGAGGAAGAAATGCTGCCGAGAAGCTGAGAAGAGTCTGGGCCAGGCGTGGTGGCTCATGCCTGTAATCCCAAGACTGGGAGCCCAAGGCGGGCAGATCACCTGAAGTCAGGAGTTCGAGGCCAGCCTGGCCAACACGGCAAAACCCCATCTGTACTAAAAATACAAAAATTAGTCGGGCATGGTGGCACGTGCCTGTAAAACCAGCTACTGGGGGTGCTGAGCCAGGAGAATTGCTTGAACCTGGAAGGCAGAGGTTGCAGTGAGCCGAGATCACACCACTACACTCCAGCCTGGGTGACAAAGTGAGGCTCCGTCTCAAAAAAAAAAAAAAGAAGAATCTGGACAGACAAGCCCTGCTGAGTTTACACCACGCCCTGTGTATCCAGTTGCATTTCTACATGGTTGTCAATCATTCCTGTCCAACGATGTCTCCATCAAAGGCCCAAGAGGACAGGGTTCAGGGACCTTTCAGAGAGCTGACCACGCAGAGGCTCCTGGAGGGGCTGCCCAGGGAGGGCATGGCAGCTCCACGCCCCTTCCCCGTACCTCGTCTGTGCATCTCTTCATGTATATTCTTTGCAATATCACTTATAATAAACCAGGAAACGTGTTTCCCTGACTCCCGTGAGCCACTCTAGCAAATTAATCAAACCCAAAGAGGGGGTTGTGGGAACCCCAACATCAAGAAGTTGGTCAGAAGGCCCAGACGTGCAGCTCATGTCTGGAGTAGGGGGGGAGGTCTTAGGACTGAGCCCTCTCCCTGTGTGATCAGACACCGTCTCCAGGTAGAGGGGTCAGAATAGAATCGGAGGATGCCCCTGTTGGTGTCCGCTACAGCAGTGTTGCTCACTCAGTGGTGGGGAGAAGCCCCAACTCTGCGTTTGCTCACAGGAGTCTTCTATGTTGATGATGTCGTGGTGTTGAAGTTGATGATGTCATGGTGTTCATGATGTCATGGTCTTGATGATGTGTTGATGATGCAGTGTTGATGATGTCCTTGTGTTGATGATGTCTTGGTATTAATGATGCCGTGTTGACGTCATGGTTTTGATGTTGTCATGGTGTTGATGTCACGGTGCTGATCTCATGGTGTTAATGATGCAGTGTTGATGATGTCCTTGTGTTGATGATGTCATGGTATTAATGATGCCATGTTGATGTCATGGTTTTGATGTTGTCATGGTGTTGATGATGTCACGGTGCTGGTCTCATGGTGTTAATGATGTAGTGTTGATGATGTCATGGGGTTGATGATGTTGTGTTCATGATGTCATGGTGCTGATGTGGTGTTGATGTTGATGTGTTGATATCATGGTGTTGATAATATCGTGGTTTTGACGATGTCATAGTGCTGATGATGGTGTCATGGGGTTGCTGAGGTCGTGGTGTGGATGATTTCCTGGTATTAATGATGCGGAGTTGATGAAGTCATGGTGTTGGTGTGGTGTTGATGTCGTGGTGTTAATGATGTCGTGCTGATGTCATGGTGTTAATGATGCGGTGTTAATCATGTGATGTTGATGGTGTCATGGTGATGTCATTGTGTTGATGACGTCATGGTGCTGATGTCGTGATGTTATTGATGTGGTGTTGATGATGTCACAGTGTTGATGATGTCATGGTGCTGATGTCATGGTGTTGGTGATGCAGTGTGGATGATGTCATGGGGTTGATGATGTCATGGATTTGATGATGTCGTGGTGCTGATGTCGTGGCGTTGATGTGGTGTTGATGTCATGGTGTTTATGTTGTGGAGTTCATGATGTCATGGAGTTGATGATGTTATTGTGTTGATACTGTCATGGTGTTCATGATGTGCTCATGGTGTCGTGGTGTTAATGATGTGGTATTGATGATGTGTTGTTGTGGTGTTGATGATGTCATGGTGTTGAAAGTGTCATGTGTTGATGATGTCACTGTGTTAATGTCATGGTGTTGATAGTGTCATGGTGTTACTGATGTGGTGTTGATGATGTCATGGTGTTGACAACGTCATGGTGTTGATGTGGTGTTCATGTCACTGTGTTGATGTCATGGAGTTGATAGTGTCATGGTGTTAATGATGTGGTGTTAATGATGCGGTGTTGATGATGTCATGGTGTTGATGATGTCATAGTGCTGATGATGTCATGGTGTTAATGATGCAGTGCTGATGATGTCATGCGTTGATCATGTCATGGTGATGTGGTGTTGATGATGTCGTGGTGATGTCATTGTGCTGATGTTGTGTTGATGTCGTGGAGTTAATGATGTGGTGTTAATGATGTCATGGTGTTGATGTCGTGGCATTGATGGTGTCATGGTGTTGATGACGTCATGATGTTAATGCAGTGTTGATATCATGGTGCTGATGATGTCATGGTGATGATGTCACGTTGGTGATGTCATGGTGTTAATGATGCAGTGTTGATGATGCCACGGTGTTAATGATGGTCTTGGTGTTGATGATGTAGTGTTGATGTCATGGTGTTAATGATGTGGTGTTGATGATTTCATGGTGGTGTTGATGTCATGGTGTTGACATGTCATGGTGCCGATGATGTGGTGGTGTTAATGATGCAGTGCTGATTATATCATGGTGTTGATGATGTCGTCGTGTTCATGATGTCATGGAGTGCTGGTAGCGGGACAGCAGCTTGAGTTTCTTCAGAGCAGCTTCTTGGAAGTGTGTATTCACTCCTGCCCACACCTCCACCCCAGGGACTTAAAACAATCTCAATGCCAGAATATCCATACCTTGGGAAGTCACTCAGCCATCAAAAGGGATGAAGCCCCGACCCGTGTTCCAACATTGATGGAGCTTGCGAGCACCACACCAAGGGAAAGAAGCCAGGCATGTAAGGCCACATACTGTATGGCTGGAAATGTCCAGAACAGGCAAATCCACAGAGACAGAAAGTAGATTCATGTGGGGAGGGAATGGAGAGTGACTACTAATGGCAACAGGGTTTGTTTCTGACGTGATGAATGTATTTTGAAGCTAGACAGAAATGGTAGCTGCATGCCATTAGGAATGCACTAAATGCCACTGAATTGTACACTTTGGAGTAGTTAATAAGATTGTTAATTTATGTTATGTGAGCTTCACCATGGAATAAAATAATAAGTGTATGTATGATAGAGGAGACCTCAGAGTCAGGTTGAAAACAGAAAGCACCCATCAAGTGCTTACTATTTGCACTATTGAAAATGCTGACCATGACCCCATTTAATCCTCACTCTGCGAGGGAGAACTATTAATACTGTTAGCTCTAACTCTTGGATGAGGAAACTGAGGCACAGAAAGTGGAAGTGATTCAGGCAGGGACACAGTGGGCAGCAAGGGTTCAAGCCCAGGTAGTATTTCTTAAAGAGGTCACCAATTTGCATAAGCTTCAGGCCTTACAAAGCCAGTTTCACATTAACATCACCACCACCATCATCACCATCGTCATCACCACCTCCACCATCACCACCATTATCACCATCACCACCACCACCATCACCATTATCATATAATCATCACCATCATTACCAACACCATCATCACCATCGTCATCACCATCACCATCATCACCATCACTATCATTACCATCACCATCATTATCACCATCATCATTACTATCATCATCACCATCACCAAAATCATCACCACCATCCCTATCATCACCACCATTATCAATGTCACATGCCAGTAGTGAGATGTAAAACAAATGAAATTATCATGCATTGCTGATGGAAGCTTGGAAAGAGAGAGAGGAAAGAGAGTGGAAAGAACAAAGGGAGGAAGAGAGGGAAGGAGGAAGGGAGTGAAAGAATAGGGGGGAGAAGAGGAAATTGGAGAGGATGGGAGGGAGGGAAGGCAAGGGAAAAAAATCCTAGGAGGTGGCTTGGGCCCTCTGGCCCTTCAATCCCTAGGGGCAAAGGGCTCTCGGATGTGGGGCAGGGTCGGGAGGAGGAGTGCTACAGGGATGTCTCCCTCACATGGCAGACAGAAAGGGTGAGTGCTCAGGACAGCCCAAGAATGATGTGCAGGGTGGGCCCAACCTCCCATGACCCCTGCACCTCCCTCCCAGCAGGACACTGCAACTCTCCATCCACTCCTCCCCACTACCAAAAGAACACAAAAATAGGAGGATGGACTGCTGGTGCTCGGTGGTCCACAAACAGATGGCTCCCTTTCAACTCCAGCCTCAGCCTGGATCCCGCCTGGGTATGAATCCACCTGGCCCAGTAGGCAAGGCCAGATACAGGAGGGGCACCCAGGCCTGTCTGCGGGCAACACCAGCAGCATCACCACTCCATGGTCAGCTTGGGGCATCCTGCTCTTAGGATCAAACACTAGTGTCAGAGGCGTCCTAATCAGAGTGAGTCTGTCTTTAATAAATGTGGGATATAGCCATGCCTGCAGGGTTACACCCCCAGGGGGTAGGCACTCTTGGGCACAAGATGTTTATGGTTGAGGGAACAAGTTAATGATGCTAACTAAATAAAGACGCAGAATTTTATGGCAATCTCTTAATATTTTAAGAACAAAAAGCATTCTTAGTTTAAGAGTAGGTTTTGATTTAAGGTTAATAGTACATTCGTAAATCCTTGCTGAAATCAGTAGTAACATAGGAAAATAATACTAATAGCCTGTCAGAAGCTGATCACCAGCCTCTGTAATAAAGCACAAAAGACCTCTCTTCTTAGCTCTGTTAACCTATATAAATAAGAATCGTATTTAAGGTGTGCGCGTTCCTTCTCTTGCTTTTGGAGGACATCCTACTCTGTAACCGAGTGGTCTCTGATAAACGATTTTAACTTTACTATACTCTGCCACTCACCTGGAATTGTTCCTCATCCAACATCCAAGAACCCGCTCTTGGGGTCTGGGACAGGCCTCTTATTCCAGTGACATTAGGAAGGGGTTAAAAAATGAAAAAAAAAAAAAAAAGCACTTGCCTTTCAAGATGCCTGCTTGGTCCTTCTCCAAGTATCCTTTCCTTCCTTTCATTCATGTTCTAAAGCCTTTTAATAAACTTTCACTCCTGTTCTGAAACTGGCTCCGATCTCTCTTTCTGCCTCATGCCCCTCAGTCGAATTCTTTCTTCTGAGGAGGCAAGAATTGAGATTGCTGCAGACCCGCACGGACATGAATTCACCACCAGGAACGTTTTGATGCCATGACTCAAATACGTATTTTGGTGCTGCATGACTCAGATCTGTTCCTGGTGGTAAGACACCTCTATGCCTCACCTTCTTCGGCTAGAGATGCTCAACGCCTGTACACAATTTTCTTCTCCCCTTTTGCTCTCCTGTTTACTAACCAATGCCCAGAACAATTCCCCTTCGTTGTAAGTGACTCTGCTGATCTCTCAGTTCACCCTGATGGGTGGCTTGCAGGGGTGGGAAGAACCCTGGGGTCTGCACCGAGTGGAACTGAGGCACTGATGGCCCCCTGGAGACAGAAGACTTGTGAGGGTGGTGGGGCTAAAGCCTAAAGCCTAAAGCCATGCAATGTCTGGGGTTTCCTCTGCTTTTGCAACTAAAATCAGCTCTTTCCCAAGAACCCACAGTGCCTAGTCTCCTGCTTTCTCTGCGTGTGTTCTGCCTGTGGGGCTTTTAAACACTCCCTGGTATTCCCTGGTGTCCACAGCTCTTACTGCATTTGTGTGGCACCAAAGACATGGGCTCCCTTGTGGATCCCCCCTGAGATTTATATTTGTTCTCACCCTACCAGCTCAGATGACCTCCCACCCTTCCCGTCTGCTGCCGCACTGCCGGGGCAGATACTCACTGGAACTCCAGCCCTGTCAGCTCCTTATGACCTACCATGTGATTTCCATTTCTGTAAAAAGGAAAAGAAAAATGAGGCCGGGCACAGTGGCTCATGCCTATAATCCCAGCACTTCGGGAGGCTGAGGCAGGTGGATCACCTGAGGTCAGGAGTTTGAGACCAGTCTGGCCAACATGATGAAAGCCCATCTCTACTAAAAACACAAAAATTAGCCAGGCATGGTGGTGCATACCTGTAGTCCCAGCTACTCTGGAGACTGAGGAGGAAGGATCACTTGAACCTGGGAGATTGAGGCTGCAGTGAGCCAAGATCACACCACTGCACTCCAAGCCTGGGTGACAGAGCAAGACCATCGCAAAAAAAAAAAAAAAAAGAAAGAAAAAATGAAAAAAGGAGGCTCTATCCCCAGGTTCTTTCTTCACCCTGGGAATTCTCCACAACTCCCATGGGAGCAGGGCTGGGAGACAGTGCAAAAGAGTCTTGAAGCCGGACAACAGCGGGGGATTCCAGCACTGCCATTCTCTACTGGAATGCTCAGCTGGATGCTTGACCCTGGAGAAATTCTTTCTCTCTCTGAAGTTTTCCTTAGTGGAGAGGGAGAAAATGAAAAAATATGCATATGCCTATTTTGTTAAATGTAAGGTAATAATAGCTATTAAGATTCAACTATTTGTAAGAAGGTGAGAGTTAAAAGACAGTCTGGGAGACAAGCACAACAGGCAGGACCTGACATGGAGCAGAGTGCTCATCAGATTGGGTTTTTCTCAACCTTCAGTGATCACCATAAATTTTCTATGACTTTCTATTCATCCCATCTATATCATTCATCATTTGAATACTTTTGGCTGTTTAATTAAACACATTGACTCACTTTTCTTTTTTACTTAAATATGTTTTAAAGGAAGCCTCATATCTCAACCAAAAATGGAAAACTAATATATCCATTGCCATTAATAAAAGGTAACAATATAATAAAGAAAATTCAACAGTATCATCAAACTGCAGCTAGCTTGTACAGTCAGTTGAAGGCGTCATGCTTGAGGCCCACTTCTGCCTTTCTCTTTTTCAAACAAGAAGTTTAGAAAGGTTAGAGATTGATTGGTACCCAAAGGAGACTCCCTTGTTGATTTAATTATTAGAAAAATGGGTAATTAAAAAGTGATTAACTTCACTATGGATTCAATGTTATATCTGTTATAAAAAATATTAAAAACTTAAAAATAGGCAAAAACAAACCACTAGGTGTGTCTCTGTGGTTGGCTTTCTATTGACTGAACTATTTTACAACTGTAGAATAGAAGTTCATGTAGAGAATACAGCAGTGTGCATGCTTCTTATCTGAGAGCAACACAAAGCTTCCTCTATGGCAATGTAATCAGTGTTGTTCACTGTAGATGCAACTGATGCTCATGTCTAAGGAAAGATGATCCCAAGTATTACTTACACCTTATTGTCCTGTAGGATGTTACCCAAGTTTGCATCTATTATCAAATTCATTTCAGCATGCCTTTGTTCTTCACATTGTCCTTTGAACCAGCCTTGACATCTGCTGTGGTCTGAATCTGTCTCCCCAGATTCATGTGTTGGAAATGTAATCCCCAGTGCAACATTGTCAGGAGGTGGGGCCTTTGGAGGTGTTTGGGTCATGGGAGCTCCACCCACATAAATGGATTAGTGCCTCTGTAATCTGGGGTTTTCAGGATGGGTTCGCTCTCTCTTGCCCTTCCACTTTCCGCCACGTGAGGATGCAGCAAGAAAGCCCTTGTCAGACGCCAGCATCCTGATCTTGATTTTCAGCCTCCAGAACTGTGAGAAAGAAGTTTCTATTCTTGATAAATTGCTCAGCCTCAGGTGTTCTGGTCTAACAGCACAAAGTGGACTAAGACAACATCTTACAGGTACCCTCGTTTACTGATGAGTTAAATACAACATCTTACAAGTTCCCTCGTTCACTGATGAGTTAAATACAATCCTTTACATGTGCTTATTTTATATTTATAGAACAGTTGTTTTCCACCTTTTGAAAATTACATTTTAGCATCCAATTGTACCGAAAATCACCTCCTATGCTGGTTAGGGTCTCCTACCAACCTCATTCAACTATCTCATTTATAGTTGGTACTAAGGCCCAGAAGGGGTCAGTGCCTTCTCTGAGTCTGCACAGCAGTGGATGCTAAACCTGAGACTACAAGCCAAGTTCCTGATTCGTTTGTGTTTCTCTTGGCCATCCGCCTCCCCTTAATGGCTACCCAAACCTACCTCTCTAGAGGTTCCAGTCCCCTCTCACCTTTCTGGATGTAAAATGTATTCCTAATCTCTCGCCTCTACCCTGGCAACCCACACTCCTCCTTACTGCTTCCCTAATTCCCAGATAATACCCAAATACAGCCTTCCTTCTCTGCCCTCTCCTTGCCTCCCTGAACCAGAACACCTGTCTCTTAAACTTAACCAGGGTCCCACACTCCTCTCCAAATACTCCCCGCCATGACCTACACACCCGACACATTCTGGCCGCTGCCCTCCTCTCTACCTCGGTCCCACCAATCTCCCCAGCTCGACACACTCTGCACTCGACCCCTCACTCTGTCCCTTAAACTGCCAAGTTGCTCCTGCTCCACGGCCTCTGCCCTCACAGCTCCCACAGCCAGGGGTCTTCTCCCCACTCCTCCACCTTCTTCACATGCCGTCCTCCCTTCAGTTGGCCTCTCCCTGGCCACTGTGGTGAACACCCCTACCTCCACCACCTCCTGGCCACTCTATCCCAATACCGTGCGCCCAATTCTTCACAGTCTTTCTCTTGCTCTCATTTCAGAGCTGTATGGGGTTTCGGCTGGCTGGTTTACTGTCGATCTTCTGCACTAGAACCTAAGTTCCGGTGAGCAAGTTCCCTGTTTGGCTTGCTCAGGGCACCTAGAGCCAGGCCTCGCGCAGAGCAGGTGCTGATGAATATTTGCTGAATGGCTGCACACTGCCTTAGCTGGTAGCAGCCCCTGGGTCTCTGAAAAGGCTCGCGATGTCAGACAGGGCGACACATGCTGCCTCTGCTGCTGACTGTGCTACCTGGGCTCTTTCCTTCAAGTAACATCTATTTCATGCCCAGTACAGCTCTAGGTGCTGAGAAAATGGGACTTGATTACATACAGTGGCTGCAGTGAGGAAAGAAAGGGGTTCGTGCCATGGAAACCAGCAGGCAAGAGAAGGTATGCTCTCAGCCCAGCATCCTCAGCTGACTTGGGCCACCAGCCTCACATCCCCTTTGTTTCATTGACTATCTAAGTCCACTTTGCATTGCTCTAAAGGAATACCTGAGGCTGGGCAATATATAGAGAAAAGAGGTTTATTTGGCTCATGATTCTGCAGGCTGAACAAGAAGCATGTGCCAACAACTGGTGAGGCCTTGGGCTCCTTCCACTCATGGAGAAAGGGGAAGGGGAGCAGGTGTAGCACATGGAGTGGGACGGGGGAGTGGGGAAGGGTAGGACATTGCCGGGCTTTTTTTTTTTTTTTTTTTTTGAGACGGAGTCTCGCTCTGTTGCCCAGGCTGGAGTGCAGTGGTGCGATCTCAGCTCACTGCAAGCTCCGCCCCCTGGGTTCACGCTATTCTCCTGCCTCAGCCTCCCGAGTAGGTGGGAATATAGGCACCCATCACCACGCCCATTGCCGGGCTTTTTAACAATCAGACCTTGCAGGGACCCATAGAGCGAGAACTCACTCATTACCACAAGACAGTGAGGGGGAGATATCCAAACCACATCACTGATCACTTCCAGAACATGGGCCTCCAAGACACAGGAGGTTCAGGACCCAGCGTGAGAGCAAGGACACACAGCCTTCCAGAGGAGACTCCCAGTGAGGCCACCCCGCACTGGGGGATTTCAAGCCATCTGGGAAAGATCTGGGGAAAGATAAGGTGACTATTCCAGCCACCTCCAGTCATGGAGAGGCAGGCAGGTGTATGCAGAAAGACAGAGGACAAGGTAAAAGTGTTGGGGGGACTCATGTGGAAATTCAACAATTGTGATATTTTTAACAAGTTCCTATTGTCTTAATTTTTTTTTTTTTTTTTTTTGAGACAGGGTCTGGCTATGTTACCCAGGCTGGAGTACAGTAGCATGATCTCAGCTCACTGCAGCCTCCATCTCCTGGACTCAAATGATCCTCCCACTTCAGCCTCTGAATTAGCTACCATGCTCAGCTAATTTTTTTATTTTTTGTAGAGATGAGGTCTCACTATGTTGCCTAGGCTGGTCTTGAACTCCTAGCCTCAAGTGATTCTCCTGCCTTGGCCTCCCAAAGTACTGGGACTGCAGGCACAAGCCCTGCACCTGGCCACCAGTCCCTACTGTAAAAAGGAAAAAATACACACACACAAGCACATATATATTACAGCAAAGAAAGGGGGCTGGATTTTCGGATAACTTATCTGTAGCTCCGAGGACAACCCGGTTCCCCAGGGATTCATTAAGTCCTTCTTACATGGCTGCTGAGTCTTCACCATCAACAAGCCCAGCAACCTCCCCAAAGAAAGGATTCTGCAGCCTGGAGAGGGCCCTCATCCACTGATGATTATGTTTCTTGCTCAGAGGAAACTAAGTCTAGCTCCCTGCTAACGCAGCCTTGGGAAGCCAACACTTCACCGAGAACCCTGAATCGGCCCCTCTCAGAGGCCGGGAAGGCAGTGGGGCTGGCAGGGCTACCGTTCTGAATTCATGTGCACCGACTGCGTCCCCTGAGCTACGCCTGCATTCACCGCACTGATTCAAGACAGCCGCATCCATTCACCAGGCTCTGTGTCATCAACATCACCCTGTGACGTGCCAACATCAGGGATCCCCCACTCTGAGCTCAGGAAGACCGTCCTAGGATATTTTTTTAAAGCACAGTGAGAGAGAAATAAGAAGGCCAGTGGTAGTGACAGACCTAAGAGTGTTCTGTCCCTCTTAGGCCCCACGACGCGCACCGCTGCGTGCTGCCTGGGAGCTCATTCTTAGGTTTTTAGGTCTTTAAAGAGGCTGTGAAGAGGAGGGTATTCCGGATGCTTTGTAAACTGACAGACTTTTTAATTAACATAACACCGTGATATTATCACATCCAACAAAACTAACACCAATCCCTTACTATCTTCTAATACCCAGTCCATAATAAATGTATCTGCTTATCTCAAAAAAAAAAAAAATTCAGTTGGTTTTGTTCAAATCGGAATCTCAACACGGTTTAGACAACCTTTGGTATTTCTCTTAAGTCTCTCTTCTCTTTTATTTTTTTTAACAGATGCATTAACCTTAATGAATCAGGAATATATCAAAAGAGCAAGCAGGCCGGGTTCAGTGGCTCACGCCTGTGATCCCAGCGCTTTGGGAAGCCAAGGCAGGTGGATCACTCAAGCCCAGGGGTTCGAGACCAGCCTGGGCAACATAGTAAGATGGCCATCTCTACAAAAAATTACAAATACAAAAATTAGCCAGGCATGGTAGTGCACGCCTGTGGTCCCAGCTACTCAGGGGTCTGAGGCAAGAGGATCATTTGAGTCTGGGAGGTTGAGGCTGCAGTGAGCCGTGATCGCACTAGTGCACTGCAGCCTGGGTGAGAGAGAGATCCTGTCTCAAAAAAAAAAAAAAAAAAAAGCAAGCAGGATATTAAATGAAGGAGCCATTTTAGCCAGGGAAGGGGCCGGAGGACGCAGCACATCCCTTCCGCATTGCAGACTTGCAGTCTGTCTCTTGGAAGCTCACAGAGATCTCCATGCATCCTGCTTAAGATCAATGGTCAAAGACTATCAATCCCATCTGCAGCCAGGAGATGGGAGATTACATGACTCTGCCAAGGGACCCAGACTTCCTTTAAGGGATTTTCCCAAATGTCCTCCCTAGCAGTAAGGCCGGATATCACCAAAGGAGGCGAAGAAACGAATGAGAAATACGCAGTGTCCAACAGACTGACCTGTGTGCCCCTGGGGTGTCCTCATGGTTCGGGTTTTACAGCTTTTACAGGTTTTCTTCAAAAACCCAAATATCAAGGTGAACATGGCACATCCTATTAAAAGGGAACACGTTAATCACTGTGTGATTTCAGAGAATAAAAAGATCTCCTGTAACCCACACAAACGCCAGGCCCCATGTGAACCAGGCTGTACGCGGCCCACATAGAAAGAAATACTAGGATTCACGAACCAAAGGTGATAAAAAGCAATTCCTGTCTTTAGTTGTGCTTCTTGGAAAAGCTTTTAGGGCATCTAATTCATAGTCCATAGCAATACTTTCTTTTTAAAAATCTACATTAATTAATTAATTTATTTATTTAGTTTTGAGATGGAGTCTCACTCTGTCACCTGGGCTAGTGTGCAGTGGTACAGTCTCAGCTCACTGCAGCCTCCGCCTCCCTGGTTGAAGCGATTCTCCTGCCTCAGCCTCCTGAGTAGCTGGGATTACAGGTACCTGCCAACACGCCTGGCTAATTTTTATATTTTTAGTACAGATGGGGTTTCACCATGTTGGCCAGGCTGGTCTCAAACTCCTGACCTCAAGTGATCCACCCGCATCGGCCTCCCAAAGTGCTGGGATTACAGGTATGAGCCACTGTGCCTGGTCTTCTACTTTTTATTTTGGAATAATTTTAGATTTACAGGGAAGTTGCAGCAGTAACATCTAACATCTCCTTCCCTTTCACCCTCGGTTCTTCCGCACTTTGCAATCTGTTCTGCTGCTTTTCTCTCACTAACTCCCTACCCGGCCCACCTATCCCCCAAAACATACTCTTCCTGGCACCCAGTTTCTGTGAGTTTCAGTCCCTCCTGGGTTTCCTCCTCTTGTTCAGCTTTTTTATTTCACAGCCCACCTGAGCTTCTCTGGCATGTTTTAGTTTTTTCTCCACTCATTTCACTCTAATTTCCCCACCAAGGAATGTGCTGGAGCCAGCTGGGCCGGCCAGAGCCCTCTCCCCCTTCTCACGGCTCTCTGCTTATTTTCTCCACTCGGCCCATTCCCCTGACTCCATTCTGCATGAAAAAAGGGAGCCCGGGGGAAGGACCTCATTCTCCTTAGAGGGTGGAGGAAGCGCGCAGTGTGAAAACCTCCAGTACAGGAGGCACGAGCGATGATGGAGAGCGCTGGAATCGCTGACGTCTTCACGGGTCGCGCCTGCTGCCCTGAGGAGCCCGGCCCCAAAGGCTCAGGCTGGAGCCAACCAAGCCAGGGAGGTCATCCCAACTGCACCCTGCGGCCTCCCCGGGCCGCGAGGAGGGAGTTCTGCAGGGCAGGCAGCGCCTGCAGAGGCGGAGAACACCCGCACAGCTGGGGCCCCTCTGCTGAGATGCTGCCCAAAATACCCCGCTCACGACTGCCTTCCAAGCTAACTGCTGAAGCCGAGAGTTCTGACGGGCAGCAGTGGGCGTGCATGAAGCCTGAGTCACCATTTCAAAGCGCTGTGGCGGAGCAGAGGCATCTGCTCTGGGCACTGGCTTCCCAGCTGGAAGGAGGCACCTCCCAGCAAGTCGCCCTTGGGCCAAGAGCCTTGGAGCTCCCTCCCGGTCTCCCGGGTCCCAGGACAGGCGTTTTCATTTACCCATGGGTCTTTACTACAACTTGCGTTAGGCACTACTTCCTTACAAAACCATCCATGGGTCCAAAGACAGTTCTGTTAGTCTCTCTCTGACAATACCCCAAAACACCTCTAACCTCCGTGTGTGCGGATCTGCTGTAATCTTGGCCCTCACTTTGTAATAACAGCAAACATTATGGCCGGGGTCAGAGCCAAAGTCCATTCTCCCGTTATTTCATTTAACGCTCGCTGAATCAAGCTGCACTGAGGTCCTATTGTTCAAACAGGAAGTAGCAGTGCAGGGGACGATGCGGCCGCAGGGCTAGAAAAGGCTGGAGCTGGGGTCAGAACAGGCTTTGCCTCCATGAGAGCGCTGTCCAGCTGCTGGTTTCTGGCCCCAGCCGGCTCTCCTGTTACTGTTCTGCTGCACTGTGGCTGGTTTTGCTTACGCTCGCAGTGCTGCTATAAAAACTTAAGTAGCACAGGGTTCACCTTCTGGACTAATGTAAATAGCCAGAGCCGAAATATTCACGCAAAATGCATTTCATCACATTTACTGAGTGTCTATGTGTCAAGTAACACCCTAAGCTCTGTACGTGTAGAATATTTTTTTTCCTTTTAGATATGGGGTCTCACTATCCTGCCCAGGCTGGAGGGCAATGGCTATTCACACGTATGATCATAGCGCACTGCAGCCTCGAACTCCAAGGCTCAAGTGATCCACCTCAGCCTCCCCAGCAGCCAGGACTCCAGGCACATGCCTCCACTCCCGGCTTTTATGTACAGTCTTATTAAATACTCGCTGTGGCCCAAAAATGTGAGCACTGTTATGAACCCATTTTACGGAGGAGGAAACTCAGGCTTAGGATCATTAAATAAGTTGCCCACAGTCACACAGTCAGCGTGGGAGCCAGGCTCTCAGCCAGCAGAGCTTTCTTCATGCAGGATTCCACCTCCTCCCTCAACTTCAGACCCAGCTGGATCCTGGGGGGCTGAGGGCCCCTGCCTGGCATCACACTAAGGGTCAACACCAGTGCAGGTGCACCGACACCCTGAACAGCCCATGCCTCTCCCAGGGTACACCTGCTTAGGAAAAGGCCTGACAGAGACTCCATGCCCCTGGCAGTAACTCCCTGTGTTAGAAAGCAGAACACAGTGACGGGCCACAGGCCAGGTGGGGACACAGACTTGTGTGGTTAGGCACATGTAGGTTTTTGTTTTTAAAATGAAATGGACATTTTGAAAAGCCAATCAAAATCTCATAATTTCCAGTTTCTCTTGAACGTTTGATGCCCAGCAGCCCTTGGCTCTTATTTGTACATGGCAACAGCTATAGCCCCAAGGCAGCCTCCTGCCACCCAGAGCCTCCAATCCACAATTGCCAGCATCCCCACTCCCTGATCCCACATGCTGAGGCACTTGTCATGTACCCTGGGCTGGCACTGCTGCTTCTGCCCAGTAAAGAAAGGTCTCTCTGTGCCCATGCTCTCTGCTTCCGGTGAGGAAATGAAACACAGAACCTCCTGGCTTCTGGGACGTCCCCTCCCTGGCTGGCCGCTCCTCCCCTCCTAACTTGGGAGCATCAGGGGTCCAGGGCTCACTCCTGCCCCTTGTCTTCCCCCTGTCACTCACCAGCCAGGTGCTCCTGTCATTCATCCTGCGGCCCTCTCCCCAGAGCCAGTGTTGAGTGTCCAAATGCTTCCCCCATATCCCCTTGCATATCTGATCACAGCCGAGACCTAACTGAACTCCTGGGCTAGGCCCAGTGGCTCATACCTGTAATCCCAGCACTTTGGGAGGCTGAGGCAGGAGCACTGTTTGAGCTCAGGAGTTAGAGACCAGCGTGGGCAACACAGCAAGACCCCATCTCTACAAAAAAATTTAAAAATTAGCCAGGTGTGGTGGTGTGCACTTGTAGTCCCAGCTACTTGGGAGGCTGAGGCAGGAGGATTGCTTGAGCCCATGAGTTCGAGGCTGCAGTGAGCTGTGATCATGTCACTGCACTCCAGCCTGGGCAATAGAGCAAGACCTCATCTCAAAAAACAAAACAAAAAACACAACTGAACTCCTGAAACTCTTAGCCCTCCCCTAACACTTGCCCCTCCTCTGTCTGCTTTCCTCCTTGAAGACCATCCTTCCAGCTGCCCAGGCTGGTCTTCCTTGCCTCCTCTCCTTCTCAGACCCCAACACCAAATCCATCTGCAAATCCTCATTTCTGTTAACATTGTTGAGACATAACTCATATACCATACGATTCAATTGTTCTTAGGATATTCACAGAATTGTGCAACTGTCACCATTAATTTTAGAATCTTTTCATTACCCCATAAAGATACCCCATACCCTCTAACAGCCCAGCCAAAGGGCTTTTGACTCAAACCTCAAAGTATATTGATAAAGTGTCCAACCTCTTTTGCCCCAACTTCAGCTGCCACTCTAAGTCCCCGCCACCTCCTGTCTAGATGGCCTCAGGAACCTCATAATCGCTCTTCCTTTTTGTTTTTTTGCGGAAGAGGGGGACAGGGTCTCACTGTGCTGTCCAGGCTGGAATGCAGTGGTGCGATCTCAGCTCACTGCAGCTTTGACCTCCTAGGTTCAGGTAATCCTCCTGCCTCAGCCTTCTGAGTAGCTGGGACCACAGGCACACACCACCACACCCAGCTATTTTCTAATTTTTCACTATGGTGTCCAGGCTGGTTTTCAACTCCTGGGCTCAAGCGATCCTCCCGCCTCAGACTCCCAAAGTGCTGGGGTTACAGGTGTGAGCCGAGGCACCTGGCTTGGTCTTCTATCTTTTTCTACCCTTTTGGCACATCTACCCACAGGAGTCAGCACAACGCCTTTAACACATAAGTGTTATCAATTGTACGTATACAATCTTCTAGTCACTCCCATTTTTGACAGAGTCAAAGTCAAAGTCCATATGATGGCCCCCTAGACCCAGAGTGATCTGGCCCCCCACCCGCTCACCCAAGCACACACGCCCTGTGGTCTCTCTCCCTCCTGTCCGGTCACTGCAGCGACACAAGCCTCCTTGCAGTTGCTTGGACACACCAGGCCCATGCCCACCTCAGGACCTTTGCATGTACCTCTTCCTCAGCCAGGAAAGCTCCTTCCCCAGAAATCCAAGGGGATCGCACGCTTACCTGCCACTGGTCATCATCCAAATATCACCTATCATAAGAGCTTCCCGACTGCCCTACACATGGATGTACAATCCCCACACAGCATTCTTCATCCCCTCGGAGACTTATTTTTCTCCAAAATTTTTATCACCACCCAGCACAGATACATTTGACTTAACCATTTTGTTTGTTTCCTGTCTCCCTCCTCTAGATTACACCTTGTTGGGACAGTGATTTTACCGGGACCATTCACTGCTGGATCTTGGCACATAGAATCTTCCCTGGCATTCAGTCAGAGTTGTAGAAATATCTGAAAAACCAAAGAGCTGCATGTTTCATGAAAAAAGTAGGAGAGTAAGCTGGGCGCAGTGGCTCACACCCAAAATCCCAGCACTTTGGGAGGCCGAAGCAGGATTGCTTAAGCCCAAGAGTTCAAGACCAGCCTGAGCAACATGGTAAAACCCCATCTCTACAAAAAATACAAAACTTAGCCAAGTGTGATGCTGGGCAACTGTAAACCCAGCTACTTGGGAGGCTGAGGTCGGAGGATCACTTGAATCCGGGAGGCGGAGGTACAGTGAGCCGAGATTGCACCACTGCACTCCAGCCTGGGTAACACAGTGAGGCTCTATCTCAAAAAACAAAGGGTGCTGGGGGAGCATACGTACTTCTTTGTGGAAGGGCCAGATGTTGCTGTGTGTTTCCCATGTCTAAGAATCCCACCTAGGATGCACGCCGAAGCAAAACATAGCATCTGTGAGGGATCTGAGCTTGTGATTCCTGCATTAGAAGCTCAGAAAGAAACAGAAAACTCCAACGTGTGTAGAGCCTGGAGTGAGTCATGGGAGCAAGGGCCTCCTACCTTCTTTCCCCGCCCGGAGCAGCAGGGGCCCTGCCCCATGCAGAACCACAGAGGCAGGGGCGCCGCCTCACCCCTCCTCCACCAGCGACTCCTGCAGCCTGGGCTCCTGTCTTCTGGCAGGTGCCCACCGGAGCAGCTCAGGATCGCAGATGTCTCAGAATCTTCCCTCTAGCAAAGTTACTCCTAAAAACCTATCCCAGCCAGGGCAGGGAGGAGACAGGAGATGCCCGGCTCTGCCCGCCTGAAGTCAAGGTCCTGCTGCCCACTGTGGGCTCCTGGCTCCAGCTGTGTGGGACAGCCCAGCAGTCAGCACATCCAGGCCTGGGCACGTCTCTGCGGGGCCCAGAGCCCAGTGGGTCCATGCACTCGAGGTCTTGGGGTGATTCCACTTAGCAGAGACTCAGAACAATCAGCTGCCATCACCTCCCGTGGAATGGCTGTGATGCCATGATGGGAAGAACCAACCAACCCACCTGTCTCTCATCCACAAACGGAAGCAAACTGCGAGAACCTCCTCCTCCAGCAAGGGTGGTACAAGCAGCTCTGCAGAGCCACGGAGCGTCCACCGATCCCCAGGACAGGTTGTGGCTCAGGGAGGCGGCACCCACAACAGGCTTCCCAGGCCGCACCTCCAGGCCCCGATCTCTGCTCTCACCTCCTGGGCTCACCCTCCCGGGGGAAGGAGGGGCTGGACATGGAGCCTGTGGCTGCTCGGTGTGGGTGGTGACACTCTTGGTGACGTCCCTCGGTCGTCAGGACTCATTTCCCCGGTGTTGGATGCAGCTCGAGGACAGCAGAGGGGCCCAGCCCATAAGGATGGGAAGGTCTAACTGTAGATGCTGACACCGAATGCCGGAGACGCGGATGCTTCTACCCCAGTGGCACCAAGGCTGCTGTCTGCGGAATCCCAAAGGTGACAGCTTTCTCTACCACGGGCCGCCCCAGCCCGCCAGCTTTGGGCTTGCCGTGCATGGGATTACGTGCTAAACTTTGTGGGTGTCACAGGATGCTTCTGACAATATGATAATGAGAACCGGGGAGCGACTGGTATTTTCAAACTCAGTCATCTTTTTCTACTTACAGAGAATCCCGTTTGGAGAGATGTCATGGGAGTGTAGTTTTTTGTTGTTTTGGTCTAGGGAAAAGTAGTCAGATAGGCCTTCTGGCTACAGGCAAAGATAAAGCCCGAATTCTATTCAAGAATAAAAATGTTCAGAAAACCAAAGAGTAAAGCCACACAGTACTAATTCACACTTACGATGTGCCAGGCACGAACCCAAACACATTGCATTATTCCACACGTGATCGTCCAACGGGCCTATGAGGTGGGGGGGTGTCCACCCTGTGGTCCCCTCCAGCTGTGAGGTGGGGGCAGGTGTCAGCTCCATGGTCCCCTCCAGCTGTGAGGCGGGGGGCAGGTGTTGGCTTCACGGTCCCCTCCAGCTGTGAGGTGGGGGCAGGTGTCGCCCCATGGTCCCCTCCAGCTGTGAGGTGGGGGCAGGTGTCGCCCCATGGTCCCCTCCAGCTGTGAGGCGGGGGGCAGGTGTCGGCTCCATGGACCCCTCCAGCTGTGAGGTGGGGGCAGGTGTCGGCTCCATGGACCCCTCCAGCTGTGAGGTGGGGGCAGGTGTCGGCTCCATGGACCCCTCCAGCTGTGAGGTGGGGGCAGGTGTCGCTCCATGGACCCCTCCAGCTGATGAGCGACCCCCGCTGCCCAGCGACCCTCTGCTGCTGCCCTGGTTCCCCTACCCTGTCACTGACTCAAGGTCTTGGTTTCTATAATTAATCCCTCTCTCTTGCATATAATTTCTTCCCTTTTCAGTATCTATTATTTCCCATGTAAAATACTAACACCCTCCACTGACCTCACATTCCCTCCAGTTATCCTCCCTGTATAACGAAGCCCTCGGCAGGGCACGGCCTCACCTCCCACCTCAGCAGGGCACGGCCTCACCTCCCACCTCAGCAGGGCACGGCCTCACCTCCCATCTCAGCAGGGCACGGCCTCACCTCCCATCTCAGCAGGGCACGGCCTCACCTCCCATCTCTGCAGGGCACGGCCTCACCTCCCATCTCAGCAGGGCACGGCCTCGCCTCCCATCTCTGCAGGGCACGGCCTCACCTCCTACCTTAGCAGGGCACGGCCTCACCTCCCACCTCAGCAGGGCACGGCCTCACCTCCCATCTCTGCTGAGTCCACTTCATTCAGGCTTCCGTCCCCAGCTCCCTCTGAAACCACACCTGTCCAGGTCACCAGCGAGGTCAGTGTTGCCGAACCCGGTGGCCCCCTCTTCCTGGCCTTCCCAGGGGCAGCTTCCCTGACTGACCACTCCCTCCTTCTTGAACCTTTTTTTTCACTTGGACTTGAGGACCCCGTACTCTTTCCCATCCTTGCCCTCCCCTCAGTTCCACCTCAGGCTCCTCTGCTGAACCCTCGTCTTCCTCCAGGCCTCTAGTTCTGCAATGCCCCAGCTCCCAGTCCTGAGCCCCTTCTCTCTTCCCACGTTCTCCCGGGTTGGTCTCCTCTAGTCTGTGGTTTGGGGCACCATCTACACAGATGCTTCCCTGATTTTCCGTCATCAGCGCCTCCTTCCCGAGCTCTAGCCTCATATCTTCAATGGCTGATTTAATTTTTGACTTCTATGTCCAGGTTTACCATTTACAAAGCACAACTCTTGATTATTCACCAGCAAACACACTTTCCCCTGCGTTTTCTCCTCCTAGCAAATGATCTCACCACTGACCTGTCTGCCTGGGCCGACACCTGGGACCACCCCTGAGTCCTCAGCATCCCCGCAGGAAACAAGCCAGTGAGAAGGACGATTTACATGAAAAGGCCTGACTGGAAGGGCTACTCTCAGAGATGGGGGCAGAGATAAGCAACAAAGGACAGATGTTAAGGACCCAGAGACCAGCGACAGCAGGAAGTCCCCACCACCCTAGGCCAGAAGGGACCAGAGAGAAACAGAATATTCGGAGGCCAGGGAAGGTGGGTCTCTTCCTGGTGGGAACTGTGGTCAGGCAGTGACCAAGCCCGGGGCGTGGGTCCAAAGCAAGCTGGCAGTGAAGGCGCGCCCTCCGCCCCTCCTGCTGCTTGTTCTTCCCACCGCAGAGCCTCAGGAATCCGAGCGCAGATGAGGGGTGGATGCGGCCCTCAGGCCTGGCACCTGGGCACAAAGCAAGAGGAGGCTGAGGGTGGCGGGAAAGGGGATACAGATAGAGAAGAACAGGCTCACGCCTACTCCCTCATCGACCATGGGGGTACAGGAGAAAGTAAGGGCCTAGGCGGACTCAAAAACAGGCTCCCCTCTGAAGACGCTCCCCACCCTCACACAGGTGCATCAGCAGAGGCTCAAGGGCATGCAGCTCAACCTCTGTCAGCTATTGGCTGACCGCTGACATATGTAGACAAGGGGACAACCCCTGGGAAGCAGACGTAAAATAGAAACAATAAATTTAAAAACTGATGAGGGACATCAACGCCTACGTACCAGAGACAGGTTTCACAGGTTGAGCCTGGGCAAGTTACCAACGAAGAAAGGAATTAAAAATGAACAATCAAAAACGCAGCAACAACAATCATCTTCGCGGATCCAATTCCAAAATTACTACATTACTAAAAACATCCAGCTTTAAACAAATGATACATGCAAAGAAACATGAAAGTGGAACTCATCCATGAAAGCATAAAAAAGCAGCGAATAGAAACTCTCTCTCCGTGTCTCCAGGTTTCTGATTTAGCAAAGACTTCAAAGCAGCTGTTATAAACAGGATCAAAGAACTAAAGAAGACCAGGTGTGGTGGCTCACGCTTGTACTCACAACATTTCGGGAGACCAAGGTAGGAAAGTCACTTGAGCCCAGGAGTTGGAGGCCAGCCTAGGTAACATAACAAGACCCCATCTCTAAAAAACATTTTTAAAATGATGGCTCATGCCTGTAATCCCACCACTTTGGGAGGCTGAAGCGGGAGGATCACATGAGCCCAGGAGTTCGAGACTAGCCTGGGCAACATGGCAAAACTCTGTCTCTACAAAAAGCATTTTAAAAATAGCCAGGCATGGTGGCATGCACCTGTGGTCCCAGCTACTTGGAAGGCTAAGGTTGGGGGAGTGGGGATCATCTGAGCCCAGGGAGGTTGAGGCTGCAGTGAGAGTGATTGGGCCACTGTACTCCAGCCTGGGTAACAGAGTGCGACCTTGTCTTGGAAACAAAAAGAAACTTAATTTTAAAAAGAACTAATAACGCTTAATAGTTTAAGGTAGCAGGTAAAAAAATTAAAATACAAAGAACTAAAGAAAACTATATTTACATAATTAAAATAATAATAAATCAACAAATAGAGATTCTCAACTATGCAGAAATTATTTTTTAAAAGGAGCCAAACTAAAATTCTAGAGTTGAAAAGTAATCACCAAAATGAAAACACTCACTAAAAGAGTTCAACAGTAGACCCAAGAAGGTACAGGAATGAATCTGTGAACTCGAAGTTAGATCAGCACAGGTTACCCATTATTAAGAAAAGACAGAAAAAACACTGAAGAAAAACAAACAGAACCTCAGAGACATATAGGCCAGCATCCAACATCCCAGAATACACACAGTGGGAGTGGCAGGAGGAAAGAAAACAAAGACGCAGAAAAAGCATTTCAGCAAATAGTGGCCCAGAGCTTCCAAAATGTGATGAAAAACAGAATATGCAGATATCTACACCTAAACTTCTAAAAGACAAGACAAAATCTTGACAGCAGCAAGAGAAAAATGACTGATCACATATAAAGGAGCATCAATATGATTAACAGCCAAATTCATGCATGAGACAGAGGAGGCTGGAGAGTGGTAGTATAAGATCCTCAAGGGCTGAAAGAAAAAAAAAACTGTAAACCAAGAATTCAATATCCAGCAAAACTATCCTTCCGAACTGAAGGTGAAATTGAGAAATTCCCAGATGAAAAAAAGACAGAGAATGCGTTGCTAACAGACTTGCTTTACAAGAGATACCAAAGGAAGTCCTTGAGGCTGGAAGAAAACTACTCTAGAGAGTGATCCAAGCCTGCAGGTAGAAATGAAGAGCACCAGAAATGGTCACTATGTTAACATAAAACACTCTGCAAATATACGTTCTCCTTTATTTTCTTAACTTCTTTAAAAGATATAAGATTGCATAAGACAATAACTTTATCCAGAATATATAAAGAACTCTTAAAATTCAAAAATAAGCCAGGTACAGTGGCTTACACCTATTATCCCAACACTTTAGGAGGCTGGGGTAGGAGGATCACTTGAGCCCTGGAGTTCAAGACAGCCTGGGCAACATAGTGAGACCCTATCTCTACAAAAAAATTTAAAAATAGCCAGACATGGTGCCACGCACCTGTAGTCCCAACTACTCAGGAGGCTGAGGTGGGAGGATCGCTTGAGCCCAGAAGGTCGAGGTTGCAGTGAGCCATGACTGTGCCACTACACTCCAGCCTGGGTAACACAGCAGGACCCTGTCTCAAAAAAAAAAAAAAAAAAAAAAAATTAAATAAAACTCAAAAATAAGACAGCCAAATTTAAAATGTGCAAAAGATTTGAGTTAATATCTTACTTTAAAAGATCTATGAATGGCTAATAAACACATGAAAAGATGTCAACATTGTTCATCAGTAGGAAAATGCAAATGAAAACCAAAGTGAGACACCACTCCACACCCACTAGCACAGATAGGTTTAAAAACATAACACAATACCAAGAGTTGGTGAGGATGTGGAGAAACTGGAATCCTTATACATTCCCTTTTACTTGGAAGTAAAATGACACAGCATTTGGAAAGTTCAGTTGTTCCTTAAAATGTTAAACATAAATTTACATATGACCCAGTATTTCTATTCCCAGAAAGCTACTAAGGAAAATGAAAACATAAGTCCATATAAATATATGTACACAGATGTTCATAGTAGCATTATTCATCATAGTAAAACTGGCGGCCAGGCGCGGTGGCTCACGCCTGTAATCCCAGCACTTTGGAAGTCCGAGGCGGGCGGATCACGAGGTCAGAAGATCAAGACCATCCTGGCTAACACGGTGAAACCCCGTCTCTACCAAAAATACAAAAAAATAGCCTGGCGTGGTCCCAGGTACTTGGGAGGCTGAGGCAGGAGAATGGTGTGAACCTGGGAGGTGGAGCTTGCAGTGAGCCGAGATCACGCCACTGTACTCCAGCCTGGGCGACAGAGCGAGACTCCGTCTCAAAATAAAATAAAATAAAATAAAATAAAAGGCAACAGTTCCATGTCCGTGAGGTGGCAAAGGGACAAAGTGTCCCCCTACAATAAAGGACGCTCAGCAGCAAAAGGGGACCGACTACCCACGCATGCTTCAAAGGGACAGCCTCGGTGACGCTGCGAGTGAAAGAAGCCAGATGCAGAAGACTCTCATACCTGACCCTACTTTCATGAAACGTCCAAAAGACAAACTGATGGAGAGAAAGCATCGCCGGGGGTGGCCTAGCGCCGGGGTGGGAGCTGGGATTAACAGCAAATGGGCGTAACGGTAGTTTTGGGGTGATGGAAATGTTCCCAAAAAAGAGGGTTGTGGTTACACAATTCTATTAATTACTAAAATCATATAATTACACAGTTATGATGGATGAATGTATGGTAGATTATACCTCAGTAAAGCACTTTTTCAAACACGACGAAGGAATGGCAGACAATACTTCCCTCCAGGCCTGCTGCTGGCCTGCCAGAGAAAGAGGCCCTCCCTCCCCACACTGGGCCGGCCACCCGCGCCCAGGGCAGGGATCTACACTTGAGTGTTTCCGCGTCTGGGTCCTAATTCCTAGTGGGAGCACGGAAGGACACAGGGAATGTTGGGAGCTGCATGGGCCATGTCTTGGTCCCATGGGACCTGGCCCTACTTGACCCGAGGCCACACCAGCTTGTAGACATGAGCTTTTGGGGGGGCTTTGAGTCCTAAGAGACCCAGCTGCCCACGCCACACAGGGGGAAAGGAAGCAGCTGGAGAGTCCGCTGCCCACACCACCCCGGGCTCCACGGCCTCACCCCCAGGCCGTCACAGAGCTCCAGTCTCCCGCCACTTCAGTGCAACCCTCGCTGTCTGCCCACTCCTCCGGACATGACGCTTAGGACCTTACCTTGCTCTCCAGCTCAGAGCCCGGCCCCCATGGCCGGGCCAGACCTGCCCCGGCCTCTCCCCTCCGCCTGAGCCACGCCCCGGCTTCCTGCTCACCAGGCCTGCGTTAGCATCTGCAGCTGTGCTTCTTCAGGCCGCCGCAACACCAGCCTTCCCGCACTGCTCCAAGACACTGAGCCTGGTGCATGCTCAGGAAATTCAACAATTTCAAAACATTGTCACTCTCCCCGCCTGACGACCAGCCTTGTACTCTACTCACAGGGCAACCTGCTTTAGCAAACTCAACGACACATTAAAAAGTACAATTTGCAAAGGAGAGCTACCACCTGGCTGGGTGTTCTGCGCCTAGAGACTGGGCCCCGGGAGAGCGCTCCACAGTGAACTTGCGAAGGATGGAATTTACATAAAGAAGGCACCGTCTTTAGTCCTGGAAAGGCACCCTGGGATTCTCTACCTCCGTCCGTCTTTTTCACAGGCAGGGAACTGAGGTCCCAGGAGGCCCAGGTCACCCCACCCAAGGAGGCAGGGCCTCCCCTGCACTCTCTGGAACCTCTCCCTGCCAAGAAGCCAGAGGCCCTGTTTTCTCAGGCTTAGGAATCTGCACTCTCTTGTTCAAAGACTGTGAGTCAGAAGAGGAGGGCCAAGTGCCGCCTTGAATTTCTCTTACTGCTCAAATGGAAAACAATGAAACAGGGCTGTCCACATCACAGCCTGCCACCTGCCAGTCATTTAGAGCCTGGCGCGCATTTCCATAGCTCCTCTGACGCCAGGACAATCAGACCCGTCTCCGGAGGGCTCCTGCCTCTGGATGTCTAAATGTTCTTGCCTTAAACCCGGTGTGACGCTCCACCCCTCCCACACCGCACACATACGAATTTTAACAAAATCTTCAAAGCAGAACTTAACAAAAGGTTGCGTGGTACCAGGTCCATTTGGTTCCATGTGAAACCAACTAGGAAGATCCGCATTAGGCTCTTCCTCAGCTGCGCCGAGGGCCTGGTTTCTATTCATTTGAGAAGCTGTGTGCGCCCCTGTATGGTCTGTTCTTTCCTTTAGGGCTCGCTTTTAACAGTGAGTGTTGTTGTGGCAACTAAAATAAGGAGCCGGCCAGTGCTCCTAGGGAGGAAAACCTCGGCAACTCCGCAGGTGCAGGCACCGGCCACAGACCCACGCCTGGGGCACTCGCGTTTGCATTAGCAGAGCGCAGGAGTCAGGGAGCGCGGGCAGGGGCGGGAGGAGGGGTCTGCGCACTGGCCACGGTGTGGGGGACCCAGCCCTACCCCTTCCCGGGGCTGAGTGGGACTCGCCACGAGGCCAGCAGTTTTTCCAGGTTTTTCTGCTACTCTAGTGGACATGCAACCTTTCCAGTTTGAATTCCACCTCGGTTTAATCCACTTTTTAAACTCATGAAAGGATGTGAGTGTAGATTTGCTGAAGACATTCATAAAAAGTCATTTAGGCAATAAATACTATAGGATTACAGTGTCTTTAAAAAGTATAAATAAATTATTGACTGTACACGTCAAGACTGATTTGGAAGGAAATTCATTCTGGGAGAAATAGAGAAATAGATTAAAATTAACATCTAGGGCTCTGTCTCCATGAATTAGTTTTCTCCAGTTCTATCTTCTCTTTTTTTTCAATAGTGGTTTTCAACTGTCACTTTCCAATATGATCAGAATTCAGTTGAGGAAGTAAAGAAATTCTACTTAATAAGAAAAACTCTGAATGAGGATTAAGTATAGAGGATAACTCAGAACATAGTGGGGGGCGGGGAGATCCCCCCATTAACAAATGGAATGTGTCAAATTGACAAAAGAATTCAAACAGAGTGACTTTGAGATAGAGCCCAAATTCACTGACTTGGTATCTGTTAGAAACAGCAAGAATTCCAGCAAGTCCCTTAATACATGGTACTGACAACTGAGCCGTGAACCACAGAAGCTTGTAATATACACTAATCATCAACAAATCACCAAATACTCCAAAAATTACATCATGACACACAGTAACAGCCACAAGAGCAATTTTCCTAGTAGAACAATTTATTAATTAATATGCAATAAAATATCTCCCCAAAATCTTTCCAGAAATGACAAGGCAGGAAAGTGAATACTTTTATGCTTCTCTGGAAATTTTTAATGTAAACATGAAATATTTGAAGAACCGATTAAAAAGTCTCAAGTGAATCTGTAAATACATTTTTAAGTCTGACTTCAAATCGGTACATGAGGCTTAGACATACACATCATTGGACAAGTGACTTAAATATCTAAATACAAATCAAATAGCATTTTCCTAACTTCAACTATAAAAACACAAATTTCAGTAGGTACTGCAAATCTAAGAAGAATAACTTGAAAAATACCATAATAAGTGTTGTAAAAGGGGAGGACTCATATGACAGACCTTGAAGGAAAGGTGGGACATCACGGGAGGCAGGTCCCCCTGTGGACATGATTCCACAGAGGCGTGGAGTCCTTTTGCCACCAGCATGATCCTGAAATATTGAAAACCCTCAAGACAAGTGATACCTTCAACATAGCCACAAATCAGTGAGCACATCCCACGACAGGGTGTTTAAAGACCAAAAGAAAAAGAACAGTCAGAGGCAGAATTCCCCTAGTAACTGCCACACAGTGACCACCAGCGAGTGATCCAATGGACGCATCATGGATGAGGGAGATTCGGAATTGTGTTAAGTAAGGGACGCGGCTTCTGAGCCATTCAATATTCTCCACACCTGTTTGGAATCAGGCATCTCTACATTAGTTTCAAACCAAATGGTGTTAAAAGTCACATGCTTACACTACTACATACAGGAGTAACAAGAGTTCACGACATTTGGGGCATCCTGCATGCACTCCTTTAACATTCTGACTAGTGACTCTCTTAACAGATGTCCGCTCACCAGTTCATACATTTTACAAGTCTAAAAATAAGTGATATTCTTCTACTAAAAAAATGAGCAATAAAAAGGTTTAATTATCATGAATCCCTATACATTTTGGAAATTAACTTTTAAAAGTTCAGCAAAACATTAGGTACTTAACAACATGTATGTGGATCTGTACAATAGTTTAAATTTGTAAGAATTACTCCATGTCTCAGGAATAATTTCCTCGAGTCCCGAGAGTACTGAACCTCAGTTTCATCACCGTCTTAAATTCAGACTTCATTCATGTAAACTGGGAAACTCGAATCTCCTATTTAGTGAAAAGAGACCACGGTCTTTACAGTGCAGTAACCATTCATTATCCTGGGGGAGGGAACAGGCGGAAACGGAGCTGAGGCCGAGGCTTTTCTGGAGGGCACCAGCACATTTAAACTCACAGAAGGCACTTGAGGGCTTTGAGGGGCTTTGCAGCCAATGTTTTCCGTGACAATGGGAAACTTTAAACAACTGTACAAAGGTGGCTCCAACACCATGAAGCTTCCTATTTCACTCAAAAGGCCACATTCAGTATATAAAAATGGGGTACATTAAGATGCTAATAAATTAAACAATTTATAAACATTTAAAATTATAGATATCTTACAAAAACGTGATAAAAATTATTTCTTCAAACAGGCAATAAAACAGTATAAAAGGTCTCTTAATTAGCACAAACTAGCTGGGAGAGGGAGGGAAAGGAAGCCTTAGACCTGAGATCTAAAAGCTTCAGAACAGCCTGCCCGGTGACTCACGCCTGTAATCCCAGCACTTTGGGAGGCTGAGGTGGGTGGATCACAAGGTCAGGAGTTTGAGGCCAGCCTGGCCAGCATGGTAAAACCCCGTCTCTACTAAAAAGAAAACACAAAAAATTAGCTGGGTGTGGTGGCCCATGCCTGTAATCCCAGCTACTCGGGAGGCTGAGGCAGGAGAATTGCTTGAACCCGGGAGGCCGAGGTTGCAGTGAGCTGAGATCGCACCACTGCACTCCAGCCTGGATGACAAAGCGAGACTCCGTCTCAAAAAAAAAAAAAAAAGCCTTCATAACATAAAGCATTCCTTCCTAATTAAACTTCATGCACATTTGTTAACACTGAAATATTTTTAATATTAAAATGTTCAATATTTTCTTATTTCAAGGCCAGTGAGAGAAGTCTCACACTGCTCACATTCTGTAGTGTGTCATTCAGGGTCACGCATCACACCCACTGTGCTTACGGCGCTGTCACTGAACAAGACGTTCGGTTGTGCTTCTTCCGTGAACTCATACATTACAAGGTCAGCACTCGATGCCGGGTTACAGCGTCTGAGATTCATTCACGAAATGACAGGATGCTGATTTGGTTGCAGATGTGGTCTGAGTCTCAAGGATAAATGGCTCTTGGGATATGGTTGCTAGGACAATGTTGTTGCTAGGATAATTCCAAGGATCACAAGCAAAACAATTACACAAATAATAATGAACATCAATTTCTGCAAGATAAAGAAAAACATTAATTTGCAATGTATCAAAGAAATCAACAATGGCATTTGCTAACTAATCCTTCTGGGATTTGGGATAGTTTAAAAAATACATCCATTATCAAGAAAGGACTCCTCCATGTCATAGAAAAGAATGTGATCTTGGCTCACAGCAACCTCTGCCTTCCGGGTTCAAGTGATTCTCCTGCCTCAGCCTCCCGAGTAGCTGGGACTACAGGAACCCGCCACCACGCCCAGCTAATTTTTGTATTTTTAGTAGACACGGGGTTTCAGCATGTTGGCCAGGATAGTCTCGATCTCTTGACTTCGTGATCCACCCGCCTCAGCCTCCCAAAATGCTGGGATTACAGGCGTGAGGCACCAGGCCCGGCCGACACTTTCTTTTAATCATAATAAAACTCCAGGATTGCTTTTAATTGGATGAATTACACATATTTGTAAAACTTTAAACGAATTTCTTGTTGGCTGAAAAATCCTATTTTTTCTTTCTTTTCTGAAAGGAGGTGTCACTCTGTCGCCCAGGCTGGAGAGCAGTGGTGCAGACATGGCTCACTGCAAACACATCCTCCTGGACTCAAGCAATCCTCCCACCTCAGTGTCCCAAGGAGCTAGGATGACAGGCATGCACCACCATGCCCAGCTAATTAAAAAATATGTTTTTAAGAGATGGGGTCTTGCTATGTTGCCCAGACTAGTCTCGAATTCTTGGGCTCAAGCGATCTTCCTGCCTTGGCCTTCCGAAGTGTTGGGATTACAGGCATGAGCCACTGCACCTGGCCTTATCCATTTTTTACATTTAAATATGACAAATGTGTAAGAAATCAACAAGACATTCATTCATTCTTCTACTGCACTGATGGTCTGGAAGCAGGGTGCGACACAGCATTTAACTTTTTTAAAATTAACAAGTATCCTCACACAAGGCAAAGCGAGACCACCTTTGGCTTAATAAATGGAGTCTCCTCCAGGAAGCTTGTCTGAGGGAAGGAAAGGAAGACACAACAGGAGGCACCGCGCTGTAGGACTTTGAGTTCTCTTTTTGAACAGCAGAGATCCATCATTTTAATTACAGTTCCAAATGTACGAGTGCTTTTACCTAAGAAATCCTGTTTGCTGAGCCTGGACAGTTCCAAGACTGCCGGCTCAGTCAGTTATACAGGGTTATCAAGAGGCGCATGGCAGGCCCCGGTGAGCCTCCCAGTGACTCCTCAGGACCGGGGAGAGCTGCCTGCAGGAGGGCCCCTCCCTCAAACTCTGGTTCCCTGTTAACATCACGCACATTTCCTGCAAAGCCCCAGCCACTCTCTCATCCTCTATATGCGCTCCTACGCCCCACTCTCAGCACCTTCCTAGAGAAACCTCTTCTTCCTTTTCTCTGTGATGCCTTCCCTCCCTCCAGAGGGAGGCGCGCGCCCTCCCGCTCAGCAAGTGAGTGTGCTGGCAGCTGGGCCACCTGGAGTCAGCTCCACGCAGCGTGCTCTCATCTCCTGCTGCTGTTGTGCTGCCTGCCACGTGTCTGGGTGCTCGATGTGTGTGCACTTTCCTGCCACATCTGGCTTTCAGGATGACTGTCAACTACATGGAGTCTAGGGTACAGGACTCAGGAGTCATCTAATCTCCTGGTGACAGCGAGAGTGGAAAGGGTACACCCTGGGGAGTCCAGCTCCAGGTCTGGGCCAGGGCCCTCTCACCGAATACCTGTAAGACTCCACCTGTCTCCTTAAAGCAGCCCATCCCACCCATGCTCCGGGGTGACAGGCCTGCACCTGGCACACCCTGCAGGGAGGGGCAGCAGCCAGCCCCAGGAAGGCCAATTGCTAAAGGATGAAAGGCTATGTTAATATTTTAAAAGTGAAGTTAAGGACATTAACCACTGCCTTCCTATGCAAAGATAACTGCTGGTATTCATTTTGGTCTGCTTTTTATGAATGAGGATCCTTCTATGTTCATTCTTATTTACAGACACTAGGGTGAAATGGCCAGCCAGGCCCGGGGCACAGGACTTCAAGCCCCACTCCCCAGGGGTCACACTGAGAGGAGCCTTCTTTTAGTCAACCTTAATGCCAAGTAGTGCCCATGAAAAGTCGCGCATTTCACTGTGTCCGCGCTACAAATTGTAATTTTATCTTTAGTGTAACCACATTAAACTAACCATATTATAGCTACTAGGAAAAAACTCAGAAAGTACATGTTAGAATCATGAAAATATTGAAAAATACTACTATAACAATGAAGAAAAATCACGTACAATATTTTCAGCAAAGCTAAGAAGAAAAAAATAGAACATCTTGCCTAATAAACATCCTACACAAACATCCTGCCTAATAAAAATAGACGGTAAGAGAGTTCTGACTGCCAAATAATGGAATGTTAACACACGCAGCATCCCAGAGCTCCTTACAGAGTAATTTCAGGTGTAATTTTGTGGCTTTTGCATAAATGTCAGAAGACTAACTGGAAAACTTCTCATCTGGTAACTGCATGGTGAGCGTAACAGATGCTCACATTAAGATATCAATCTCTTGTTTTGAGATGGTCTCGCTCTGTCACCCAGGCTGGAGTGCCGTGGTGCGATCTAGACTCACTCTAGCCTCGACCTCCCCAGGCTCAGGTGATCCTCCTGCCTCGGCCTCTGGCGTAGCTGGGACTATAGGCACGTGTGCCACCATGCCCAATTAGTTTTTGGATTTTTTTTTTTCTGTAGAGACAGGGTGTTGCCATGTTGAAGGAATAAATCTTAAAGATTACAAAGCAATAGTGAGACTTAACCATGCTCGTGATTCCTTTCTGCTGTATGTTAACTTTTTAAAAAGCCTTGGGTGACTATCAAGTCTGCAGTCACTTCCATAACCCAAGAATAAATTCATTGGGGATGACTTGCCACACTCTAGACACCTGGGAACAGTTCACAACTGTCTAATACAAGAATTGTGCCAAACATTTACAGAGAAATCACTGCTGTGTCCACCTGTAACACACCGACAGCATTGCCACTTCAGGGCCAGTGCAAGGATGGCTCCCAATGCAGAAGAAAACCAGGGGGAAACCACAAAGCCTGCTGAAGTTTAGGAAAGGTGACACTCACACCTTGATTCTTTAAATAAACTGATACCTTTTATATTCAGAATTCTTTAAGAATTAACAGGCATGCTAACTAAATATAATACGTAATTTTCCTTTTAATATTAAAGGAAATATTTTTAAATAAAATAGATGCTGCCTATAGAAAGGTCGAAGGATGTTCCTTTCAGTCAATGTTTTTCTCAGCGTTCATCCATGCCCTCGATTCCATAGTAAAATGATGCGTTAGTGTATTTTATAAAGTACCTTTCAGTGTTGCAATTACTCTAAAAGCTAAAACTCAGGAGACAAAACATTACAACTGAGAATTAATCTTCACTGAATTTCTATGACATTTAATGAAGGATCCACTACATGTAAAGAGCTAATGGTCTTAGATCAAAAACAAAAGATTCAGGCTGAGTACAGTGGCTCATGTCTATGTATAATCCCAGCACTTTGGGAGGCTGAGGGCCAGGAATTCGAGACCAGCCTGGGCAATACAGAGAGTTCTCGTCTCTACTAAAAATAATTTTTTTAAAAATTAGCCGAGTGTGCTGGTGCACGTCTGTAGTCCCAGCTACTCGGGAGGCTGAGGTAGGAGGACAGTTTTAGCCCAGGAGGTCGAGGCTGCAGTGAGCCATGATCACGCCACTGCATTCCAGCCTGGGTGACACAGCTAGACCCTGTCTCAAAAACACTTTTAAAAACGGGATAAGAAGGTGACCTTGGTTTAAAAATGAGTTACCGCCCAGCCTGTGCTTGTTCTCAGTAAACACAGTGGCTGGGCACTCGAATCAGCACACAGGCAGATGTATCACTAGATGGCATTATCTGTACTGCGTGGCTGGCAAGCTTTTATTAGTTTTATGTCTATTACAATTAAGCAAATACTATTATTGGTTAATTGCAAAAGTTAATAAGTAAATTAGTTGATGAGTTACTTACTCCCACCCTGGCAGAGAGGCATGCACACTGACGTTATCCACACCATCATTTGCCAACTGACAAGCCAATAATTAGAGCGATTATGGCAACCAGAACCACTGACACAGCAATAATTATCCACTTTTTCTGTCAAAGAAAAGCAAGCTGATTATATCATGCATGGTTAATTTCATATTGCCACATTAAAAGACATCCTTCATTTAAAATAAAACGACCTGGCCAGGTGTGGTGGCTCACGCCTGTAATCTCAGCACTTTGGGAGTCCGAGGCGGATGGATCACCTGAGGTCAGGAGTTTGAGACCAGCCTGGCCAACATGGCGAAACCCTGTCTCTACTAAAAATACAAAAACCAGCCGGGCGTGGGTCTGCAATCCCAGCTACTCAGGAGGCTGTGGCAGGAGAATCACTTGAACCCAGGAGGCAGAGGTTGCAGAGAGCCAGGATCGTGTCACTGCACTCCAGCCTGGGCAACAGAGCAAGACTCCATCTCAAAAAAATAAAATAAAATAAAGCAAAACAACCCATCAGAACTCACTTTAGAAGCTAAGTTACAGGACACTGCTTAATACTGTTGGGCGACTTCTTGAGAGAGTGACTTAATAAGGTCAGACTACTTGGCGATAAGCTGCTATGTAACTGTTATTTCAGGTTTCATCCATGGGGACAGCACGACCAAGTCATTTTGCCACATTTCTGATGACTGAGACATGCAGTTAGTTTTCCGCATGTACAGAGGTGCGGGCCTGCTAGCTCAGTGACGGAGAGCCCCACTGCCTCGTCATGAAGCCCCGACACACTCAGTACTTGGCCTTTCGCTCCTTCTTTTATGTTCTTGGCAGTTACTTCTTCACTGCTCCTGACATAGCACACAGAAAAAAAAAACCCTTCTACAAACGTTGCCTGGCCTCCCTCTGAGGGCCACATGGCTCCGCGGGAATAAATGCAGGACACTAGGAGTGGGGACGACCCACACCTGAGCCAGGGGCAGCAGCAAAGCATTTGAGCGGCAAGGGGACAGGGAGACAAGCCAGGAGGGTTCCATTAGCAGGCATCTCATCAAAAAGACAGTGTCATTTCTGAAACAGGCATCACGTCTCTGACGAGTTTATACGCCAGCTACCGCACAGACCCCAAGCACCTCACAGAGCCAGGCTTGCTCATCCACAGAGGAGAATGAAAACGTATCACACCCACCACCTTCCCCCTTTGTAAAACCAACGAACTTTCACTATCGTTTTCACCAGACTGACGTGTTCAGGTCATGGAGAAAAGGAACAGGACTGCCTGTTTTTAATGAAAGCTGACTTAGGCCTGGAACTAAGTTAAGCACTTTATACAGGTATCTCTTCACCTCAGTTTACATTAGGGGCCAATTTTTTCAAAGCAATAAATGAAATAACATGAGAAACCATGTCTGGCATTTCAGAGATGACGAGCATACTTAGACATACCCAGGAAAAGCGGAGGGTGTGCCCTGGCGGCTGAGCCTGCAGCCCGGGGGTGTGAGTGAGGGTGTGCCCTGGCGGCTGAGCCTGCAGCCCGGGGGTGCGTCTCAGGGCCATCGCCTGGAGGTGCATCCACACACACCGTCTCACTCCATTTTTTCCTAACACGGTGAAAATCAGCATCTCTGTGTATTAGCACAAGGAGGTGACAATGTGAAAAACCCATAATCTCTCCAGTGTCAGGGGCACTATCATAAAATGCCTAAGTTAGGAGAGTAAGTTTTAAATTTTTGCCCCGTAACAAAAAAATCACACAGGGTTCCCTGAACCCTTTTTAATGCAAAGTCTGTGCATCTTGAGTGAAAGGGGTTCCCTTCTTTTGAGGATCCCTTTAAGTGGGTGCTACCTAAGACTGCAGGTCCACGGTCTCAAATAATTCTCTTCTTTCCTCCAAACCAAGAAGTCACGAATAACCTAAATTAAAAATAAATGTTCACTGCATCAAATGTGTAGCCAACAATTTGGTGCCAGGCACCGTGCCTCACGCCTGTAATCCCAGCACTTTGGAAGGCCGAGATGGGCGGATCACTTGAGGTCACGAGTTCAAGACCAGCCTGGCCAACATGGTGAAACCCTCTCTCTACTGAAAATACAAAATTAGCCTGGCATGGTGGCGGGTGCCTGTAATCCCTGCTACTCAGGAGACTGAGGCAGGAGAATCACTTGAACCCGGGAGGTGGAGGTTGCAGTGAGCCAAGATCACTCCATTGCACTCTACTAGCCTGGGCAACAAGAGCGAAACTCCAATTCAAAAAAAAAAAAAAAAAAGTGCTGGGATTACAGGCGTGCCACCACACCCAGCCCTAGGGTTTCAATTACTTAGAACACAAAAGATGAACTACAAATAATTCATCTAATAAACCTTTTAAATTTTTAGCAAAAAAAATTATTTCCATTTTAAAATAAAACATTTATTAATTAATTATTTCTTGGAATACCTTTTAGGCAGGCTTACATCAATGTATTACAACTTGAAACCAAATGAAGAGAAAAACGCAGCTTAATTCTTCGAAGCCAAACTCACCCTTCTTGCCTTGCTCTGATATTTGATAGCTTTTTTTGTTTCTTCTTTAGCGTGTTCTACATAGTCTGTGGCATTCATAACATTTCTTTCTATGTTGTTGATCATTTCACCCTTAAAACAAAAAGTTTCAAACTTAGAAGACATTTTCAAATGGCTTAATCATGTATCTTTAAGACAACCATAGAACAAAGGTTTTATATAAACACGATGTGCATGTAATGGATACTGAGGGTTTTTTTCACATTTACAGAAAGATAAAAGATGAGGCCATTATACATGTGCCAGTGCAAAGCAATCAAAACTCAATTTATATTTTAAAAAGAATGAAAAGGAATGGGCCACCATGTTGATAATTAAAGGCACCTCAAGTCAATTCTGAGATACCTTTAACACGCAGACACTTTCGACAGATGGGCAGGGTGAAGGGAGGCAGCCAGCTTTTGGTTGAACTAGTATTTTACCATTATGCACAGACAGACAATATACAAAGAATGACATCTTTTCCACAAAGTAGAAAATTGTAACTACTTCTTTAAATCAGTAAACTGAGCATAGCTCACATCTGACACTCAGCTGACTACATTAATGAGCAAAATGTAAACAGAGGTGAATTCAGCAAAGTGTGAGGGAGGTAACGTATTACCTGGTTGTCTGTCCAGACACAACCTGCAGCAGTGAATCGTAAAGCATTGAAGAATGACGGAGAGTTAACTCACTCAGTCACAAACTTCAACTTACTAGTAATCTCTGACTATGCACACATTTGCATTAGATGAGTCAATATAATGCAATACCAACAGACTTCTAAAAGGAAACAGTGAAACAAAGCCAGGGATGCAGCCATTTTTCTAACGGAGCTTAATGCAATGCATTTGGTATAGAGCAATTACAATTGAAGTCTAAGGTACTACAAAAGCTTTAGTAATTACAGAAATCATCTCTCGTTCTTTCTGTCCAGCTGGTTTCCTTTGGAATGCTTCCTGGAAATAAGTAACCAATGGTAATCAGACTCCCCACACTCCACTTACCATATAATGAATGGCAACGGGGCCCCCAAAATCAAAAAGGAGTAAGATCGTCCCATCCCTGCCCTCTGTGTAGCTGTTGGTTTCCTCTAGCAAATGCTTATACATACAAACATTAGCCGGGCGTAGTGGTGCAAACCTGTGGTCCCAGCTACTCGGGAGGCTGAGGTAGGAGAACTGCTTGAGCCCAGGAGGCAGAGGTTGCAGTGAGCCAAGATTGTACCACTGCACTCCAACCTGGGCAACAGAGCAAGACCCTGTCTCAAAAAAAAAAAAAAAAATAGGCATGGTGCCTGAGTTTTTCACACACATTCTCATTATAAAGTTCTTCAAAATACAGTGTTTCTTAACAAGGTTGCTGAAGCAGGCAGGAACAATCCTGTGTGTGGATGGATTCCTATCCTTACACAATCCAGGCAGTCTCAGAAAATAAGCCCATCAGATGTGAACCTACTTAGGGGATGACTCCAGCCAAAACAGATCCGAAACCAGGCTCAGGACAAGTGAGGAAACCATTTACTTAGGATGGTTTGATATAAATGCTTCCGCTTCACCTGGTGGTCAGCTGAATCCTAACCAGCAACAGAGTCTTATCTCCATGGTATTTGAAAAATAACGAGAAGACCTTATTCAAAGACAAAGAGCGAGTGTGAACATACCCATGCACATCACAGAGCATGTGATCTGTGATCCATCCCGTACTTTACATGGAGAGTTCAATATATACATACATACATATATATGTGTGTATTTTTTTTTTTTTTTTTTGGAGACAGGGTCTCACTCTGTCACCCAGGCTGGAGTGTAGTGGCATGATCATAGCTCACCACAGCCTTGAACTCATGGGCATAAACAATCCTCCCACCTCAGCCTCCCAGAGGAGTTTTCTATTTATTAAGAATTGCATTAACTCTTCGGTTCACTCAGAAGGGCCTTTCCACACCTGCTTTCACTCCCTATCTGTGTTACTGGGCAGATGGGAAACCCCGTGTAACAGGCACAAGCTTGCATCTGTGTCATAGATTGTATCCCCACTTGGGGTTGATTCTTTCAGACATTTCTCCTAGTTATTACTGTAATATATGCTTCTTATAGAAAATCTGAAAATAAATACTTTTAGAGAAGATTAAAATTCCCATAGTCTCACTGCCATTACACTGTTTGATATACGCCTTTCCTTCTGTGGATACTGTTTTATGGAGCCAAGCTCGTGCCATGTGTTTGTGTTTATGTACTCATACATATGTACGGGCATACACAGAAGATCTTTGTATCTCCCTTTTCTCTTAATTCTAGCACAAACATCTGCATATTTCAGTAAGAATTCTCCATGAACAAAGTTTAGGTTGCCTATGGTTGCCTAAAAGGCTGACCTATGAACACTCCATAATTTAATCAACTGAACCAGTCCCTTCCTGTTAACAGTTCAACTGTTAAAGCTGCTTCCAGCATTTCAGCATCACATATAACACTGCAATTAACCTGAATTTGGTGGATCCAAAATAACAGCTTTCCTAGATACATCCACTAGACAGAGTGGGATGCAGTAAGATTTTACACATGACTGATATCTCTCTTGGAGAATGCAAGAGTCTGTAACTACCTGAGTCTCCACAAACATAGCCATGTCCATGAACATCTCATGCAACTCTCGGATGCTGGTCTCCAGCTTCATGATGTCCTTGTGACGTGACTCGATTTCATTGAGAGCTTGTCTAGTAATTTGTGAATCTGATATAATCTTGGAAAAACAAAAATAAAAGATAATATTAATAAACTTATGATGGGTTTGGAAGTTAAAGGGTTTTTAAAAAGCTCTGTCTACAGAAGAGGACATGGAGCCACAGGGCCGCACCCCCACTCACGTCGGAAGTGAAGATGGATGGCTTCCCGCTCTCCAGCATCTCTTCTAGCTCGTCGTCTGTGGTGGTTCTCCCAGCTGAAAGACCCGCAACCACAGCCCCACTCAGAATGCAGCACAATTTAAAAACAAAGCCATTTGCAACCATAAGTTAGCAACTACAATCATAGTTGTTAGCATTTTTCAGTAATTTTTTTAACCTTTTCTTAAGCAGATATTGACAATGAGAAGTGAACCTAAGATTGAGGAGCAAGAAGAAATAAAAATACTCCGAGAAACTTTGTAAATGTTATAAACAATAAAATTTCATTTTAATATTAGTGAGAAACAACTGCAGAAAGGAAATCGGTAAACAATGTCTCGGCACACTGGTTTCCCTAAGAGTTTAACTCCGCCTCATGTAAAAGGGGGTTGAGCTGAATGTAGCATGTATTAAATGAGGATCAATAAAGTCCACGTAATGAGAGTCAGATGCCTGAACACTTTCCATGTTTGGAAGTTAATGCTTTCCTTTTGAGTTAAATGTGTAATGACTTCGAAGAAACATGTACACAGGTTTTGGAAACCTAATTGTTAATTACTATTTTTCATAGTTTGTGCCACAGAAGACAAAAGTAAATGAATAAATGTCATAATTCAAATGTCATCTAATAAGCAGCATTATTCATAATTGCCAAAAAGTGGAAACAACGCAAACGTCCGTCCCCCGATGCCTGAAGGAGCTAACTGCGGTCTAGCTGCACACTGACATACGACTCAGCCACAAAAACAAAGGACGCTTTTGGTTTTTGTCGCTTTGTTTTTTGAGACAGGGTCTCACTCTGTCGCCCAGCCTGGAGTGCAGGGGCACCGTCGCAGCTCACTGCAACCTCTTCCTCCCGGGTTCAAGCAATTCTCATGCCTCTGACCCCTGAGTGGTGGGGACTACACGCGTGCGTCACCACGCCCGGCTAATTTTTGTATTTTTAGTAGAGGTGGGGTTTCACCATTTTGGCCAGGCTGGTCTCGAACTCCTGACCTCAAGTGATCTGCCCACCTCAGCCTCCCAAAGTGCTCGGATTGCAGGTGTGAGCCACCGTACCCAGCCCTTTTTATTTTTTTAACAAAGATACGGTCTCACTCTGTCACCCAGACTGGAGTGTAGTGGTGCAATCTCAGCTCACTGCCGCTTTGACCTCCTAGGCTCAAGCAATCCTCCTGCTCCAGCCTCCCAAGTGACTGTGATTATAGGCACACACCCATGCCTGGTTTATTTTTATTTTTTTTTACAGAGATGGGGTTTTGCTATGTTGTCAAGCTGGTCTTGAACTCCTGGCCTCAAGCGATCCTTCCACCTTGGCTTCCCAACCAACACGCTGGGATTAGTATACATGTGAGCCACCACACCCTGCCCACCCCATGGTGAAACCTTGGAAAAACTGTGTTACAGGAAAGAAGTCAGTCACAGAACACATAGTGTATAATTCCATTTATATGAAACATCCAAAATGGGAAAATGTACAGGAGTAAAAAGTAGAATGCAGTTGTCTTGGGCTAGGAGAGGAAATGGGGAATGACTGGTGGTGGGTGTGAAGTTTCTTTTTGGGTTGATAAAAGTGTTTTAAATTGATTGTGTGTGGAAATACACCAAAAACCACTGAATTAATTGTATGCTCCAAATATCATTCACATATTAAGAGATTTACTTCTCAATAAAGTTGTTGAGATGTCATTTAATGAAAAAAGTTTTAAAGTTAGTAAATTGCAAAATTTGTTTACTTACACTATTTTTTGGGAGGTAATTCTCAATCATTTAAAAATCTATTTGAGAGCACACATGGTGGTTTACATGTATAATCCCAGTGCTTTGGGAGACCAAGGTGGAAGGATTGCTTGAGGCTAGGAGTTTGAGACTAGCCTGGGCAACACAGCAAGACCCTATCTCTACAAAAAATAAAATAAAACTTAAAAATCTATTCAAAATAGCTCAATAAGGAGATTCTCTGAGTTTTGCTTTGCTTTTTTAAAAACATGAAACTTGTTCTAAATAATGTAAAATATAATCATCAAAACTAGAAATTTCAGCTTGGGCAACATAGTGAAAACCTCGTCTCTACAAAAAATAAAATTAGCCAGGTATGGTGGTGTGCTTCTGTGGTCCCAGCTACTCGAGAGGCTGAGGTGGGAGGATCCCTTGGATCCAGGAGTTCAAGGCCACAATAAGTGGTTATCACAACACTGCACTCCAGCCTGGGTGACAGCGTGAGGCTCTCTCTCAAAAAAAAAAAAAAAAAAAAAAACAAACTAAAAGTTACAGTTCATGTCTCACGTTCACAAAGGTCTTCCCACCGGCTAACTGCTAAGTCTAAGAAACAGCCTGGGGTTACAGAATGTGAAATGCAGTATACATTCGTAATTCCTTATCCAGAATGCTGAAATCCACAACATTATGAAAACTGGGTTTTCCTTAAGCTCGATGTCAAAATTCAATGAGCGGCAAAATCTGACCTAAACTGAGTCATGGCTATTTATAATCTTAACTCCTCCCCCTTACTGTGAATACTCACATTTCACTGGAGAGCTGTGTGAATGTGCCTGATTACAGGGTGCAGTCCTAGACCCCACCTGGGGATTACATAATACACCTCTTATACATTGTACTATCTTCCTAAAATCTGAAAAATTCTGAACTCTGAAACACATACAGCCCCAACCATTCCAGAGAAAGCACTGTGGACCTATGTAACATGCCCTGGTCCAAGAAGAAACTCACTTGCCATTTGAAGAAACAAAGCATACAGCACAGGAAAAGATATCCTGTGATACAAGGTAAGAAACCTGCCTGATGACAGGGCTGACGGAAGGAAGAAAGAAAGGGGACAAAATGGTTTTAGGTGCAAGGATTTGGAGAAGACCACTGTATGAAGACAGCCCGCTGTGTGGCCAGAGTGACGCCATCCTGAAGCAAAACCACCGTGATGACCGATGCTCGACTCGTGCATGCCAAGCTGTTCTGCAATGAGGTCTGAAGACGATGCCTCCGGCACAGGCAACCTCTCATCAAGATGCTCATCCAGCCTGACCAGTGGTCCCAAGTGTTGTCAAGCAAGTCAGAAGACAGGGCCGGCTGCACACGTTCTACCCTGAAAGCCTGCTGTATAAAGAACACTTTCTGAGGGCAGGCGGCTGTGGGGTCCACCGTCTCTGTCTCTCGGGGGCTTCTGTTCGTACGTCCCTAGCCAATGTTTCCTTCGAGAAACTGGATTTGTTAGCCTCTTTCTTTGGCGTCTCAGCTCGCTCAGCCTTTGGGGGTGAGTTTGCATAGACCTGCTCACTTCGGAATAGCCACATGGAGGGTTTAGAATTTAACAGACTTAAAGGAATTACTAAAAAAAACTCCCAACACGTATATGATACTTCATTGCTTATAAGACACTTTCACAAACAGTACTGCATTCGATAGAGTATGATTGCAAGAGAAGAAACTGGAAATGAATTCTGTGGGCTGAGATAGAATAATGTGGGAAAGAGAGAAGAGACTTAGGCGATCTGATCACGCCACCGGATTCACATGGGGAGTGAAGACAGGATGGACCTGCAGGAGAGATGGTGCGGGGCCTTCAAGCCCAGGCTGGGGAACTCTGTGCTAGAAAAGCGCTCACCACAGAGTCCCAGAGCATAAATCCTCACAGTGCAACCGGCTGCCTGTAATGATGACTTTCACTTTAAAAAGTACTAACAGATCCCTGAAGTCAAAGTGGTTTGTAAAAACTTTTTCATAGAAAAGCAGTCTAGTCGACATCATGATTGAGCATTTCTGCCAGGATGGAGCAACAGGGACCGTATTTTCCCTGCCACTTGAAATAACCACAAACCCACCAAAATCTACAAAACGATTTCCAAGACACTGAGCATCAGGCCACACACTGATTCCCAACAGATGGAAACAAGCCAGGTGAGCCTGCTGCTGCCCTCAGACGGAACTCTCGTGTCAGCCACAGAGCAGAAAGGGCCCAGGTGGAGCCCAGGGGAAGTCCTAAGGCAAAGGCACAGAGCTCAGGGGAGACCAAGGCAACTGGATTTGCAAGATGGAGTATGAGAGATGAGAGAGATGCAGAGAGCGAGCTGCACAGACCCCGCATGCTCACTGGAGTGCTGACCAGCATGCCAGAGGGAACACGCTGCCAGGCAGACGAGGGTGCCATGAGGTTCACGGCCATCAGAGCAGGTGCTCAGAAGGGTCTTACCTCAGGAGTGAGGAATGACAGGCCCTCAAATAAAGCTGCTCTGCTCCCTCTAAATGCAAGATCCCAAAGGCTAAACCATGCTCATGTGATTTAACTACATTCTAAAACAAAGCCCAAGGAGATTTACAAAAATACTCAAAATACAGAAATACTCAGCACCCAACAAAGTAACGTTCACAATGTCTGGCACACACTCGAAACTTACCAGGCTCGCAAAGAAGCAGGAAAACACAAGCCACAGAAAGGAAGGAAATCAACCAACCAGAGCAGACAGGACACTGGAGTTGGCAGACAAAGACGGTTCAAGTTACTACAAGTGCGTCCCAGTTGTACAGTGGGGAGCAACACAGCAGACATGTAAAACACCCAGCAGAACTAGCAACAGAAACCAGTGTCTCCGATGAAACATACACCAGAGGAGGTTAAAGGCAGATCAGACAAGCAAGAGAAACTGACCAAAACCAAACACACTGGAAAAGAGTATCTAAAACATGAGGAGCCTCGCTGAGCTGTGGGACAAGGTCAAGCGGCCTGGCGGGCATATGACAACATTCTCTGAGGGGGATGTGCGGCGTTGGGAGCCGGGATGGGCCTGAGGCTTCATCTGACCTGCGAGCTGACACGCTGGCCTGCCAGGGCTCCGTGGGGGCCGGCAGAAGGTCCAAGGCCCCAGGTCAGGGACAAAGGGATTTCCTACTCACAGCACAGCAGGCAACCTGAGGCTCATGAGCAGCTGTCCACGGCCCCCAGTCTCATGGGGAGAGGCAGAGCAGCTGCAGTGGGACGTCCTCACAGTGGGTTTGTGTCACAGCTGAAGGACCCGAGCTTGGGAACCCCAATCTTTCACAATGGGGAGTCTACAAACCTGACCAACCTTTATCCCTGAAACAGACCCGTCTGTCCCCGAAGAAGGCGCCATCTCCACTGCCACAGCCAACTGTCCCCATAGACACCCCTGAAAAGAGTCTGGGGCAATAGGGCCGCTGCCTCTGCTCACAGACAAGGAGAGATGTGAGGAGCCATGAAGATGCCCCCGAACCAGGGCAGGGCGGGACTGAGGACACAGAAACACTCAAAGAGGAAATGACTGAGCACTCTCCCAATCTCCCTGAAACTCTAAAAGCAACAGCAATGAGCAAGGTAAACCCCACCGCTTAGGACTTCCTGAAGACAGGAAGAACAGGTTTGCCTGACTCACGGCATAGGAAGCTACGAGTGGTCTTTGGGTTTTACACTATTGGTGAAAATAGACATGGATTTCCTTTTCTGAAGTTAAAGTCATTTGAAGTGAGACCTTAAGGGAGAAAAACATGATTTTAACAAAGACGGAGTCTCCATTACTCACTTATCTCCAGCTGGCGCTGGATGCGGCCTTTGCTCCGCTCCCGAAACAGAGTCTGTGCCTCATTGTACTCCGCCATGGCTTCCACAAACTTCCGAGACAGCACCGAATGCTAACAACACAGGAAAACTACATTCGTATCTGAGGGCCATGCCTTCTACTGAAAGTGACATGCAAGACATGCATTTTGGAAACTCAAACTACATGTTATTCTGCTCCTGCAAATGGAAAATGACAATGGCAAAGTCCCCATGGCAGCATCTGTGCTAAGAACTTTGCATGCATGATCTTACCTAATTTTTACAAGACCCCTACTATGCCGGTCACAACCCTACTTAAAGAAAACCATGACTTTGAGGTCATTAGCCCAAGGTCACAGGCTTTTCTGATAAACACAGATCAGCACTGGGACCCAGGCAGGTGGACCCCAGAGCCCGCGTGCTTCATCGCCTTGTGCCCATGAGGGGACCCAGGCAAGCGGACCCCAGAGCCCGCGTGCTTCATCGCCTTGTGCCCATGAGGGGACCCAGGCAGGCGGACCCCAGAGCCTGCGTGCTTCATCGCCTTGTGCCCATGAGGGGACCCAGGCAGGCGGACCCCAGAGCCCGCGTGCTTCATCGCCTCGTGCCCTCGAGGCCTCAGGGCTCTGTCTTCCTCTGGGCAGTACCACAAACCACTAAAACGTGGCGGCCTTACCACAAACACTAAAATCATTTGGATAATTCCCTACTCTTTGGAATAGAACTCTGTTGATGGACCGAATAGATTTTTCTTCACAATAAAGAGATTTCTATAAATACTGTGAAAGGAAAATAAAATCGCAGGACCTCACACTCACTATCCCAAAGGGACAGTTAAGCTTGGGAACTGAGTCATGCAAAACACTGCCCTCCCTCCTCTTCTCAAACAGATGGCTGCAGTGACAGAAGGCCGCACATCGCCCCAGCAGCCTCCTGCACAAAGTGCTCACAAGGAAATTCCTCGTAGGTCCCAGAATCTTTCAGAATCCATATCCCCCCCACCAAAAACTAACTCTAAAACAGAGTTCTGCAGAATCTCACCCTGACAATGTACATTAGCCGCTTACCTTCACAGGTACAGGACAAAGACAAGACTAGAAGTCACCCTCGGCCCACCCTGAGAAATGCATGTATAGCTCCTCCCTCACCTCAGGCTCACACTGGCCCACGTAAGAGGCGGATCTGGGCACGGGAGGAGTGCAGAATCGACCCCCACTCCTCTCTTCCCACATGTGAAATGTGAACGCAGTGAGCCCTGAGCAAAGCCTCACAGCAGTGTGGCCACCCCGCTGCCTACCCCCACTTTTTCTCTTTTTTTTCCCCTTTCCTCCTTCCTCTCCTGCCCGCTCTTTCCCCTTTAAATACTGAAGTCCTCAAAACCCTCTTCAGGAAAGGCACAAACCACAGATCCTACTCTAATTTGTATTTCTTTTCTCCAAGTGTGTCCTCAACTTTGGCAAAATAAACCTCTGTCTCAGATACTTTTGTTTTACAATACTATATTATTTTTGTGCAGAAATACTATGAGGATAAGCATGACAGTAAAGATGAAATTATTCAGAGTCTGCAAGAAGAAAGTAAAAACACTTATTCTGCGACATTACTTTAATCTAAACGAGGCTGATAGCAAACCTGGGTTCTTCGTATCCGAAGATCCACTGAAGTCCGGTTCCCACTCTCATCCTGATCAAAACTTTGTTCAATAGCTAGGAACAAATAGGAAATAATTACCTTCCAAATTTAAAAATGAAAATGTTCCAAGCCTGACTTCAAATTCCTTTTATTTCTTATCTTTGAAGTATCTTTATAAAACTAAAGCTAATGAACAAGTGACCTTCTAAAACAATCTACTAAAAAGACAATCCCTCAATAGGAAATTATTTTCTGAGACAAGGTCTGGCTCTATCACCCGGGCTGCAGTGCAGGGGCACAATCTCGTCTCACTGCAACCTCTGCCTCCCAGGCTCAAGCAGTCCTCCCACCGCAGCCTCCCGAGTAGCTGGAATTACAGGCGTGTGCCACCACATCCAGCTAATTTTTGTATGTTTTGTACAGACGGGATTTTGCCATGTTGCCCAGGCTGGTCTCGAACTCATGAGCTCAACTGATCCGCCTGCCTTGGCATCCCAAAGTGCTGGCATTACAGGTGCGAGCCACTGCGCCCAACCCCATCAAGAGGAAACATGTATATGTAGATACACACAGATATATATACATACACACATATATACACAGATACACACAGATATATATACACACATATATACAAATACATGGAAAACACACATACAAAAAAATGGAAACATAACCAACAAACTTTAAAACTGGGTACCACTAAAGGGAAAGGAGAAACAAGGGGACGATGAAGAAAGAAGCTAGACTCCGAATATGTTTTATATATTTGACGTCAGAATGACATAAATACTTCACAAAACTTAATGCAAAATTAAATTTAAAAAAATTAATCCCTAAACTTCAAAGAAAAAATAAAGCAAACCTAACAGTAAGTCAAGTTAATGATATAAACATACAGAGGAGCCGGGTGCAGTGGCTCACGCCTGTAATCCTAGCACTTTGGGAGGCTAAGGCAGGCGGATCACTTGAGGCCAGGGGTTCGAGACCAGCGTGGCCAACATGGTGAAACCCTGTCTCTACTACAAATACAAAAATTAGCTGGGTGTGGTGGCGGGTGCCTGTAATCCCAGCTACTCGGGAGGCTGAGGCAGGAGAATTGCTTGAACTCAGGAGGCGGAGGTTGCAGTGAGCCGAGATAGTGCCATTGCACTCCAGCCTAGGCGACAAGAGCGAAACTCCATCTCAAAAAAATAAACACACAGAGGAAAAACTATTCAAAGCAACTTTAAAACCCAGTAATTTGTAGCTGGACACAGTGGCGTGTACCTGTAGTCACAAGTGCTCGGGGGATCACTTCAGCCTAGGAGTTCGAGGCTGTAGTGCGCTATGATCACACTGGTGAACAGTCACTGCACTCCAGCCTGGCCAGCACAGCAAGACCCCAGGTCAAACAACAACAACAACAACAAAAAGTAATTTGATTATCTAGCCCAGTGGGATATACCTATAGACAAAAAGAATGACACAAAAAATAAAAAATAAACCTTTAAGTAATCATACTCTTGACAGTAGATGCTGGCATAATTATTTTGAGTCTGTTGTGTGTGTACTATGAATAGCAAGTGAATAATTATGTGTCAGTGAGAACCAGAATTTGGGGCATAGTTGAAAGGAAATAAAGATGTAATATTGCCCTTATTAAGTAAAAATCCTTTCAAAAAAATTTTTAGTCCTTCCTTTATTCTTAATTTAATTTGGATTCTCAGTAACAAATCATGATTCATTTTATCTTTTAAAAAAATCTTAGCCCAGTCCACTGAAAAAGCCTAGGAAAGAATGGTCAGGTCATCGTCATGTATAGCAATACATTCCCCAGCATGCTGACCTCGGTGTCTAGATCACATTCTTCAGACACAGGAGCAGGGCTTCCTGGGGAAATGGCTGATGCCAGGCCCAGGGAGGAAAGGGGTGAAATGAGCATGGGGACTTTTGTCACAGCAAAAAGTGGAAAGGCTGTCACAGACAATGAGGGGCCTACCAAAAGGACTCAAGAGTCCACCCTACTAGCCAAAGAGACCATCTGAGCATTAAGGATAATGCAGCAATGAAAACATCAGATGTGTTTAAATCCATGTGTTCACGATGATGGACGACAAGCAGCAACAGAGACTCTCCCTGGTCATCTCTGGAGGACCCCAGGGAACTGACCTATGAAAATTATACCAGAGAGAGAGAGAGTCCAACGCTGATCCTCTCTGTCCTCCATGATCTGTGACCCAGAATGTGCTTTGGCTCCCTTGGTTGGAGAAGCCAGGTCATTCGTCCTACAGAACCTGCCACACTGCACATTTTGCTGATTTCACCCTGCAACACATTCAGTAAGCTCTGCTGTCCTCTGTATTTACTGTGGGCTCATAGTTAAATTCTCCAAACTACCCAATTCAAGAGTTGAAGGGGAAAGGTTTCTTTTTAACTATTCCAGCAACTAAACAAAGAAGGAAGAATAAAATCAGGATATTCATGCTTGTAATCCCAGCACTTTGGGAGGCTGAGACTGGCGGATCATTTGAGGTCAGGAGTTTGAGACCAGCCTGGCCAACATGGCGAAACCCCATCTCTACTAAAAATACAAAAATTAGCCAGGCGTGGTGGCGGGCGCCTGTAGTCCCAGCTACTCAGGAGGCTGAGGCAGGAGAGTCGCTTGAGTCCAGGAGGTGGAGGTTGCAGTGAGCCGAGATTGTGCCACTGCACTTCAACCTGGGTGACAGAGTGAGACTCTGTCTCAAAAAAAAAAAAAAAAAATCAGGATATTACTGCTTGCAACTTCTAATGAATTATGGATCTTGGAAATAATCATCCATTTTTGACAATATCACAGAATAGAAAAGAATGTTATATCTTATTTAAAATTTTACTGAACTTACTTAGAGCCAAGAAAAAATGTTAATGTCACCATTAACATCTTTTTTTTTTTTTTTTTTTTTGAGATGGAATCTTGCTCTGTCGCCCAGGCTGGAGTGCAGTGGCGTGATCTCGGCTCACTGCAAGCTCTGCCTCCTGGGTTCACGCCATTCTCCTGCCTCAGCCTCCTGAGTAGCTGGGACTACAGGCACCCGCCACTGCGCCCAGCTAATTTTTTGTATTTTTAGTAGAGACGGGGTTTCACCGTGTTAGCCAGGATAAGTCTCGATCTCCTGACCTTGTGATCCACCCGCCTCGGCCTCCCAAAGTGCTGGGATTATAGGCGTGAGCCACCGTGCCAGGCCACCATTAACATCTTAACGTAACCATGAGGACATAAAATCTGTAATCAGATGCTGCATCTTTACATTTTAAAAACCCACAAAAAACACCTGAATCAGATAAAGCTTGGAGAATTTAACTACCAACCTACAGCAAATTCAGAGGACGGCAGAGCCTATTAAATGTGCTGCAGAGGTAAAATCAGCAAAATCTGCAGCATGGCAGATTCTGTAGGACAAATGACCTGGTTTCACCAACCAAAGGAAAAAGTGCAGAGAGAAAAATCATGAAGGGAGAATCTCATTTTTAAAAGCCAGGGTTTGGTCCTTATTTGGGACTCAATTCAAGCAAACTGTTTAAAAAAAAAAAATCGTAAGACCACTGGGGAAATTCTGCCTGGATATTCTGTACTATTAAGTAATTATAATGAATTTGGGTTTAGATATAATTGTGGTTGTGCTTTTGGGGAAGCTTCTGTTTTTGAAATACACACTGATGAAATCTCAGATGCCTGGGATGGGCTTCAGAATAGTCTGGGAGCGGGTGCGGGTGGGAGCTCATGGAGAACTGTGGAGCTGGGGGGTCGGCTTGTGGTCGCCTCTCTCTGCTTCTGCACACATCTGAAACCTGCCGTAATAAAAGTATTTTATCATCTGCACAGAGATTGTTTTTGATCTTGATGCCATTCTGCAAAAATCAAATACAACATGTTTTCTACCAAATCGAGAAAAAGCAACCTCTGTTTAAGTCCCCTGTTTTACATGACAAAGCTATAAGCCTCCCAAAAAACTACTGCTGCTAAAGTGGAATGCCAAACATCATCGAATAAATTCTACAGAAAGTTTGAAAGAAATGAGCAATTAAAGGGTCCATTCAAGAAGAGCCTGGCAACTCACCTTCCCAAACATCTGCAACTTAGCCTGAAATGTCATCAAAAATGTAACAGTATAACAGTTTATAAGCAAACACATAACCTTTTTGAATATTAATTAGTACTCTGAATTACATACAAATAATTTATTTTAAAGCAGTCACTATTTTAATTTTTAAAAATGTAAAAGAACAAAAACCAATAAAGAAAAAAATAACAAATACCCATACTCCCAACATCAATAATTAAACATAAAACTTCAAACTTACCCTTTAACTTGGCTCGAATTTTATTCGCAGTTTTCTTGATTTCTTTGTTCAGATCTTCAAGCTCTTCTTTTATTTCTATAAAAATTTAAAATTAAAAAATAAAATACAGCATCTGAGCTATAATATCCAACATAAATGATATCCAATAAATTTAAGTGAAACAGTATCCTTAGTAAATATTCACTTTTTTTCTGTAAGAAAAACTACCGCTTATACCAGTGGTTCTCAAGGTGGGTCCCTAGACAGCAGCTTTCATAAATATCAGGTGGCAGCTTAGTAGAAACACAAATCCCTGGGGCCCACCCTGGACCTACTCAGAAACTGAGGTGGGGACAGTGGCCCAGCAATCTGAGTTAGCAAACCCTCCAGGTGACACAAGTTTGAGACTTGCTGCTCTATACCCATGAATGAAACTGCTGCCTAAATCCACTGCTAACACCTAGACCTGGGAAAGGAAAACGGAGACGTAACGATGATCTCAACAAAGTCTCCCGTGTGTGTGCTTTTCTCTTGTGCTGTCAGCTGTCTCCCCAAAACGCCCGAATAATCACAGCCACCACTTCAGGGCTGCTGGGCCGGTCGCCCTGGCCTGGCTTCTCAGACACTCAGGGCTGCAAGCAGGGGGCGATGGAGGCAGGGGCCGGCCTCCTAACACGGAGGGAGGCCAGCAGAGCAGGAGCTGACACTCCAGGGCAGTGCTGAGACCTAAGGCCACCCAGGGCGTCATAGCAGCCTCTGCTTTCATGCCTAGCTGCCCCAGAGCCCAGGGAGGGTGGCAGGATGTCTGCTCCATGCCGCACACTCACATTTGCCAGTCCAGTGGCTGAAGTGACCAGAAGGGAAGGGGGTTTCTCTCTCCTTTGGGCAGAAGTTGCTGAAACAGGAAGGCCCCCGCCCCGTCTCTGGAGTCCTGTTGTCGTTTTAGAGAGTCCTGCACTTGCCTCTCTCACTCAATCTCACACGCATCAGCCGGGGAAAAGGCAAACGTTTCTGCCGTAGACAACTTGGCCAAGAATGAAAGCTTTCAGAGATGCCCACTCTCTTCCTGACACCCCCTCAGCTGAGCATACGCAGGGTGCCCCGAGTACCCACTGCACACAAGCGTGTGCTAAGTCTTCTTTCCATGCTCAGCTACAGTCATCAGACGCAGCCTGGCTCGTCCAGGGTTTCAGAGCCAGATCAGAGACTGAGTGATCTCCAGAGGTGACAGGTCACGCACCAGTGACACCTACTGAGTACTTTCTGTGTGCAGGCCCGTGTCATCTAAGGAGGCTAACAAGACCGCCAGGGACCTAACAACTCGGTAAAAACAGACAAGACAAACCCAGGAAGCGCCAATGCCACGCAGAGACTAACAACGGACGAGACAGGGTTCACAAAATGCCATGGGCAGCGAGGAGGAGAAGCGTCTGCTGCAGCTGTCCCACAGGAGGGGACATCTGACCTGGGAGTGGAGAGACTGGTGGCTTCCATTCCAGGCAGAAGAAGGGTCTATGGCACAGAGCAGCGGGACGGTGGGCTGTAGTGACTGGCGTGGGAGGAGGCCAACTACAGGCTGCCTGGGCAGGAGTGTGCAGGCCCAGCTGAGTTTGGGGCTTTTACTGAGGGCACCAGTCAGCACTGAAGGTTTCTCAGCAAAGAAAGGCATCAGCAAAGATGCATTAGAAAGACTTTTTTTTTTTTTTTTTTTTTTTTTTGAGACAGAGTCTTGCTCTTGTCACCCAGGCTGGAGTGCAGTGGCACAATCTCGACTCGTTGCAACTTCCGCCTCCTGGGTTCAAGCGATTCTCCTGCCTCAGCCTCCCAAGTAGCTGGGATTACAGGCCTCCGCCACCACACCCAGCTAATTTTTGTATTTTTAGTAGAGATGGGGTTTCGCCATATTGGCCAGGCTGGTCTTGAGCTCCTGACCTCGAGATCCGCCCACCTCAGCCTCCCAAAGTGCTGGGATTACAGGCGTGAGCCACTGCATCCAGCCTAAAAAGATTATTTTTAAGCAAGGCACAGTGGCGTGCACCTGTAGTCCCAGCTACTTCAGAGGCTGAGGCAGGAGGATCACTTAAGCCTAGGACTTTAAGGCCAACCTGGGCAACTAGCAACATGCCATCTCTATTTAAAAAAGGAAAGAAAAAGAAAAAACAAAGAAAAATTATTCTGATAATGGATGAAACTAGAAAAAAAGAGAAACTAGACACAAAGGGGTCATTTCGTGATTCTCCTCTGTGAACATGTTTCTAAAGGGAGATTCTCAGGGGAATCTTTCTACCACCCCAAGGGGTATTCTGAAATTTGTGGGGTATTTCCAGTCATCATAAAAAAGGGAGAGCCACTGGCATCCAGAAGACATAAGCCAGGAATGGCACCAGCCAGCACCACACAACAAAGAACTGGCCTCCATCCTCCTGTAGTTCCTGAGCGTGACGACGGGGTGTTCGTGCGCGTGTGAGATGTGCCACCCTCGAACCTCATTACATCAGCACATCACCCACTGGCCTGCATAACTGCCAGATGCACGCTGCTCACTCAGGCAGGAGAAAAGACCTGTTTTCCTGAGCCCAGAACCTGACTCCAGCTTACAAATAAGCCCTGTTTTCATCTGCATCGTTTCAATATCCAGTGGATTTTCAGGAATGCAACTGCCGTGTCACCGCTCTGCATGGCGAGAAAGCTGTACTTCAGTCTATTTCAGTGACACCTACTGCCTCAGGAAAAGCACAGGGAAGCCTGCTAACGGCAGCTGAATCACAGCACCTCATCAGCTTGCAGCCTTGGCTGTGACAGTCACAGCACTTGTTTGTAGGGGGGCAAGCGCCTGAATTTTGTTTTCTGGTGTTGTGCCTGAGCCTGCACAATACAATTTGTACTTCAATATGTAAGTTACTTCCATTTTATGTCTCCTTCATATTAGTTTGGATATTATATGTTTTTTTAAAATCATGGAGGTAGGTAGGCTATATCATCTATGAACTTCATTTTAGAATAGTAAAGGGAACACAAAATGCCTTATAAAATGGGGCATTTGACAGGAATTAGAGAGACTTGCTATGAATAAAGAGGGTGGCAGGTCCATAGTTTGTGGCAGGGGTGCTGGCTCCTGTGGTGCGTGAGGCTGATGCAAACACCCCCAAGGCCTGGCCACTGTGCCTGGGGAATGAGGGCTGAGTGTAGGAGTCGAAGCTAAAACGTACACACAGCAAGGGCATTTGTGCAGGGGTCCGGCCCAGCCAGCGCCTGAGCACAGCTGAGGACGACTAGACTCGGGAGACGGTCTTGAGCCACCGCGCAGCCACAGAAACCACAAGATCTGAGAGCTGGGCCTGCCAGTGGATGAGAGTCTCCCTCTTGAGCTGGCGGGCCACAGCAGGACTCACTCCCCTGGGGAAAGAAAGCCCTTGGCCGTTACACAGCAGGGGTGGGGGGCACTCATGACGGAGTGAACTTGCTGCCACTACAGGCCCACGGGGCTTGAGCAACTCATCAGCAAAACAAAAGAGGCACTGCCTGTCTGATCCTGCAAGCTGCAGACGCAGGCCATAAGGTCACATTTGATAAAGGTGGTATTTCAAATCAGAGACCAGACGGGGATCAGGAACCTCCTCTTCCAGCGGCCTAGGTGATTCAGCTCAATCCTGCTGCTGAGAACAATTAGAAAGGGTAGACACAATACTCTTTCTAAATCTGTGTAAAGCCATTAGAAACCTAACAAGGTGCGAAAATAAATAAAATAAAATAATTAAAAAAAGAAATAAAAACAAAAGAAACCTAACAAGGCAGGAAAGAAGACTCAGAAGAAGAAAACCCAAAGACATGGGCCCCACTTTTGCAGCCACTTTTACCTGGGGGCATGTGCCAACTCCATAAAAGGCAGCTGAGCTGCAGAGAAGCTGAGAAAACTGTGCTGACTTGGAGAGACAATGCCCTAGGAGGAACAGTCAGGTGGGAAGCTGGCCCTCGCAGGGGCTGAAGCCTCAGTCTAAATCATCTCAATCCCTAAAATTAGATCCAGAATTGCTGGTGCTTCTAGCCATCTGCCAGAAATAAAAATAAATCATCTCTTTAAAAAGAAAATACCATTCAGGACTCAAATTATTACTGCAAATAATTCCAATACAAAGCTCAAAACTCAATCAAAAATAACCAGGCAAACAAAGAAAAAAAAAAACACATGAATGAAAACCCAACAAAAAGAGACAACACTAACCCATCCACAGAGGCACCAGCTAATAAAGTTACAAGACACAGACGTTAAAACAATTACATTCAAAGAGATAAAATGTAAGATCATAAATTTTGTCAGAGAATAGGACAGTATTAAAAGGAACCAAGTGGAATTCTAGGAGTTAAAACCAATCCAAAAATAATTCCATAGATGAAGAAAGATTCCCTGACCTGAAAGACAATCGCTGAAGAGAAATCAAACGATAAGTCAGGGAAAACATTTTCAAAATAAAATATATAGAGAAAAAATGATGAAAAATAGAGAACAAAAGAGGAGAGACAGAAAGGATACACTGAAACGCTCTAAAGACATACAATTCCAGCCGCAAAGAGAGATGACAGAAAACGGAGCAAGGATGCTACTTGAAGAAGTAATGGCCAAAGTTTTTCAAAAACACAGCCAGAAAACGTCAGTCCAAAGACTCAAGAAGCCTTATAAGAAGAGGGAAAAAGAAAACGAAAACCACATCTCAAAACTTCACAGTAAAACTGCTAAAACCAAAGACCAAAAACCAAATATCTTAAAAGCTCTAATTAGCTGACAAAAAAAAAAAGTAAAGCCAAAAGACACTGGAAAAATATGTTTTAAATCTTCAGAGTGGTGAAAGAAAACAACTTCTAAACTAGAATCTTCTACTCAGTGAAAATATCCTTCGAGAATAATACTAAACTGAGGATAATTTCAGATAATAGCGAATCTTCACTGAAGGAGGTAAGAAGGAAGGGGAGAGGAACCGCAAGGGCAGGAAGGCCTCGGGTGGGGTGGTCCCAGCCTGTGGTGGGGGCAGCTGGGCTGAAGCAGGGCAGGGGTCCCGGAGCCAAGACTCCCCAGGAAGGCCCTGCAGTGGGAGGGGATGCCGGAGCCTGGCCACGCAGCTCCTTACGGGGAGTACGCGCGGCTTCGTTTCTGAAGGGAGAAGGCCCCGTGAGCTGTCCCCATGCCCTGCAGGGGAGGGGACAGGAGAGGGGTAACACAGTGAGAAACGCTGTTTCTACAAAAAAAAAAAAAAAATATATATATATATATATATATATATATATATAAAATTATCTGGGCGTGGTGGCATAAACCTGTAATCCCAGCTACTCGGGAGGCTGCAGTGGGAGGACTGTCTGAGCCCAGGAGGCTGAGCCTGCAGTGGCAGTGGGCTGAGATCACGCAGCTGCACTCTCGCCTGGTCGACACAGGGAGACTCCTCTGGAGGGTGGGGGGGAGAGGGCGGGGGAGGAAGAATCACAACAGCACTGGAAGGCAGATGCCACCACTAGCTCATTTCACACGTGTGGGAACTGCCCCGGGAGAGGTTAAGTGATGCGTCCAAGGCCACACAGGGATAACCGGTGGGACAGGATCTGAATCCAGAGCCACAGAGGCGCGGCTTCCTCCAGGGCCTCAGGGGCCTCCGCACAAGGAGCCGGGTCTCCATGAGTCTGATTTCCCGCGGAAAAGCACAGAATGCACGGGAGCAGGCGGCGCTGGAGATGGAGACGATGGAGACGGTGCAGACGGTGCAGACGCTGCCCCAGCGCATTCGGAGCGGAGCCCCAGGGAACGGCTGAGGGAACAGGAAGCAGAGAAAACGGGAGCGTGCGCAGCCGCAAGGACGACCGCACCCGAACACAGGGTGCAAGCCAGGCTGACGGCTGACTGCAGGAGCGAATCAAATCCCCGCCGTCCTGCAGGGGGAATCCCAGCCTCGTCGTCACTAAAACCCAAACCAGAATCACACACACTTCATGCTCCTGCAGGGCTGGATCCGCGTCTTGGAGGGCCTGAAATTTCTACGTTTTGCAAAGACGCTCTTTTAATACAAAAGAAAAAAGAAATAATACAAAAGTAGAAAGTGAAAAAAGAAAAATGCAGGTAAAAGGTCCTTCGTCCACCTCTCTGCCCTGGGATCCGCGGCTGCAGGTGGCGCGGCGCGGGCGGTGCTGGGACCGGGGACCCGCCCAGGACCGGCTGCCTCTGGCGCCACCTGGCGGCCGCCGTGCCCAGCCCTGCCCCGGGTCCTGAGGTTGACGGGGGACCTCCGGGAGGGCAGCAGCCCGGGGATCGCCCTGCTCACCGGGACCTAAGCAGAGCGCCTGCCCGAGAATAGGGAGACACGCGGGAGGCGGAGCACAGTAGTCCCCCTTCCTCCCTCCCACCCTCCCCTCTTCCTTTAGGAACAAGGCGGGAAGGCCAAGAGCCTGTCCCTCTCTGCGTTACCCCGGGCCCATCACTGGGAGAGAGGAATCACTGCATTTTGCTTTTTAAAGACTGACCAAGGAAGCGGCTGGAGGCTGCTGCCTACATTTTGGTTCACACTCTGTCACAAAACAAAACACAAAAAAGCAATGGTTTTCTTTAGAGCCCAAAAGGGACTATCATGAAACAGTAACAGTTCTAAATTTACTCAAAAAATAGTTCTCTCTGCTATGACTTGGCAGCAAAAATGTTTTGGAGGTAAATTATTCAAAAAAAAATGCGGATACTTATTCAAATATAATTTCCCTAAGCATTAAGCATGATGTTAACAGATGTTACATAAAAGGTCCTACGGGCAAATAAATGTGTGAAACACTAAACAAAGCTAAACAGGCTTCCTTCTAGGAAGCCTTCTCAGAGCCTTGATTATTCTACGGGTACTGCAACTTCCCAAGAGGGGCTGGGCGACGGCACGAAGAGGTCCCCGGAAAGATCTGGCCGCAGGCAGCACCCTGGCTGCACGGACTAGCTCATGAGACGGCGGCTCCAGAAACATTTTGGGAAACACACTTCTGAGTCACTGAGAGGGCATAAACAGAGGCTCAGAATATTATTTTACAAGATACATAAAATTTTAAAATGCACTTTTTCAATTTAATACTACTTTCTTATTTTTTCAACGTACGGCTACACTAAGTAATATTCCAACAAAAAATGTATTTGCTGGCAACTTTCCTCCAAGACCAAGAATACATGTGCCCCCATCACCACTTCTATTCAATACTGTACTGGAGGTCAGCTAAATAAATCAGTTAAAACTAACAAGCATAAGAGCTGCAAGGAAAAAACGGTCACTATTTATTCACAATTACATGACTGGGTACAGAGACAATCCAACATAAGCTACAGAGAATATCAGAATTAATAACTGATTAGGCAAGGGGTACAAGGCCAATATGCAAAAATCATTGTATTTCTATATACCAACAACAAACAGAGAAAATGACATTTAAAGTAGATACGGCTGGGCACGGTGGCTCATGCCTGAAATCCCAGCACTTTGGGAGGCCGAGGCAGGTGGATCACAAAAGTCAAGAGTTCAAGACCAGCCTGGCCAATATGGTGAAATCCCATGTCTACTAAAAATACAAAAATTAGCTGGGCGTGGTGGTGGGCACCTGTAGTCTCAGCTACTCAGGAGGCCAAGGCAGAAGAATCGCTTGAACCCGGGAGGCGGAAGTTGCAGTGAGCCGAGACTGTGCCACTGCACTCCAGCCTGTGTGACAGAGTGAGACTCCGTCTCAAAATAAAAAAAAAAATAGATAAATAAAAAATAAAGTACATACGACTTGCATTAACATCAAAACATTGACTACCTAGGAATAAATACAACGAAAGATGTGCGCGACCCTCCTCGGAACCCACAGCACCGCACAGACCGGCATTAAAGGCGGCCTGTGTCGTGGAGGTAGGGGCCATTTTCATGGATTCAAAGACTCAACGTTGTTAACATAGTAACTCCCCCCACCATGATGTGTGGACTCCTATTTGTAATCTCTGGCTTGCTCAGATCCATGTCCCCTGTAAAGCTTTCAATATTTATCATTCCAGAGCAATGAAACTCTCTTCTCTATAGCTCCCACGCCCCTAACGCTGAGTTAATTTAAAATCATGTCTTTTCTCCCAATGAGGAGATGCAAATACCACGGGGAAGCAAATTGAGACAAAAATCCAGGTTCTCCAGCTGCTTCCACTGAGCTCCTTTCACTCTCCTGTGTGCCTCAGATTCAAAAGGAAGCAAATGTGAGGCAGGGAGAATTTGGATAAACAGGTAAAGAAAGAAAACCGTTTCTTCCGTGCCATCCCCCACAGCCACTGAGCGCAGCACAGTCCATACAAAAGCTCCTCAAGACTTTCAGAGTCGCCTCAGTGCGTCTTCCTATTTCACTCTGCTCTTACAAGTACTGTTTTCCAAATCAATCCCTGATTCACTGCCCTCTGAACAGAAAATGCTGTCTTGCTGAACTGTGGTCTAATCTTGGCCCCTAAGTTCTGTGAAGCCACTTTCGTGTATTCTTTAGGACATGATCCATCAGTGGGCCTCACCCTGGCTGACCACTAGAATCATACAGGCAGCTTTAAGAAAAAAAAAACATACAGATGCCCTGGCTCGCCCCAGGCCAAACGCCTCAGACTCTCTAGGGTGTCAGCATTTCATACAAACTCCCCTGAATCTCCCGTGAGGCCAGAGTTGAGGCCTGTGCCGCAGACAGCCAGAGGGACACACAGACAGACAAACGTTTTGTTGTGAAAACCAACAACTTACTTCCTTCCGGGTTTGGTGCAGAAAGAATGATGCTGTGGTTTTTCTTTACTTCTTCAACATATTGAGTTATTTTATCAATACTGTTTCTAATCTCCTCCACCTAGGAGAGAGAGAGAGTCATTACAGCATGGCAAACTCAAATCTGTGACCACTTTTCATCCCCTAAAAGGGGAAGAATAAAGGAGGGAAATAAATAATTACCACATAAGAAATAAAAGCCTCTCCCATTCTCACACTGGTATCGTTAAATTTAAAAAATAAAGATATATCCTATGAATATTTCTACCTTCATACCTAAAGCAGTACCAATCAACATTCACCGGGAAAACCTATCAGGTTGTAAAAATTTCTAGTCAAGTCCCAAGCATGACACAGATGGGGCCAATTAGAAGCATACTACTACTAATACCCATTCTCAGTATAACCAGGAAGTAAGCCCATAAAACATGCAGGCACAGTGGCTCACACCTGTAATCCCAGCACTGTGGGAGGCCAAGGCAGGCGGATCACTTGAGGCCAGGAGTTCAGGACCAGCCTGGCCAACATAGAGAAACCTCTTCTCTACTAAACGTACAAAAATTAGCCAAGTGAGGTGGCACACACCTGTGATCCCAGCTACTCAGGAAGCTGAGGCTCAAGAATCGCTTGAATCGGGAGGCAGAGGTTGCAGTGAACCAAGATCACACCACTGCACTCCAGCGTGGGCAACAGAGCAAGACTCTGTCTCAAAAAAAAAAGAAGAAAATAATAATAATAATACTCTTATGGGAGGAGGTATCTATAGCTCATACAGCCAAGGCTTCATAATTATTATCTTTGACCTCTAAATGTTTAAATTCAATATTTGTTTCAAAATGTAACATATCATTAGCAAGATTTATCTAGATGGAGTCATAACATTATCTTCAAAAACCTCTACGGCAGGCTGAATAATGACCCCAAAGATGTTCAGGTCCTGATCCCTGGGCCTGGGAGTTACCTTATAGGGCAAAAGATACTTTGCAGATGTGACGAAACTAAGGATCTGGAGACGGGAAATGATCCTGAATTCTCCAGTTTGGTCCTCATTAACCCATTTATGCCAGAGGCTGCAATGTGTGTGTGTGAAAAATCAGACCTTGGTGATGACCCTGAGCAGTAGGATATAAATAACTCGCAAAAGCTTAGCGTTCCAATAATGGAACACTACGCATAAATGGGTTAAAGTCGCAAGTGTTCTTAGAAGACAGCAGTAGATGGAGATCCAGCTACAGAAGCAGCAAGGTGAGCCCTGGAGCAAGATGCTCTGCTGCCAGCTCCTACCTCCTTCCTCATTTTAAAATAGTAATTATAGGCCAGGCACAGTGGCTCATGCCTGTAATCCCAGCACTTTGGGAGCCAAGGCAGAAGGATCACTTGTGGCCAAGAGTTCAAGACTAGCCTGGGCAACATAGAGAGACCCCCATCTCTACAAAAACTTTAAAAAAAAAGAAAATTAGCCGGGCACAATGGTGCATGCCTGCAGTCCCAGCCACTCAGGAGGCTGAGGCAGGAAGATCACTTGGGCCCAGGAAGTTGAGGCTGTAGTGAGCTGTGACTGCACCACTACACTACAGCCTGGGCAACAGAGCAAGACCCTGCTCTTAAAAACAAAAAAAGGAAGAAGTAATTATTAACCATTACATGTTGTGGCACAATCCACACCCTAATCCCAGAGCCTGTGAATATGTCACCTTGCATAGCAAAGGGAACTTTGCAGATGTGATCAAATTGAGTCTTGAGATGGGAGACTACCCTGGATTATCTGGGTGGGCCCAACGTAACCACAGGATTCCTTATAAGACGAGGCAAGGGAGCCAACGTTGGAAGAAGGACACTTGATTGTGAAAACAGCAGCTGGAGTGATGGCTTTCAAGAGGGAGGAAACCCAAGAACACAGGCCGCCTGCGGAAGATGGAGAGGAAGGCAGCTCCAGGAGGCTTGCGGCTCTGCCCTGCCAGCATCTGAGCTTCTCCAGGCCCTGGAACTAGGAGGAGGTGATAAACGTGTTGTTGAAGCACAGTGATTGCGGTGATTTTGTTACAGCAGCAGCAGGAAACTGACACACGGATCAACATAAATAACACATTTCTGTGAAAAATAGATCTCCAAAAAATCGGTGGAAACAGAGGCAGTGATTTGCACTTTTTGTAAATCTAATGTCCAGCTTAATAGACAGCACCCTGATCATCACAGATATTTCTGGGTTTGGTGTGTTGGCTCTGAGAAACTCCATCATTGTGCAGTCATAAGACAATGAAAATGGCAATGATCATCTTAGTATTACTTTGAAAAGAGCTTTGACCACAGAATCCTCTTGAAAGGGTCTTAGGGACCCCAGGGACTCCTAACCCAAGCCCCGGACCAGATTTGAAAAGTCTAAGTATTAAAGAATCATGCAGGCCAGGAGCAGTGGCTCACCCCTGTAATCCCAGCATTTTGGGAGGCCAAGGCGGGCAGATCACTTGAGGTCAAAAGTTCAAAACCAGCCTGGCCAGCGTGGCAAAATGCCGTCTCTACTAAAAATACAAAATTAGCCGGGCGTGGTGGTGTGCCTGTAGCACCAGCTACTCAGGAGGCTGACAAGAGAATTGCTTGAACCCAGAAGGAGGAGGCTGCAGTGAGCCAAGATCACACCACTGCACTCTACCCTGGGTGACAGAGCGAGGCTCCGTCTCAAAAAAAGAAAGAAAAATTACCATTTCTAAAGTAATACACATATGTTAGAAAGTAAAAGAAAAAAACATTATTTTAACTCTTGGAGAGTTCTGCAATATACACCGCTGCTAACTCCAAGCCCCCGTATGGCTCCAGAGGAACAGGAGACCGCAGGGCTATACACCCTGTACCTAGACAGGCACTGAGAGAGAATGGTGCCAGCTACCATTTTATGTCCGGGAATAACATAGCACAGGGGTCCTTTGGCTCCATTATAAATCATCTTCACAGAAACAAGACTCCCTGGCCACCCTTCAGAGCACTGTTTTAGTGTTAACCAAACACTCACCATGTGAAATTCATTTCTCTTGCAAACTTCTATGTGATATTGAAGATCAGAATGAGTTTATATTACCAAACATTATTTGCTTCTGTATTTGTCTAGGAAGTCATTTCACAGAAATTAAGTGCAAAATAAATTGACTATTTAACAAATGAAAGCTTGAGCTTAAGTTAGAACCCAATGAGGCAAGCACCGGGCAAGCCTTCCTAAAGTACGAGTAACCTGTTTCCCACATGCCCCTGAGACGCCAGCAGCAAAGACAGACTGGCACCAGATAGACAAAGACCACAGCTTAATGGCACTCAGTGAATTGCACAATGTAACTTTTCTGTTCTTTTTTTTTTTTTTTTTTGTCGCCCAAGCTGTTGCCCCAAGCCGGGGTGCAGTGGCACAATCTCAGCTCACTGCAACCTCCGCCTCCCAGGTTCCAGCGATTCTCCCACCACAGCCTCCCAAGCAGCTGGGATTACAGGCACTTGCCATCATGCCTGGCTAATTTTTGTATTTTTAGTAGAGACAGGGTTTTGGCACATTGGCCTGGCTGGTCTGGAACTCCTGACCTCAGGTGATCCACCCACCTCGGACTCCCAAAGTGCTGGGAGCACAGGCATGAGCCACTGGGCCCGGCCTGCACTATGTGACTTTTCTATTAAATGCAACACTTAATGGCAGGAGATTCTTTAAAATAAATACATTTTTACAAAGAACTTACATGGAAGAGTTAAGCAACCAAGTAAAAGGAATAAAATCAGAAAAATAGTAATTTGACAAAGGGGGCAGGAAGGCTAAAGACAATTTAAAAAGTCTCATTTCCAAGAAGTGAAATCAGGAAATCCCAGCATCTTAACTCCTTCATACCTTAAAGGAAGTTCCTTGTAGCTAACAATTTAATCTCATGGTTTTTTCCTTTAAATAACAGTAGCAACTAACAAATACTAGAAAACCAGTGACTAGGCTTACGTGAGATATTCAAGAAATTCTGGCTGAATCTGAAAAACTAGTAACTTTCCATATGCTTTTATAAACCTATTAAAATGTTCAAATCCAGGCACTGCTAGGCCAGATGAGGCTGCTGAGTGAAACTATCCCATGAGACTCAGCATAATCAAGACGAGTCCTGCAATGAAGGTTCCGTCATTAAAAAACCCACTGGACGTGTGTTTTCGTTTCTTCATGTTTTACAAGGTCAATATATTTGTTCTGTGACTCAATTTCAAAAATTTGAAATTAAGCAACATTAGATCAGATAATTCTTAGGTTTGAGAATTTCAGCAGGGCCTAAGCCCAAGAGCTGAGCTGGGGAGATAAGCAGGAGGGGGAGGCCTCACACCTCAGATAGGATCCCAGCACCGCCAGGCCGCCACATTTTAAAATATCAGCCACTGGGTCACCTGTGACTTTCCTCTGAGTCTTCTACCTGAGCTCATATACAGCTGATCTGTCACCGATTTCAGACCCTGAGCCCTCTGCTCTAGGCACTTGCCTCAGGACTCACACCCACCAGTGGACGGATGGCAGTGCTGGTGGGAGCCACGCACACCTGACCCCTGCCCCCACAGCCAGGCGCCACCTCTGCTGCCGGAACCACCACTTCCTGAAGAACCAAGGAGGCCTCGTTCTGAGACACTGCCAGTCTTGCAGGAAGGCCTTTGTAAAACTCTCTTAAGGGGCGCCGCAGGACCTCCAAAAGGCAGCCTGCAAGGAGGCGGTGCTCCTGCAGCAGCCAGCACCGGGTGGGAGAAGTGGCCGCCCACCAGCAGAGGGCGCTGCAGGCCCGGCCCCAACCCACGCGGAGGCCACGTGCACAGCTCCACCATCCACACCCAGTTCCCTCCCGGACTGCATTAGAACGATGATTTGCATTTTTCTCATTATTAACATTGTGATCATACTAAAAATTCCAGAGAACTTACGTAATTCAAACAACAACTTTTAAAAATATTAGCTTAAGTATTATTTCAAATATGATAAATGCACAATCATATTGATATAAATCTTTAAAGAAGAAAGCCACCAGGCACAAGGGCTCACACCTGTCATCCTAGCACTTTGGGAAGCTGAGGCGGGCGGATTGCCTGAGCTCAGGAGTTTGAAACCAGCCTAGGCAACATGGTGAAACCCCGTCTCTACTAAAAGTGCAAAAAAAAAAGAATTAGCTGGGTGTGGTGGCACACACCTGTGGTCCCAGCTACTTGGGAGGCTGACGCAAGAGAATCACTTGAACCTGGGAGGCAGAGGTTGCAGTGAGCCGAGATTGTGCCACTGCACTCCAGCCTGGGCAACAGAGCAAGACTCTGTCTCCAAAAACAAGAAAAAGAAAAGGAAAAAGAAAAAGAAAGAAGGGAGGAAGAAAGGAAGGGAGGGAGGGAGGGGTGGGGAGGGGAGGGGAGGAAAGGGAGAGGGAGGGAAGAAAGGAGGGAGGGGTGGGGGGAGGGAGGGAGGACAGGTAGGCAGGCTATGATTGGGTTTCATTAAACGCTCTTACCTGATGGAAGAAATCATCCATGAAATGATCTTTCTCAACCACAACAACTGTGTCTCCATCATCATTCTTCCTACACTACAATGAAAAATGGAAAATTCAGTTTTTTAAAATTTTTATGTAGGCACAAATAGCGAACTGAAATACAAAAACAGTTCAATACCCACAAGATCTCAACTCACTACAGCACCAAATTGTAACAGACTAGCAGCCACCACTATCTACTCCAACTGAACTCCGCAACATTTTCAACACAACAGATCCTGGCTGAAGCAGCCAGAAGGTGGAAGACCTGGAGAGAAACAAGGGGTGGCTTTCTCAGAACTAAGCTGCTTAGAATCATTTAGTTCTCACTATGTAAGTCAATATAACACAGGCCAGTTTTACCCTCAAGAAGTGAAACTGCTGGTGTTGCATATTTTCCATAAACAGTAAAAACACTGGCCAGCCGCAGTGGCTCACGCCTGTAATCCCAGCACTTTAGGAGGCTGAGGGGGGCAGAATGCTTAAGTCCAGGAATTCAAGACCGGCCTGGGCAACATGGTGAAAACCTGTCTCTACAAAAAATTAGCTGGGCCTAGTGGCCCATGCCTGTGGTCCCAGCTACTTAGGAGGCTGAGGTGGGAGGACTACCTGAACCTGGCAGGTTTAGCTGGGCCTAGTGGCCCATGCCTGTGGTCCCAGCTACTTAGGAGGCTGAGGTGGGAGGACTACCTGAACCTGGCAGGTTGGGGCTGCAGTGACCCTGTCTCTAAAAACAAAACAAAACAAAGCAAACCCCAGCACCACCCAGAAGAACGACCATTGATCAGGAGCTGAAGACCTGGGCTCCAGCCTCCTCCCCAGCAGCCCATTAGCTTGTCTCAGTCTCTGCCTCTTGTCCATGAAATAGAGATAGTATTGTCCCATCTCCATCAGAAGACCCTAAGGATAAGATATTTATCAGTGTTTTATAAGGTAACACTACTTTCATGGGTAATATTAATATATAAACCAATAAAGGCTTCTATTAATAAAATTATTTCTAGTCCCTACTCTTTTTTTTTGGAAACAAAGTCTCACTCTGTCGCCCAGGCTGGAGTGTGGAGTGTGCAGTGGCAGGATCTCGGCTCACTGCAACCTCCGCCTTCTGGGTTCAAGTAATGCTTATGCCCCAACCTCCTGAATAGCTAGGATTACATGCACCTGCCACCACACCCGGCTTTTTTTTTTTTTTTTTTTTGTATTTTTAGTAGAGACAGGATTTCACCATGTTGGCCAGGCTGGTTTCGAACTCCTGAGCTCATGCAATCCGCCCGCCTCACCCTCCCAAATTGCTGGGATTACAGGCATGAGCCACTTCGCCCAGCCTGTACACTCGTAATTCTAAGCAAAGCAGCACTTCAAGACAAAATGGGCCGGGCGCGGTGGCTCACACCTGTAATCCCAGAACTTTGGGAGGCCGAGGCGGGTGGATCACGAGATCAGGAGATTGAGACCATCCTGGCTAACACGGTGAAACCCTGTCTCTACTAAAAATACAAAAAAAATTAGCCGGGCGCAGTAGTGGGCACCTGTAGTCCCAGCTACTCGGGAGGCTGAGGCAGGAAAATGGCATGAACCCGGGAGGTGGAGCTTGCAGTGAGCCGAGATCGCGCCACTGCACTCCAGCCTGGGTGACAGAGCAAGACTCTGTCTCAAAAAAAAAAAAAAGAAAAGAAAAGAAAAGACAAAATGGCAATCAACCGACAAGCAGCAGAAACTAACATTAAGATAGACCCACATAGTTTAACACTCTTCTCCAGGATCCCACACCACTCCAAAAACCAAAACAGAATGGCTGAAGGATATTGAGTGTCGGTTCCCAGGGTCTGCAGGAGTCAGACCAGGTGCGTTATCTGTCAATCTTCCTGGTACCACACCCCCTAGTCCCCACCATGAGGCAGGTGCTGGCATCGCTATTTCAGAGTAGAACACATGCTCAATGGTTATGGTCTCAGAGCTAAGCGGTGCCGAACCAGTAGCTGACGCCAGGTCTGACTTTACAAAACTTCCCATCTTAACAACTGTACTATTACCATGTTGACCCTCTTAAAAAGAGTAAGAGCCGTCCTTTACTTCCAGCTCACAAGAGTTGGCAATTTGAAATACTCTACACACATGTTCTCATTAATTTTATGGTCCCCATGTTGCCAGTGAGGAGGCTGAAACACAGTGCAGGGATCACTCGCAGGGACGGCAGAGCAGAAAACGGCCTGTGACTGTGATTCCACACACCCTGCTCTAACAAGCACACTCTACCCTGGGGGAAGATGGGATGCGGGGAGGAGCTGTGCTGCGGAGCCCCACCAGCCATGCAGGCCAGGTGGCCAGGTCCCACAGACTCCCCTTGCGGGGGACCCCCTCTCTTAGAAAGAGGATCTACTCCCCTGTGCGTGCCAGCCCCGCCTCTCGGGCCCACAGCCTGCTCCCTCCCTGTCTCCAAGTGCTCACTTGGGCATTAAATCCCACTAGCTGGGCACGGGGTCTCACTGCTTCCCTATGGCTATCTGCCTTGTCTTCTCAGCTGTGCGGTCTCAGAGGCGCAGGGCCAGGAATGATGGAGTGAAGCATCACCGCTTTAAGTCATTGACTGACTGTGCATTCACCCAAATACCCATGGAGGGGGTGGGGAGGAGGGGTGGAGAGCTGAAAGTGAGCTGCAGACGGCCCTTGTGGCCCTGAGCCCCGGGCCATAAAAGTGCTTCACCCCACCCTGGAGGTGCCACATGGCTCTCAGGGCATCTCACACCTCCCTGCTCTGCCAGGAACTTTAGGTTCTAGATTCAAAGTCACCTCATTTTTGTTTGTTTGGGAAACTGTAAACATATACAAAAGTAGAAGGAATACTATGGTGAGCCCTCAGTGTCGCCATCACCCAGGCTCAACAATGGTCAAGCCACAGCCTGTCTTGTTTCAGGTGGACACCCACCACTTCCCACTACTTCCTACCCCCCACACCACAAGACCATCGTGAGGCAAATCCCATGAGGCAGATGCTACTGTGGAGGCTGCACCTGCAGCTCCAGGAAAGAGGCTGCACCCATCTCAATGCTCCCCAGCGCCACGCTTCCCTGTGAAAGCAAGCTGCTTTCCCATGGTGACCGTCCCATGCTGTGTGATGCACCCCCCACAGTGGCGTGGCGTAAACAACCAGAGGCTCAACCCTCCTCTCCCATGGTGACCGTCCCATGCTGCGCGATGCACCCCCCACAGTGGCGTGGCGTCAATCCTCCTCCACTCTGAACCCACGGCACGGGCGGATTTTTGTTCCAAGTCATTCGCTTGCTGGTAAACAATTTGTTTCTCTCCCTGTAGACCAGGAAAGATCCACATGACTGGAATATGTTTCCTCTATTGTCTTATTTCTTATTCTTAAGCCTTGACTTATATGTCTTATTTCTACCTGGAAGTCTCAAAACTGATTAGATAACAGGAAACAGACCCAATAATACTGTCTTTGCTTTTCCATTCAAAAAAACAAAACAAAACAAAATGACCAAAGCAATCTTTTTGGCTTTATCCCTAAGCTACATTATTCTTGTCTTCAATGAATGTCCATGTTCAGTCTTTCAGGCTGAGATAGTGCAACAGCTGTACAACAGCCATGATTATGAGAGGGTATTTATTGTAAATAACCAAACTGCTAGTGGCAAACATTTACTAAAAGCCAGGGAATACTCTCTATATGACATACTTGATTTCCCAAGTGTCGAAGTACAGGATAAACATTTAAATATCAACATTCCATTTCGGTTAAATGTTAACAGAAGTCTCCTTAAAAGTAGCATTATAGTAAAATCACAACTCTCCCTGTGTGAATACTATTGTCAGAAACAGGTAGCAGGTAGCTTCCTGGTTTAGAGACTATTTAACAGAGAAGAGTAATTTGCCATTGGAACGATCATCATTTATAATTCAATAGAAGCTGAACTACCACAAATGGCAGAATCCAAAGCTGGACAGAATCCTGGCTTTCTTCTGCCTGTTGTTCACACACACATGCTAAGGACCTTCCATACAAATAATAATTGTGGGCAAATAAATTATAAACCTTGACATATACACAGTGGTTTTAGTACTTTGTTGCTAGAATACTTTGACTTACTTTTCACAATTAAATCACTTGGGTAAAAAAAGAAAAGAATACTTGTAATTAAACATAGGTAAAAGCTGGCCGGGTGCGGCAGCTCATGCCTGTAATCCCAGCACTTTGGGAGGCTTAACTGGGAGGATCACTTAAGCTCCAGAGTTTGAGACCAGCCTGGGCAACATGGTGATACCCCATTTTTGGTACAAAAAATACAAAAATTAGCCAGGCGTGGTGGCTCACACTTGTGAGGATCCCTTGAGCCAGGAGACTGAGGCTGTAGTGAGCAGTGATGGTGCCACTCCAGCCTGGCGATAGAGAGGGACTTTGTCTCAAAAAACAAATAAATAAATATGTAAATGCTGACTCTGGGCCAGTTTGTAAATATGGTGCTAAACGTAACCTACTTTCTCATATTTTGTATGGTGAATTACACTTTTATACCTATAATAAAATGTTATACTTTTTTATTTTTTTGTATTTTTACTAACACTTGTTTCCATTATTATTATATAAATACTTTTTAACAGGCATTTAGACTTTATGTAAATAGTATTACACTTCTGCAATTTTTTTTTTTTTTTTTTTTTGGAATCAGGGTCTTGCTCTGTCACCCAGGCTGGAGTGCAGTAGCGTGATCACAGTTCACAACAGCTTCAACCTCCTGGGCTCAGGTGATCCCTTTGCCTCAGCCTCCTGAGTAACTGGGACTACAGGCACACATATTTTTTTAGAGATGAGGTCTGGCCATGTGGCCCAGGCTGGCCTTGAACTTCTTGGCCCAACCAATCCTCCCACCTTGGTCTCCCCACGTGCTGGTATTACAGGCATGAGCGACTACACCCGGCCTGCCTCTGCAATTTAATCATTTTTTTTTTTCCTCTCAGCTATACATTCATATTTCTCCACTCAGCATATATTGCTCTAGTGTTAGGTGAAACCACACCATATGGTTCAACCTCATACATTCATCTTACTGCTGCATACACTCCATTATATAAACAGCCATGAGGTAGCCATCCAGGCTCCTATTGTGCCTAATATTTTTCCATTACCAACAATATAACGAACCACAGTTACAAGGCTGCACATGCATGTCAGGATGGTTTTCTGGAACATACACACACATGCAGAGAGAGGACCACCGAGCCATGGGGTTTAAGCGTCTTCAGCTTCACTAAACAATGCCAAATTGCTCTCCAAAGCACTTGCAATAAATTGGATGCCCCCAGCATGGCACATGGACATGAGACACTGCCAGGCTAATCTTGAGCTACCAAGGGCCCACCACATGATCTCGCCCCAGGAATGAGGATCAGAACTGACATGATGAAGCCTAGAGAGCGTGAACTAGAGAGCATTTAAACTTGGGGGCGGGGGCAGCCCCTTACACCAGGCCGTGGAGACGAAGAGAAACCCTCAGGATCTCGCTCCAGCCAACCTCCTCAGCTCACTCACGTCTCACCTCCGCCCACTGCTGACCATCCACTCACTACCGACAGCATCTTTCTGTCCCTTGCATGACTTCGTTCCCAACTCTGGGCCTCTGGACTTGCTGTGCCTTCTACCCAGGGCACCCTCCCCCAGCCCTGTCCACAGCCGCTTTCTTATCCACAGCTCAGCTCACGGGGTGGCCCCCTGACCCACCCGGCCAAGGCAGCCACACCCACACCCTCGCCCTGCTTATTCCTTCACAGCAAGGATTGCGAAAGACACTTGATTCATCTGCTCAGCTGCTGTCTATCTCCCAGCTGCAGGTTCCACAAGAGCAAGGACTTCTGTCTTTTCACAACCCAGGCATTCTGCCCACAGCAGTGCCTGGCACCCAGCCGCCAGTCAGTGATGACCAGGTCAACAAACGAGTGAATGAATGAATGAAGAGCAAGAGAAGGGCAGACACAGACAAGGGGGAGGAGAGTGGGAAAGTACACACAAATGACAAACGTCAACAAACGGAAACAGAGACACACACACAGACTAAGACCCCGCAAGCACAAAACGGCCACGACACAAGGACAGGAAGGACCTCAGTGGCTCGCTCCGTCCTAACTCCATCCCTCATGAGGGCTGATGGTACTACGTGCCCTCAAAGCCTGGGAGAAATCACTCTACCTTTTTTTTTTTTTTTTTTGAGATGGATTCCCACTCTGTTAGCCAGGCTAGAGTGCAGTGGCAGGATCTTGGCTTACTGCAACCTCCACTTCCCAGGTTCCAGCTATTCTCTCACCTCAGCTTCCCAAATAGCAGAGATTACAGGCACCTACCACCACCCCCAATTAATTTTTGCATCTTTAGTAGAGACGAGGTTTCCCCCTGTTGGCCAGGCTGATCTAGAACTCCTGACCTCAAGTGATCCTTCCACCTTGGACTCCCAAAGTAGTGGGATTACAGGCGTGAGCCACCCCACCCAGCCCATTCTGCCTTTTAATAAATCTCCCTTTTCTGCTTTAGCTGATGGGTTTCTGTCCCTTTTAACCAAAAGGCCTTGAAGACAACAGATTCCAGTGGCATCTACATTTTTCTTACCATGGGCATTTTCAAATGGAAACAGACTGATTCAATAAATACCTGGCAGGTGCTCTGGATCAGGCACCATGCAGAATACTGAGGCTTCAGAGCACAAATGACAGTATGCATCTGTCCTGAAAAGGCTGAAGCACTGGGGGAAGGGTGCAGGAAAAAACAGGACTGCATCTGTGTCCAGAATGCCCCAAGACAAGATGGGCCATCTGTGGGAACATGCGAGGAAAGGGAGGCAGGAAGGCTTCCCAGTGATGCCTAACCTGAGACTAAAAAAGGTGCAAGGCTACATGTGGTGGCTCACGCCTGTAATCCCAGCACTTTGGGAGGCCGAGGCGGGTGGATCACCTGAGGTCGGGAGTTCGAGACCAGCCTGGCCAATGTGGTGAAACTCCACTTCTACTAAAAATACAAAAATCAGCTGGGTGTCATGGGAGGCTGAGGCGGGAGAATTCCTTGAACCCTAGAGGCGGAGGATGCAGTGAACTGAGATTGCACCATTGCACTCCACCCTGGGCAAGAAAGCGACACTCTGTCTCAAAAAAAAAAAAAAAAAAAAAGGTACAAGGCAAGAGAGAAGGCGCAGAGGGAGAAGTCCAGTGGTTCAGACAAAGGGAGCAGCACCTGCAAGGGCAGGGAGGAGGGGCGTATCAGTCCGGAGGCAGGAGCAAATCCTGCCACCACAAGGCGATAGATCTGGGCTCCTAGGGAGCTCTTCTATGGATCAGTTATTTCTTACAGTTGCTACTCCTTAAATTCAGAATAGACCTCAAGTTAAAAACAAGAAGTGATTAATCTGTAAAAACATATAGATTTTGCTCTTCAAACTAAAGGACATGTTTAGATATACAAATGAGTAAACCTATTATAATTAAGAATAGAGAAACTATAGACTCCAACTGTAGGAACTGTTTGTATGAGAACACACAAAATATAAAAATTTGGCAGGATTGCATAAGTTATGACATTCTAAACTATAAATATATGCATATATAAAATTATGTTCATATATTAAACTCTTAGTATTTTAAGTTCCAGTGAAGTTTTTTAATCTTCTTATTTTATGAATTGGAACCTGCATCTTCACTATACAACATTCTGCACTACGTGGACAAACATGAGCTGTCAAAAAATAACTTTTAAAAATATCTGAGCAGTGTTTTCCGCCCTTTAAGAAATTATATTTGCAGGCCAGGCACGGTGGCTCACGCCTGAAATCCCAGCACTTTGGGAGCCTAAGGTGGGCAGATTGCTTGAGCTCAAGAGTTGAAGACCAGCCTGGGCAACACAGCGCAACCCCATCTCTATAAAAAATACAGAAGTTTGCTGGGTGCAGCGGCACGCGCCTGTGGTCCTAGCTACTCAGGAAGCTGAGGCGGGAGGATGGCTTGCGCCTGGGAGGTCAAGGGTGCAATGAGTAATGATCGTGCCCCTGCACTCCAGCCTGGGCGACACAGTGAGATCCTGTCTCAAAGAAAAAAAAAAGAGATTTGCAATTCATCACCTTGAAACCAGGATGAAAAATAACGTTCTCATTTCTTTTAGGTCTACTAAGAACACCACACAGCTACTGTGTATTTATTGTTTATTATCATGCAAACAATTCCCACAGATGAAATGTGTGGTTTCTCTATTCTTCACTATAATAAATAGATATATCATATATATGTATCAAATATAAATACATCAATGTTCATAAACTTTTTTTAAAAAGTAATCAAAATACGTTTGGGGTGGTTATCTTATAGAATAGCTATTCCATTTTGCTTACGTCCTACAGTGAATTTCATTACACCTCGGTCACTCTTCCTTCCCAGGCTGCATGCATCCCCACCCACGCTCAGTTCACTGCTGTGTCTCTCTGCACCCAGCACATGATCTGCTAGAGGCCTGACATTCAAGTACCTGCTGGATGGGCGAGTCTTTTACTTTCTGTAAATCAGAAATATCTTTCTGGATTTAGAGTGTCAGAGATCTGGACCAAGTCACGCAAACTTTCTATGCCCAAATGACTGGTTGCTCAAAAACAGCATCACTGGTTAGAAACTACATCTGTCAGTACAGATTGTATTGAGCAGATTACTCTTTAAGCCCTGTCCACGTAACTGTCAGAGGCACGTTCTTCACAGGAACAAGCATCAGCAGCTAAGAAAAGAAACTTCATGGAAGCATCACAAATACTTTGTTAATCAGACATTGTTGATGAGGCATTTTAACCAACAAAATATTCAACTTTACCTAGAAAAAAACACCAGCCATTTACAAGCACGGTTGTGAGTACACATTCAACTACTCTAAGAACTACTGGGAAAGGACACATTTCCTGGGGCGGGGCGGGGGAGGGGAATTAAACTTGTATCTGGTAACTTTAAGATGGGTTTTTAAATATTAAAAGTTATTAAACTTCAAATTCAGTTTTAACTTACTATTTTATACTAGGGAGAAGGTTGTTCTTTTCTCTTTTTTTGAGACAGGGTCTCAATCTGTCTGTTGCCCAGGCTGGAGGGCAGTGGCAAAATCTTGGCTCACTGCAACCTCCGCCTCCTGGACTCAAGCAATCTTCCCACCTCAGCCTCCTGAGTAGCTGGAACCACAGGCATGCACCACTACACCTGGCTGAGTTTTTGTATGTTTTTTGTAAAGACAGGGTTTTGCCATGTTGCCCAGGCTGGTCTTGAACTCCTGAGCTCAAATGATCTGCCCACCTCAGCCTCCCAAAGTGCTGGGACTACAAGTGAAAGCCACTGTGCCCAGCCAGAAGGCTGCTTTTTATAACTCCCTAAAAACAAAAAATCTGGTAAACATTAATCACACTTATAATTACATAGCACTTGCTCCCTCCCACCTTCTCCCAGAGCTTCACACATTAGATAATTTTATGCTTCATAACTCCCTCTATGAGGTGGACAAGAGAGATACCACTGTCCCCATTTCACGTACAAGAAAAAGTTTTGAGAGATTTAAAAATTATTTGCCCAAGATGAGAAACTCCATGAGTGGAAACTTCCACGGATATACTCTCTGACTGCTCAGCTGCTGTGTCTAAAGCAGGATGGTATTGAAGTAGATGAGCTGACTTCTAGCTCTGCCGTTCTAGAACAAAACTGATTGACATGTTCTACTGTTTCAGGAAGGGTTTGGATATATAGAAACTGAGTGACAAATAATTGCCTTATTTGCTTTTTGCTATTCAAGCCAAGAAAACGTACTTTCTCACGATTCCCCAACATATAAATTTGGCTGTATTTTGCCAAAATAGTCACAGCTCTCACGTTCAATGACATTGAGCTTTTTTTTTTTTTTTTTATGAGACAATGTCTCACTCTGTCACCCAGGCGGGAGTGCAGTGGCATGGCACAATCATGGCTCACTGCAGCCTCTATCTCCTGGGCTCAAGGAATCCTCCTAGCTTAGCCTCCTGAGTACCAAGGACTACAGGTGCGAGTCACACCTGGATAGTTTTTTTGTGCGTGCTTTGTTTTGTTGGTTTTTCTGAAACAGAGTCTCTTTCTGTTGCCCAGACTGGAGTACAGTGGCACAATCTCGGCTTTCTGCAACCTCCGCCTCCTGGATTCAAGCGATGCTCCTGCCGCAGCCTCCAGAGTAGCTGGGACTACAGGTGTGCGCCATGACATCCGGCTATTTTAGTAGAAACGGGGTTTTGCCATGTTGGCCAGGCTAGTCTCCAACTCCTGACCTCAAGTGGTCCACCCAACTCGGCCTCCCAAAGTGCTGGGATTACAGGCATGAGCCACTGCGACTGGCCTCCTGCTAATTTTTTAATTTTTTTCGAGAAACAGTGTCTCCCTGTGTTGCCCAAGCTGGTCTCCAATACCTGGGCTCAAGTGATGCCCCCACCCTGATCTCCCAGACTGCTGGGATTACAGGAGTGAGCCACAGCTTTTCTTCATTAAATAAATACCTGAGCTCCTACTACACGGCACTGAAAGATAATCCATCGGGCAAGACAACACAACTATAATTTGCTGTGTTTAAGATGATATTGATCTGCGGAACACAGGGAATATTTGTCCATTAATAAAAAAGGAAAAATCACCGTGAAGAAACTTCCTTGGAATGAATATAAAGCATAATTTCCATGATCCTAAGGATGAAATCATTGCCTTTCTCAACCAGAGCTCCTCATCTGAACCACAGAACACAGATAATGATTTAAGTGGCTCTTTTCTCTATTCTCCCACTCGGGGGTACATAACAGCTCCATTCTAGCAGCAGAGGAGAGAGAATAATTCATTACATGCAGTGGGTGTCGTAGGGCTGTGGGCCTTAGCACCCCTGTTCTGAGGCTGCCAACAATTTAGAGACCAGAGGCTCTATCTGTGCACACACGTAGCATGAATTAGTACCTGTATTGTAAAGGGAAAAAGTCATAACTACTTCTGCTGGCCTAAGCCGTCCTGGGTTAGACAAGCTTGGAAAGTGCACGACCATCACTATCATTCCGCTGTCACTGCACCATGCACAGTCCTGTCACCTTTACACGTGTAGAATGCATCGAAATCCTTCCAAAATTTTTAGTGACCTGCTTTTCCCTTGCTAAAGTAAACAGTAACTTGCTGTGTGCCCGGCTGCTGGGCGCGTAAGGTGCGTTCAGAGTCAACACACGGTCCCAGTTTCCAAAGCAAACTACTGGGAGATCAGACACAAGCTGCTGTTCGCGCTCGCCCCACCCCAAGCACCCAGCACTCTAAGGTGCCCACATTTCACACCCATCTGTTGCCTCCCGCTTGGTGCACAGTCCTTTGTGAAGCCCCAGGGATAAAGCAGCGACCAAGAGGACCCGGCCTGCTCCCCGGGGCTGACGCCAGCTGCGGGGACCCCGTGGGGCGGACCACAGTTAGGCCAGTGGGCTCCGGCTGGGTAAGCGCCAGATACAATCCGCCAAGCGGAGTGACGGACAGGGAGCCACGCTCGAAGAGGGGGTCGAGGCCGGGACCTTCCCCGCTCCCTCCTCCTGCCCCAACCCGCCCTGAGGACTCCGCCCAGGAAGCCCTGGGGACCCCGCCCGGAGCCCCCACCCTAGGACTCCCGGGACCCCCGCCCTGGGGACCCCACCAGCAGTCCCCGCTCAGGACTCCCTGAGACCCTGCCCGCAGCCCCCGCCCCAGAACGCCGGAGATCCCCGCCCTGGGGACCCTCCCGGAGCCCCGCCCAAGACGCCCCGAGCCCCCGCCCGCCCTCCAGACGCCGCCCCGGCCGGGCCTGAACCGCTACCCGCGGCTGCCGCTCACCGCCGTCAGGTCTGGCAGCCGGTCCCGCATCCCCGCCGGCCGGGCAGCGCGCCCCGCCGCTCAAGCCTGTCCCGAGCTGCCTCCGGCCGGGCCTCGGGCTCTCCGGTCTCCGCCTCAGGCCCCGCGGTCCCGGCCCGGCGCCAGCAGCCCTCCCTGGAGCCGGCGCTGCCACGGCAACCGCGCCCCGCGCGCTCTGCGCATGCCCGGCCCGCGCCGCGCCCCGCACCCACCCACACGGCGGCAGCGCTTTCCAGCGGGAGCCCGGAGGGGCGGGGCCTGGGGGCGGGGCCTAGGCGGGGAGGGGCGGGGTCCGGCCGAGCCCCAGGCTGGCAGTTCCGCTACACGTGCTGTTTGTCCCTTGATCTGCTTTTATGCTTTCACACTCATTGTTTTATTTATCAAAATATAGAGCATTCAACGAATAGTGACAAAAGAGCAAAGCTCCCGGAATGTGCTGGGTGCAGCTTTGGGTAATACATATGCCGAACCTTCTCTTTAAGGGTCCACGCGCAGCCTCGGGTGTGAATGAAGGAGAAGAGATCGTGTACCACACATGATGCTTACGGAGCATAACACGGCAGGGGGCGGTAACGGGAAGAGCGTCCGCAGGCCCAGCCCTGGGATACCATTCTGGCAGGAGAAACAGGCAATACAGACACAGACAAATAAATGATAGATGAGAAAAGAAAGTAAGGGCATGGGCACGGAACTGGCAGAGAGGTCGTCATGAAGGTGCAGGAGCTTAGGTGAACTACCCAGGTTGGGGGAACAGTCCCCAAGACCATTATCACCTCTGACACCAACGGCAAATTCTGGCGGTTTCCAAAACCACCTTCAAGTTCCATAATTTGCTAGAAGGAATCACAGAATACACTAAAAACTACTGTACTCACAACTATGGTTTCTTAGCAGGAAAATGATACGGATTAACATCAGCCAAGGAAGAAGGGCAGAGGGGGAGTCTGGGGATTACGGCGTGCAGCTTCAAGGTCCTCCCGTGGTCCTCTCCCTGTGTAGTCAGGCCTCATTACTTGCCCTGCACTGATGTGTGGCCTTACACACGAAGTACTGCCAGCCAGGGAAGCTCACTTGAGCCACAGTGTGCAGAACGTTTACTGGGCTCCATTGCATGTGCATGATTGATTGATTGTTTGATTGCTTTCATGCTTGATCTCAGCCTCTTGGTTAAGTGATATCCATGTAACCCTAAGCCCCCACCATAAATCACACTGTTACTCTCTGGCTAGCCGAAGACTCCCAGGCAAACAAAGATTGCCTTCCAGGAGGAGAAGGCAAGGCCAGATTTGTTTTTAAACAAGGTTAAAGTCTTTACTGCCTCCTGGAGGAGGTGGCTTTGGTCTGACCAGAAGGCAGCGCTAAGAAATCTGCTTGAGAGCAACAGGCTACACATTAAAAAACAGGACGTTTTGGACTTGGTTCTAGGTGTGATGTGGTTCTGTTACCCGATGGAAGGTCTTGACAGCCAGTTGTCCAGGTGAGTGTGGTGGCGGGCACCTGTAATCCCAGCTACTCAGGAGGCTGATGCATGAGAATTGCTTGAACCCGGGAGGTGGAGCTTGCAGTGAGCCAAGATCGCACCACTGCACTCCAGCCTGGACAGTAAAGCGAGACTCCGTCTCCAAAAAAAAAAAAAAGATATGTTTTTTCTCTCCATATCCTGAACTTCCCCACCAGAATGCCTCCTGGACCCCGCAACAGGCAAGTGCTTTTCTTTCGGCCTTCTTGCCTCTGCCACCACCATTTTAATTCTCCCTCTCTGGTAAATACTGGGCCCTCCCTCGTTTCTCCCTCTCTCCCAGTGGATTTTTCAAAAACATATGATAATATTGGCAGCAGCTGGATGGTGTTGAATTGGCAACCAAAACTTTTTGTTTGTTTGTTTGTTTGTTTGAGACAGAGTCTTATTCTGTCTCCCAGACTGGAGTGCAGTGGCATGGTCATAGTCCACTGCCGCCTTGAACTCCTGGGCTCAAGTAATCCTCCCACCTCAGCCTCCAAAAGCACAGGGACCACAGACATGAGCCCACCATGCCCAACCTCAAAACTTTCCTTATCCTGCCAGAGAAAAAAAATGAAGTTGTGAATAATCGTTGTGGGAATTCAGGGACCCTGAATGGAGGGACCGGCTGAAGCCATGGAAGAAGAACATAAATTATGAAGATTTCATGGACATTTATTAGTTCCCCAAATTAATACTTTTATAATTTCTTATGCCTGTCTTTACTGTAATCTCTGAACATAAATTGTGAAGATTTCATGGACACTTATCACTTCCCCAGTCAATACCCTTGTGATTTCCTAGGCCTGTCTTTACTTTAATCTCTTAATCCCATCATCTTCGTAAGCTGAGGAGGATGTATGTCGCCTCAGGACCCTGTGATGATTTTGTTAACTGCACAAATTGTTTGTAGAGCATGTGTGTTTGAACAATATGAAATCTGGGCACCTAGAAAAAAGAACAGGATAACAGCAATGTTCAGGGAACAAGAGAGATAACCTTAAACTCTGACTGCCGGTGAGCCAGGCGGAACAGAGCCGTATTTCTCTTCTTTCAAAAGCAAATGGGAGAAATATTGCTGAATTCTTTTTCTCAGCAAGGAACATCCCTGAGAAAGAGAAAGCATCCCTGAGGGTAGGCCTCTGAAATGGCCGCTTTGGGGGTGGCTGGGCATGGTGGCATGTGCCTGTAGACTACTCAGGAGGCTGAGGCAGGAGGATTGCTTGAGCCCAGGAGGTTAAGGCTGAAGTGAGCTGTGACTGTGCCACTGCACTCCAGCCTGGGCAACAGAGTGAGACCCTGTCTAAAAAAATATATATATACACATACACACATGCACTATAAATATATAGTATATACATACTATACACACACATATAGTGTATACATGCTATATACACACATATAGTACATACAAGCTATATGTATATACAGATCGCAGCTGTAGGGATGAAATAAGCCCCAGTCTCCTGTAGCCCTCCCAGGCTTATTAGGACGAGGAAATTCCCGCCTAATAAATTTTGGTCAGACCAGTTGTCTGCTCTCAAACCCTGTTTCCTGATAAGATGTTATCAATGACAGTGCCTGCCCGAAACTTCATTAGCAATTCTAATTTCTCCCCGGTCCTGTGGTCCTGTGATCTCGCCCTGCCTCCATTTACCTTGTGATATTCTATTACCTTGTGAAGCATGTGATCTCTGTGACCCACACCCTATTTGTACACTCCCTCCCCTTTTGAAAATCGCTTATAAAAACTTGCTAGTTTTATGGCTCAGGGGGCATCACGGAACCTGCCGACATGTGATGTCTCCCCCAGACACCCAGCTTTAAAATTTCTCTCTTTTGTACTCTGTCCCTTTATTTCTCAGACCGGCCAACACTTAGGGGAAATAGAAAATAACCTACGTGAAATATTGGGGATGAATTTTGCCCAATATCTGGCTGAATTTCCCCTGATAAATAATAATGTGTAATTTATCATTTTTGTTCATATTACATACATACATATGCAGTCAAGGTGTTTTTGGGGTCAAAACATCAACCAGATCACAACAGTGCGTTCAAAACACCATCATAACAGCCAAACACTAAAATTGAATGAAATCTACATGGAGGCTGAGGTGGGAGGATTGCTTGAGCCCAGGAGTTGGAGGCTGCAGTAAGCTGTGATCATGCAACTGCTCTCCAGCCGGGTCCACAGAGCAAGACCCTGTTTCTAAAAAATAAATAAATAAATAAATAAATGTTTAAAAAACTTAAAGAAGAAAACGCGAAAGAGGCAGAGGAAGAGGAAGAAGGAAAAAAGAGAGGAAGAAGGAAAAAAGAAGGAAGAAAGAAAAAAGGAAGGAAGGAGAAAAAAGGAAAAAGAAAGGAAGGAAGGAAGGAGAAAGGAAATATGGAAGAAAGAAAGAAAGAAGAAGGAAGGAAGGAAGGAAGGAAGAAAGAAAGAAAGAAAGAAAGAAAGAAAGAAAGAAAGAAAGAAAGAAAGAAAGAAAGAAAGAAAAGAGAAACAAAGGGCTAAGTTACATTCCCGAGAAAATCTGACTGGAGCCTGGGCAACATAGCAAAACACTGTCTCTGCAAAAAATTTTTAAAAATTAGCTGGGCATGGTGGCATGTGCCTGTAGGTTACTCAGGAGGCTGACGCAGGAGGATTGCTTGAGCCCAGGAGGTCAAGGCTGAAGTGAGCTGTGATTGTGCCACTGCACTCCAGCCTGGGCAACAGAATGAGACCCTGTCTAAATATATATATAATATATATTACATATATATATAATTTATATATATATTATATATATTATATATACATTATATATATAATATATATAATTTATATATATATATTATATATTATATATACATTATATATATAATATATATAATATATATATACACACACATCCACTGTAAATATATAGTATATACATACTATATGCACACATATAGTATATACATGCTATATACACACATATAGTACATATAAGCTATATACACCCATATAGTACATACAAGTGGTATACACACACATATAGGATATACATGCTATATATACTCATATAGTACGTGCTACATATACACATATATAGTATATACTATATAGTATGTATATGCTACATAGTATATAGTATATACACACATATGTATATAGTATATACATGTAGTATATATACACATATGTATGTATGTATATATGTATATATAGTATATATTGTATATATACTACGTATATATAGTATATATTGTATGTATACTACGTATATATAGTATATATTGTATGTATACTACGTATATATAGTATATATTGTATGTATACTACGTATATATAGTATATGTCGTATATATCATATATATACTATGTATATATAGTATATATCGTATATATCATATATATACTATGTATATATAGTATATATCGTATATATGCTACGTATATATCTTATATATGCTACGTATATATAGTATATATTGTGTATATACTACTGTATATATGGTATATGTTGTGTATATACTACTGTATATAGTACATATACAATATATACTATATATGTATATACAGAATATATACATATATGTATATACACAATATATACATATATGTGTATACACAGCATATATTTTATATGTATATACACAGTATATACTGTATATGTATATATATACACACAGTATGTACTGTATATGTATATATACAGTATATACTATATATGTATATATACTGTATATACTATATACTGTATATTCTATAATACAGTATGTACATGCTATTTATCGTATGTATATACTATAATACAGTGTATACATGCTATTTATCGTATGTATATACTATAATACAGTGTATACATGCTATTTATTGTATGTATATACTATAATACAGTATATACATGCTATTTATCATATGTATATACTATATTTGTGTATAGTATGTATATACTATATGTGTGTATAGTATGTATATACTATATGTGTGTATAGTATGTATATACTATATGTGTGTATAGTATGTATATACTATATATGTATAGTGTGCATGTGTGTGTGCATGTGTGTGTGTATATATGTATGTTTTTTTTAGCCAGGGTCTCTGTTGCCTAGGCTGGAGTGCAGTGGCACAATCACAGCTCACTTCAGCCTTGACCTCCTGGGCTCAAGCAATCCTCCTGCCTCAGCCTCCTGAGTAGCTTACAGGCACATGCCACCATGCCCAGCATATACATATAGTATGTATATTCTGTATGTATAATATGTATATACTATATATGTATGTATAACGGGTCAAGTGCTCCGTTTAACTGTGATTCTAGGACTTTCTATGCTGGCCCAACTCTGGCATCTTGCACCACTTTCCCATGATTCTTCCCTTAGGGTGGCCTGCCCGCATGTGTAGTGCTTTCTTCATGCTGGGGAAGTGAGCATGTGCAGTATGTTTAGCAAGCTGTACGCATGCCCATCTGAGACTTTCTTCCCTTTCCTAGCAGAGAGCCCCACAGGAGGTCATACTCCGCCATTTTGTCTCTTAATGCAAATGCTCAGACTCCCTTGCCCAATACCTGAGATTTTATTAGAATCCCTTTCTGCTTCTCCTGGCACTTGCCTTCAATTAACACTCTAATATAACCGCTGCAGACCATCAGGAGATTGTCTCTCGCTGGCGCCAGCTGCTGAATTATCATTTTGAGAGAGGCAGTGTGATCATTGTTGAACCAGCACCTGATGGTCTCCTGACATTCCTGGTGGGTCAGGGGAGAGCCCTCTCCTGCCCCACTCATGCCTGTCTACCTGTAACAGGCTGAAGAATGGACCCCAACAGAAGTACACCCTAATCCTCAGAATTTGTACTATGTCACCTTAGATGGCAAAGTCTATAATCACAGGTCATAGACTTTCCTGGAGTATTGGGAGTTAGCTCAGTCTAATCACACAAGCCCTCAAAAGCAGAGCACTTTCCCCAGCTGGAATAAAAGATGTAGCAGAGGGGGAAGTCAGACCCCAAGTGTAAGGATTTGATGTACTCTTGCTAGCTCTGAAATGTAGGGGCCCCATGCAAGGGCCCAAGAGAGACCTCTAGGAGCTATGGATGGACCTCAGTACACAGCCAGCAAAGAAATGGGAACCTCAGTTCTTGAGCTGTGAAGAACTGCATTCTGCCAGCAATAGGAGTGGGCTTGGAAGTGAATTCTCCCTTGTGCCTCCCAACAAGAGCCCAGGGGCTGCACCTTGATTTCAGCCTTGTGAAACCCAGAGTAGAGAGCCAGTGGAGCCCACTCAGGCTTCTGACCTACTGAATTGGGAGCTAACAAATGTGCCTTATTTAAAGTTGCTACGTCTTTTTTTGTTTTGTTTCATTTTGTATGAGACAGAGTCTGGCTTTGTTGCCCAGGCTGGAGTGCAGTGGCATGATCTTTGCTCACTGCAACCTCTGTCTCCCAGGTTCAAGCGATTCTCTGATTCTCCTGCCTCAGCCTCCTGAGTAGCTGGGATTACAGGCGCCCACCATCATGCCCGGCTAATTTTTGTATTTTAAGTAAAGATGGGGTTTCACCATGTTGGCCACGCTGACCTCGAGCTCCTGACTTCAAGTGACCCGCCTGCCTGGCCTCCCAAAGTGCTGAGATTACAGACATGAGCCATTGTGCCTGGCCCTAGAGTTGCTACATCTTTATCATTGTTACAGCAGCAACAGAAAACTAGCAGTCATTTAGTAAAATTAGGTATTTAGCTCCTGAAGAATAGGGAATATAGGCTGGAGGATAGATAATATATTATGTACCCCTTGTCAAGAAATGTTACAAGTGAATGAATGAACAGGGCAAGGAAGGTGATTTATTGATCTTGGTAGCCTTCCCTACCCCACACAGCTATGTTTCTGGTGGACATGAACTGAATAAATCAAATATTCAGTTAGTCCCCAGGGAATGAGAAGGGCATATATAGAGTTAGAACAGAGCTGAATGCATTCTGAAATCACAATAGGAAACAGATGTGAGAGTTTACAGGCTGCAGACTCATGGGCAATATACACATCTTCTATTCAGTCTAACATACCCCAGCTTTTCTCTGTACAGTCTAGGGTTTTCCTCTGCACCATTGGTTTTATTTCTCCTACTTGACTCACCCATCAGAAATGGTTGTTGGCCAGTGGTTCATGCCTGTAATGCCAGTACTTTGGGAGGCCAGCTGATCAGTTGAGGTCAGGAGTTCGAGACCAGCCTGAGCAACATGATGAAACCCCGTCTCTACTAAAAATACAAAAATTAGCCGGGCATGGTGGCGGGTGCCTGTAATCCCAGCGACTTGGGAGTCTGAGACAGGAGAATAGCTTGAACCCAGGACTTGGAGGTTGTGGTGAGCTGGGATCACACCACTGCACTCCAACCTGGACAGAGCAAGACTCTGTTTCAAAGAAAAAAAGAAAAGAAAAGAAATGAAATTTTTTTTTTTTTACTTTTAAGTTCAGGGGTGCACGTGCCAGTTTGTTATATAGGTAAACTTGTGTCATGGGGGGTTGTTGTACAGATTAGTACATTACCAAGGTACTAAGCCTAGTAGCCATTAGTTATTTTTCCTGATCCTCTCCCTCCTCCTACCCTCTACCCTCCAAAAGGCCACAGTGTGTGTTGTTTCCCTCTATGTGTCCATGTGTTCTCACCATTTAGCTCCTACTTCTAAGAGAGAACACGTGGTTATTTGGTGTCTGTTCCTGCGTTCCTTTGCTAAGGACAGTGGCCTCCAGTTCCACCCACGTTGCTGCAAAGGACATGATCTCGTTCTTTTTTTATAGCCGTGATTCATAAGCACACTGAAGTTTGAGCCCACACTCTAAAGATTAGAGCACATTGGCAACATGGCCTGCAGATGTATGGGATTCTTAGATTCATATTCGTAGTGTTTGTGTTCCTCGGTGTACAAGCCTGGCTGAACACCTCGACTATACAGAATAAGGTTTCCAGCAAATAGGCAGAGAAGCCGGCAGAAAGGGAGATGGGGGAACAGGGGGGCTTAGCATCGTGTTTTTGTTTTTGTTTTTGTTTTGAGGCAGGGTCTCACTCTGTGGCCCAGGCTGGATGCAGTGGCCCCATCTCACCTCACTGTAGCCTCTACCTCCCTGGCTCAAGCAATCCTCCCATCTCAGCCTCCCAGGTAGCTGGGACTACGGTTGTGTGTCACCACGACCCACTAATTTTGTTTATTTTTTCTGCAGACAGGGTCTCCCTATGTTGCCTAGGCTGGTCCTGAATTCCTGGGCTGAAGTGATCCACCCTCCTCAGCCTCCCAAAGTGCTGGGATTACAGGCATGAGCCACCATGCGTGACCCCTGGCCTGTTGTTTTAAAAGCACTGAAACCTTAAGAACATAAGCCCTTCATTATAAGGAATGATGTTGCCTTATAAAAGATGATGACAAATTTGCTTCATAAAATGAAGAAAAGATTTAAAAATACTCTTTACTGCTTCCTACAGGAAATCTGAGAAAGTTAATAAACACTGAGCAAGGGAGGCCAGCATGGTGGCTTACACCTGTAATCCCAGCACTTTGGGAGGCAGAGGTGGGAGGATCGCTTAAGTCCAGGAGTTCAAGACCAGCCTGAGCAACATAGCAAGACCCTGTCTCTATAAAAAATAAAAAATTAGCAAGGCGTGGTGGTGCAGACCTGTGGGCCCAGGTACTTGGGAGACTGAAGTGGGAGGATCGCTTGAGCCCAAGAGGTCAAGGCTGCAGTGAGCTGTGATTGTGACACTGCATTCCACCCTGGGCAACAGAGTGAGGCCCTGTCTCTATTAAAAACAAAAAACAGGGCCAGGCACAGAGGCTCACACCTATAATCCCAGCACTTTGGGAGGCTGAGGCGGGTGGATCATGAGGTCAGGAGCTTGAGACCGTCCTGGCTAACACGGTAAATCCCCATCTCTACTAAAAATACAAAAAAACGAGCCTGTAGTCCCAGCTACTCAGGAGACTGAGGGAGGAGAATTGTTTGAACGCAGGAGGCAGAGGTTGCAGTGAGCTGAGACCGCACTACTGCACTCCAGCCTGGGTGACAGAGTGAGACTCCATCTCAAAAAGAAAAACAGGCTGGGCATGGTGGCTCATGCCTGTAATCCCAGCACTTTGGGAGGCTAAGGCAGGCAAATCACTTGAGGTTAGGAGTTCAAGACCAGCCTGGCCAACATGGTGAAACCCCATCTCTACTAAATAAAATAAAAAAAAATCAGCCAGGTATGGTGGTGGGTACCTGTACTTCCAGCTACTCAGGAGGCTGAGGCAGGAGAATTGCTTGAACTGGTGAGGCAGAGGTTGCAGTGAGCTGAGATCATGCTACTGCACTCCAGCCTGGGTGACAGAGCAAGACTCCATCTCAAAAAATAAATAAATAAATAAATAAATAAATAAATAAATAAAATTAAAATAAAAAACAAAAGCACTGGTGAGTGAAGCCATTTTGGGCATTCTACTGCAACCCAGCTGCCAGCTTAATGTAGCAAGTGAGTGGACCCCAACCAACACCACCTGGAGCAGAAGAACCAACAAGCTGAGCCCTGCCCATATTCGTGACCCTCAGAATTGTAAACCAAAAAGTATCTGAGACAGGTCTCAATCAATGTAGGTTAAGGACATGCCTGGAAAAAATAAACACAGACTCACAGAAGCAATCATCTGTGGCCTCTGCCTTTCTCCAAAGATGATTTTGAGGGCTTCAGTGTTTAAAGGGGAAAAGCAGGCTTCAGGCGAAAAGGGAGGGTGTGGTCATCCACATGCTGCGAGAGAAAAGGAGCAGGTAGGGGAATCATCAATTATGTATTCATCTAGTGCCCAGTAAATCAGCACTTTATTTTTTATTTTTGTATATATATTTTAGGCAGGGTCTCACTCCATCACCCAGGCTAGAGTGCAGTGGTGTGAACTCAGCTCACTGCAACCTCCGCCCTCCAGGTTCAAGTGATTCTCTTGCCTCAGCCTCCCAAGTAGCTGGAATCATAGGCACCCACCACCACACCCAGCTAATTTTTGTATTTTTAGGAGAGACGGGGTTTTTGCCATGTTGCCCGGGCTGGTCTCGAACTCCTGAGCTCAAGGCATCTGCCCACCTTGGCCTCCCAAGGTGTTAGGATTACAGGTGTGAGCCACTGCACTTTATGTAGATAAGGTGAATGCAGAGTAGCAACCTGAGGAGGTGTTTAACCTTTGATCTGTAGCTGTCTGCTTCAGAACAAAAGGAAAGACAGTTTCATTCATGACTCAGCTTTCAGCTTAATGTTTTTCTTTTGGCAGAGTGAATTGGGGTCCGAGTATTTATTTTTCCTTCACAGAATCATGAGAAATTATAAATCATTGTTGTATTATGCCATTAAGTTTTGGGGTAGTCGATTATGCAGTAGATAACTGGAGCAAATAATTAAAGAGAATCTTGTTCATTTATGTAGAAATGTGTATTTAGTACCCACTGTAAACCAAAAATAAAATTCTAAGCCCCCCAACCATCTGAATGGACCCCTCTTCTCAGCCAAGGGCATTCCAAAGTAACCTGAAAAACCAGTTCAGGCCATGATGGGAAGTGGGGTTGGACATGCCTCATGATGCCCTCCTCCCTTTGGAATTCAGGAAAAGCGGAACAGCATTAACATCAACACAGACCTTAGGTCTGTTGAAACATTTACAATCTATTCTCTCTGAAGTCTGCTACTTGGAGGCTTCATCTGCATAATAAACTTTGGTCTCCACAACCGCTTATTGTAACACAGACATTTCTTTCTATGGACAGTAACTCTTTCAACCAATTGCCAATCAAAAAAGTCTTAAATCTACATAGGACCTAGAAGCCTCCCCCTCCACCACTTCAAGTTGTCCCACCCTTCCAGATCGAAGCGACGTAACTCTTACATGTATTGATTGATGCCTTATGTCTCCCAAAAATGTATAAAAGCAAGCTGTGCCACAACCACCTTGGGCATAAGTCATCAGGACCTCCTGAGGCTGTCATGGGTGCATTCTTAAGCTCAGCAAAATAAACTTTCTAAACTGATTGAGATCTGTGTCTCAGAGACTTTTGGGTTCACATCAGTATGTGCCATATACCGTTCTATGCTCTAGGAATATAGAATTGTATAGCATATAGAATATAAAATCCGTGCCTTCACAGAGCTTCTATTCAAGGGTGGAAGTGTGTGTGTATTCATGTGCGTGTGTGTGAGAATGTGTGTGCATTTGCGTGTGCACACGTGTGTGTGCACGTGTGTGTGTGCTTCTATTCAAGGGTGGAAGTGTGCGTGTATTCATGTGCGTGTGTGTGAGCATGTGTGTGCATTTGTGTGTGTGCATATGTGTGTGCACGCATGTGTGTGTGTGTGTGTGTAAGAAACAAACAAGATAAAAGAGAAAGGCCAGGCACTGTGGCTACACCTGTAACTGCTGTGTTTTGGGAGGCCAAGGTGGGAGGATCACTTGAGGCCAGGTGTTCCAGGCCAGCCTGAGCAACATAGCTGGGATCTACAAAAAATCTTTTTAGGCTGGGCGCGGTGGCTCACGCCCGTAATCCCAGCACTTTGGGAGGCCGAGGCCGGCGGATCACGAGGTCAGGAGATCGAGACCATCCTGGCTAACACGGTGAAACCCCGTCTCTACCAAAAATACAAAAAATTAGCCTGGCGTGGTGGCGGGCACCTGCAGTCCCAGCTACTTGGGAGGCTGAGGCAGGAGAATGGCGTGAACCCGGGAGGCGGAGCTTTCAGTGAGCCAAGATCGCGCCACTGCACTCCAGCCTGGGCGACAGAGCAAGACTCTGTCCAAAAAAAAAAAAAAAAACAAAAAAAACTTTTTAAATTAGCCAGGTGCGGTGGCATGTGCCTGTAGTCCCAGCTACTCAGGAGGCTGAGGCAGGAGTATTGCTTAAGCCCAGGAGTCCAGGAGGCTGTACTGAGATCTGATCACATCACTGCACTCCAGCCTGGACAACAGAGCAAGGACCCATCTCCCAAAAAAACAAAACAAAACAAAACAAAACAAACAAACAAAAAAACAAAACATATAATAAGTTCTGGGTGTGAAGTGCTCCAGAGAAAAATGACGCAGGAAAAGGGGACAGAGGGTGTCGGGGCAGGTGCAGTTTCAGGCAGGTCGACTGGGAAAAGCATCACTGAGATGATGCCATGGAGATGCCACTGTGGGCCTCCCAGATCCTTCTGGGGCCTCAGGGACTCCCTGCTCACTGCTCCGCGTGTTGCCGGAGCCACGGCGTTCACCTGAGTCCCTGGCTAAGCACTGCTTCCTGGGGGTGGCTGCATGCCGCGATGCCCACTGCTGTGAAGTGGGAGAACTCCAGCGGCAGCGCGGATGTCAGAGCTCAGGGCAGGAGCACCTCAGTGAGGCCTTGGTGGTCAAACCCACTTCCCAATCCCACTTTCTTCTCTCCTCCCTGAGTGTCAACCCTCCCAATAACTTCCTGTTTCCCAGGAACTGGACCCAAGACAGATGGGAATGGGGGAAGGAGACTAGCCATGCTTTCCACGCAGGGAGAACGGAGAAGGGCAAGGGCGGAGCAGAGGGCTCAGGGAGCCCGCAGAGGGTTAGGTGGCTCCTCCGCGCCAACCTCCAAGCAAAACCCTGACAGCGGCCGGGCGCGGTGGCTCACACCTGTAATCCCAGCACTTTGGGAGGCCGAGGCGGGTGGATCACGAGGTCAGGAGATCGAGACCATCCTGGCTAACACGGTGAAACCCCGTCTCTAGCAAAAATACAAAAAATTAGCCGGGCGTGGTGGCGGCCGCCTGTAGTCCCAGCTACTCGGGAGGCCGAGGCAGGAGAATGGCGTGAACCCGGGAGGCGGAGCTTGCAGTGAGCCGAGATCGCGCCCCTGCACTCCAGCCTGGGCGACATAGCGAGACTCCGTCTCAAAAAAAAAACAAAACAAAAAAAACAAAAAACAACAAAACCCTGACAGCAGCAGCGGGGCCTGCGCACTCCGAGCTCAGCCAGCGCCTCTCAGGCCTCATCCCTGCTACCCTGGCATCCTCTGCAGGAATTGCTCTGTCCCCACAGGGACCAGCTCTGTCCCGTGCCTTCTTCGGGGTTTTGGTTCCATGACGTTTCTGTGAGGCTTCTTCAGACCCATCCGGTTAAAAATTGCCACCCCCTTTGAACTGCTCTATGCACAGCACTTCAGACAAGAGACTCGCAGGCTTTTCTACCCCAGCAACCCAGTCTCCAGCTCTCCAGACCCCAGCAGAGTGTCCAACGGTTCCATTCCATTCTGCCCTGAACTACCTGGAATTGGTCCAGACCCCACAGGTCAGGGACTCAGCCCACAAGACGGCCCCGCACTTCAGATGCCAATCACAGATCGGGGCCTCCAGTGCGTCTGACTGACTGGCCATTAATAGAAGGCTCCTACAGCCCCTCCCTCCTCAAGTTTGATAATTTGCTAGAATGCGTCACAGAACACAGGGAAGTGCTTTACTTACTATTACTACTTTATTACAAAGGCTTCAACTCAGGAACAGCCACAAAGAAGAGGTGCACAGGGCCAGGTAAGGATGGGAGGGGCGTGCAGGGGGTCTCAGGACCAGACTAGGCAGCACCTCTTGGCCTACTGAAATGCTAAATCTGAAAATGATCTTGAAGATGAATCCTTGTGTGTGTGTGTGTGTGTGTGTGTGTGTGTGTGTGTGTGACAAGGTCTCATTCTGTCACCCAGGCTGGAGTGCAGTGGTGCAATCGTGGTTCACTGCAGCCTCAACCTCCTGGGCTCAAGCGATCCTCCCACCTCAGCCTCCCAGGTAGCTGGGACTACAGGCTCATGCCACCAGCCCTAGCTAATTTTGTTTTTCTGTAGAGATGGGGTCTCACTGTGTTGCCCAGGCAACAATGCATTGTCCAGGCCTTCTCCCTACCAGCTGCTCCTCTCACTGCCTCCTGGCGTTCACCAACCCAGAAGCTCGCAGAGCCCCGTCATTCAGGGTTTTATGGAGAGCCCATTCGGGAGACATGATTGCTGTCATTGGCCAGTGGTGATTAATGCAATCTGCAACCACCAGAGATCGAGGGTGGAGCTGAAAGTCCCAACCCTCTAATCCCAAGGTTGGTTCCCCTGGCAACCAGTCCCCATCTAGGGGCAACCTGGGACCCTCCAGGAGTCACCTCATTAGCATAAACACTAGAACGGGTGAAAGGGCCTGTTCTGAATAACAAAAGCCGCTATTGCCCCATCACTTGGAAATTCCAAGGATTTCAGAAGCCCTGTTTTGGGAACCCAGAGGAAGACCGAAGGCACGTTATTGCCCACCTGGGAGACCCTCACCATCCCCTCCCCTGTGCGCTTTTCCCGCTGCACCTGCAGCCTCCTCAGGCTCTGCTCAACACATGGACGTCTGCTGTTTCTTACCTGCCTTCCTCCTCAAAAACCTACGGGCAGGGATTTTTGTCTGCTTTGTTCACAAATTATCTTCCATACCTAGAATGGTGCCTGGCACACTTAAGGTTTTTTGTTTGTCTGTTTTTTGTTTTCTGGTTTTTTGTTTGTTTGTTTTTTGTTTGTTTGTTTTTGACAAAGTATCACTCTGTCACCCAGACTGGAGTGCGGTGGTGCACGATCTTGGCTCACTGCAACCTCTGCCTCCCAAGTTCAAGTGTTTCTCCTGCTTCAGCCTCCTGAGTAGCTAGGATTACAGGCGCCCGCCACCACACAGGCTGATTTTTGTATTTTTAGTAGAGACACGGTTCCGCCATGTTGCCCAGGCTGGTCTTGAACTCCTGACTTCAGGTGAGCCACACACAGCCTCCCAAAGTGCTGAGATTACAGGTGTGAGCCACCATACCCGACACACATGAGGTTTTTAATATTTGCTGAGTGAATGAATAAAGAAAAAGGTTACACTGCAAAATTTGCTTAGTACGTTTATCCATTCAAAAGTAAATGGGTGAGTAAATGTGGTGGGTGAGTTATGGCAAATTACAAGTTTGTGAACTTCACAGCCTTCATTTGCAGAGTGAATACTTTGGTTCCGATCACATTCGTGGCTTAATTTAATAAGCGCTCACCCTGTGTGGGTATCACAGGCTGCGGATTCTTCTTGCCTGCTGTCCTGGAGGAGCCAATGAGAACAGCAGGTGCCACAGCAAAGAACGAGTTAATCATCAGAGGGCCAGCCACACAAGGGGAACTGGGAGAAACTTCTCAAGCTCCTCTCCCTGCGACTTGGAGGCTCAGATTTTTAAAAGATACTTTGACAGGCAGGGGTCTGGGGAACTGGAACAACTGACTGGCTGGGTATGAAATCCCAGGAGTGTGTTTGCACAGGTGAGTCCGTTCCCAGGAGGGGAAGGGGATTCTCAGGACTAGGTGGCATCTCTTGGTCTACCAAAATGCAAAATCTGAAAACGATCTCGAAGACCAATTCTCTTTTTTTTTTTTTTTTTTTTTTGAGACAGAGTCTTGGTCTGTGGCCCAGGCTGGAGTGCAGTGGCATGATCTCGGCTCACTGCAACCTCTGCCTCCTGGGTTCAAACAATTCTCCTGTCTCAGCCTCCCAAGTAGCTGGAATTATAGGCACCCACCATCACGCCCAGCTAATTTTTTGTATTTTTAGTAGAGATGGGGTTTCACCGTGTTGGCCAGGCTAGTCTCAAACTCCTGACCTCAGGTGATCCGCCCACCTCAGCCTCCCAAAGTGCTGGGATTACAGGCGTGAGCCACTGCACCTGGCTGTCTTTTTTCTTTTTCTTTTCTTTTCTTTTTTTTTAAAGATATGTTCTCACTCTGTTACCCAGGCTGGAGTGGAGTGGTGCAATCATGGCTCACTGCAGTCTCTACCTCCTGGGCTCAAGTGGTCCTCCCCCATCAGCCTCCCAAGTAGCTGGGACTACAGGCGCATGCCACTACACCTGGCTAATTTTGTTGTTTATAGAGATGGGGATCTCACTCTGTTGCCCAGGCTGGTCTCAAACTCCTGAGCTCAAGAGATCCTTCTGCCTCAGCCTCCCAAAGTGCTGGAATTACAGGCATGAGCCACCGCATCCGGCCTCAAAGACCAGTTCTTTAGGATTCACAATAGTGCTGTTATCTATAGGAGCAGTTGGGGAAGTTACAAATTTTGTGACACCCCACCCCCAGTTATGTGACCAGGGCAGTCAGCAACTTCTAGGAAAAGACGTCAAGCAGTCGGAGGTCATCCTTTAACTCTGCCTATTCTTTTTTTTTTTTTTTTTTTGAGACAAAGTCTTGCTCTCTCTCCCAGTCTGGAGTGCAGTGGTGTGATCTCAGCTCACTGCAAGCTCCGCCTCCCAGGTTCACACCATTCTCCTGCCTCAGCCTCCCAAGTAGCTGGGACTACAGGCGACTGCCACCACACCCAGCTAATGTTTTGTATTTTTAGTAGAGACGGGGTTTCACCGTGTTAGCCAGGATGGTCTCGAGCTCCTGACCTCGTGATCTACCCGCCTCGGCCTCCCAAAGTGCTGGGATTACAGGCATGAGCCACCACACCCAGCCAACTGTGCCTATTCTTTAGCAAAGTCCAAGCCACTACCATAATTTTTAACTTTGCCTCATGAATGAGGCTTCAATCTCCGGACAAGAGGGTGTCAGTTTCCCTTGCCTCCAAGTTTCATAAACTAAATCCCTTTCATAGTTATCATGGCCTCTGTGCTAGAATAAGAAATAAAAAATATTTAGCCTGTGAGGTTAGAAGCAAGATGGAGTCCGTCATGTTAGGTTTCTCTTGTTGTTTATAATTCTGCAAAGGCAGTTTCTCTATACAGCATTCTAACCCATTCAATCTCCTGTCACCCCTAGGAGGAGGCTTCTGTTCAGCAGCAATTTGGATACAAACCCAGCAAGGTTCCTATTTTAAAATCCTGGCTGAGAGTAGCGGCTCGTGCCTGCAATCCCAGCACTTTGGAGTCTGAATTGGAAGGATCTCTTGAGGACAGGAGTTCAAGACCAGCCTGGGCAACATGGAGAAACCCCTGTGTCTACAAAAATGTTTTTAGTTAAAAATAAATAAATAAAATTCTGTGATTTCAAAGTATTGCATTTTTCTGGACTTATGAAATAATAGGGAAAATTTAAAATTCATCCCCATTCCCCCATTTACAGTCCTAAAGAATTGACAATATCAGTCAACCATAGCAGTGTTTCTTCTGCTTGTAAGTTCAAGGCTGGCTTAGAATTCATTGTGTCTTCTCCTCATCCTGGATACAGAATGTAAATTTAAGTGGGTATGAAGCTTTAATGATATCTGAAAATCCAATCGCCTTGCTTATCATTATTGTAGAATATAATAAATTCCTCTTTAAAGGTTTTAGCCTGTACATTGTTTAGTACAATGAGTTCTGAGATCCTCTCCAAAGAACCAATGTATCCGTATGTTCAGCTCCCTCGTTCTTTGTTCTTCATTTTAAAGTTTAACTTCCTCGTTCTCTTCATCTGCTTGCCCCTAGTTTCAATAAACAACCCCCTCCTAGCCTCTATCACCTGCTCTGACCTTAGTCACCCTTGTCCCCTGCTCTGACCTTAGTCATCCTTGGTGACCTGCTCTGTTCTTAGTCATCCTGAGTCACCTGTTCTGTAACCATCCTTCTCACCAAACTACTCCCCTGCCACTCCGACTCGTACCCCTGCTGTCTTTAAAATAGCCAATCAGAATTAGCTTAGACTGTGCAGTCCAACCCTAGCCAACAGGAGAACCACACAGCAGTAGGGGCTACCTGTGTCAGGGATAAGAACTCCTTCCCCTCCCTTGTCCAGGTGTGCTTTCACCATTGCTCCATCCGTGAGACACACCCTTCTATAGTAGTAAATTGCCTTGCTGAGAAAATTTATGCTCGAGTGCTATTTCTTTTGCAGCACCAAAAATTTATTTCTAACAATTATGCAAAGTTTAAGTTTAGAAATAAGCTATCCTAGGCTGGGCGCAGTGGCTCACACCTGTAATCCCAGCACTTTGGGAGGCCAAGTCGGGTGGATCACGAGGTCAGGAGTTCAAGACCAGCCTGGCCAAGATGGTGAAACCCCGTCTCTACTAAAAATACAAAAATTAGCCGGGTGCGGTGGCAGGTGCCTGTAATCCCAGCTACTCGGGAGGCTGAGGCAGGAGAATTGCTTGAACCCAAGTGGCAGAGGTTGCAGTGAGCAGAGATTGCACCATTGCACTCCAGCCTGGGCAACAAAGTAAGACTCCATCTCAAAAAAAGAAATAAGCTATCCTTTTTAAAGATGAGGCCGAATATGTTATCTGGAAATAGCTTTCAAAATACGATGTCACTTGCTGTATCAGGTTCATATGCCTGCTGTCAGAAATTGCTGTAAAGTTAGTGGCCTAAAGCAACACAGATTTGCCATCTTGCAGTTGTGGGGATCAGACATCAGGTGCAGGCATCCGTGGAGTGACGGGGGCTGCTTTCTGCCAGCTCCCAAGAAGAATCCATTTCCTCGCCTTTCCTGGCCTCCAGAGGTACCCACATGTCCTAGCTCCTGACCCATCCTCCATCTTCAGTGCCAGCAACGTGGCACCGCTCTGACCCTTCTCCATGCATCTTTTTCTCTGACCACCATCAGAAATAGGCTCCACTTTTGAGGAGTCAACTGATTAGACAGAGTAGAGTTGCACAATCCAGGATCATCTCCCCATCTGAAAATCTGTACCTTTCATGCAAATACAAATTCTCTCTCGCCATGGAAGGGGACATTGACACTTTCCAGCGACCAGGGCAGGGACCTCCTTGTGGCCATTATTGGCTACCACAGTTTTCAGAGAATTATTTCATGTATCAGTTTATGTGAATGAGAAGGAAACAGCATGAACTTCTTCACACATCTTGACTTTTGTTTAACTTGTTTATTTATTTACTTACTTATTTATAGAGGCTGGTCTCGAACTCCTGGGCTCAAGTGATCCTCCCACCTTGGCCTCCCAAAGTACTGGGATTACACGCGTGAGCCACCACACCCAGGGACTTTCCACATTAACCAATCAAATATTTTCTATTTATTTTAAATAGAATTTAAAAATTGAAACCACGGTGTGACACCATTTTCCCAACTTCTAGTGAAAACAGAAATAGAAAACACACACTTTCAGTTGGGCATGGTGACTCATGCCTGTAATTCCAGCTACTCAGGAGTCTGAGGTGGGAGGGTCCCCTGGTCCCAGTAGTTTCAGGGACACCTGGGCAACATAGTGAGACCCGATCTCTATTAAAAAAAAAGAAAAAAAGGCCAGGCACTGTGGCTCACGCCTGTAATCCCAGCACTTTGGGAGGCCAAGGCAAGAGGATCACTTGAGGTCAGGAGTTCAAGACCAGCCTGGCCAACATGGCAAAACCCTGTCTCTATTAAAAATACAAAAAGATTAGCCAGGCATGGTGGTGGGTGCCTGTAATCCCAGCTACTTGGGAGGCTGAGGCAGGAGAATTGCTTGAACCCAGGAGGCAGAGGTTGCAGTGAGCCAAGATTGCACCACTGCACTCTAGCCTGGGTGACAGAGCTAGACTACATCTTACAAAAAAAAAAAAAAAATACACACCTCTTTGGCCTAGCAATTCCCTTTTAGGAATCTAAAGATCCATAAAATAAAAGCCCCAGTGTGCAAGCACATATGTTTAAGGCTATTAACTGCTGCATTGTTTTCGTGGGAAAGCGAGCTAGAAAAGCCTGAAGGTCTATTGGTAGTGGAAGGTCTGAATAACTTGGGCTTCAGCAATGCAGTGACTCTTGTGTACAGCAGAGAGTCATATCAGATGAGCCAGCAGTGCTGCGGCTGCCCCACCTCCACCCAGGTGAGGTCATGTACCAGGCTCCTGAAACACACTGTGGGGACCCACAGGGGAAAGCGGCCACCCGGCTAGCCTTCAACTCGTGCCCTGGTTCTGAACTATTCTACCAAAGTATATTCTGAATTTATATATAAGCAAATATAATATATTTACATGTGTATGTAAATACACATATATGTATTTCATTTTGTTTTGTTTTTTGAGGTGGAGTCTCCCTCTATCACCCAGGCCAGAGTGCAGTGGCACAATCTCGGCTCACTGCAACCTCCTCCTCCTGGGTTCAAACGATTCTCTTGCCTCAGCCTCCTGAGTAGCTGGGACTACAGGAACATGCCACAACATCTGGCTAATTTTTGTATTTTTAGTAGAGATGGAGTTTCACCATGTTGGCCAGGCTGGTCTCAAACTCCTGACCTCAGGTGGTCTGCCCACCTAGGCCTCCCAAACTGCTGTGATTACAAGTGTGATCCACTGTGCCCGACCAATATACAAGTGTTTATTTATTTATTTTTATTTTTTTGAGGTGGGGTCTCGCTCTGTTGCCCAGGCTGGAGTGCAGTGGTGCAACCTTGGGTCACTGCAACCTCTGCTTCCCATTCTCAAGCAATTCTCCTGACTCAGCCTCGCGAGTAGCTGGGATTACAGGCGCGCACCATCACACCCAGCTAATTTTTATATTTTAGTACAGACGGGGTTTCGCCATGTTGGCCAGGATGGTCTCGAACTCCTGACCTCAAGTGATCCACCCGCCTCGGCCTCCCAAAGTGCTGGGATTACAGGCGTGAGCCACCATGTGCCTGGCCAGTATACACATATTTCTAAAACCTGTGCTGTGGGTTGAATTGTGTCTCTCAAAGATGTGTTGAAGTTCTTCTCCCCTGTACCCATGAATGTGGCCTGTTTTGGAAATAGGGTCTTTACAGAGGTAATGGAGTTAAGATGAGGTCATCAGGGTGGGCCCTAATCTGGTGACTGGAGTCCTTCTAAGGAAAGACAGAGACGGAGATACACAGAGACAGAGACGCCTCACATTCACAGGCGACAGGGAGACACTCAGGGAAAAGACTGCCACGTGACTGGAGTGATATGTCTACAAGCCAAGGAGAACCAAGGGTTGCCCGCAATGCCAGAGGCTAAGAGAAAGGCACAGGACGGAGTCTCCCCTCGAGACGCCAGAGGGCCACGGCCCTGCCCACACCTCAATTTCAGGCTTCTACCCTCCTGAACTGTGAAAGAATAAATTTCTGTTATTGTAAGTTACTGGTGTGTGGTGTTTTGTTATGGCAGCCCTGGGAAGCTGATGGTACCCTATAATTATCTTATGAATAGCACAGTTATGTGGCACTGGGTGTTGGTATGTCTTAGAAGAGTCAGTAAAAGCAAGAATTCAAAATGGTCCACAATTTTTGAAACCCTAAAAATAATACTGAAAATTTAACTATATAGTGGAAGATGTAATAGGTACATTTTGAAACTCTATGTCTGTGAAGTGCCCCAGGCATCTCTCAACCTTTGAGAAGTTCTGTTATATTCTTATGCTTTCCTACATTTTTTTCTGTCCTCCTTAATTAGACTAGATTCTCCTAAAGTGACAGGTAACACTGAATGAAAGATGTTACTGGCTGGGTGCCATGGCTCACGCCTGTAATCCCAGCACTTTGGGAGGCTGAGGAGGTCGAATTACCTGAGGTTAGGAGTTCGAGATCAGCCTGGCCAACATGGTGAAACCCCATCTCTACTAAAAATACAAAAATTAGCCAAGCATGGTAGGATACCTGTAATCCCAGCTACTCAGGAGGCTGAGGCAAGTAAATCGCTTGAACCCAGGATGGGGAGGTTGCAGTGAACTGAGATTGTGCCACTGCACTCCAGCCTGGGTAACAAAGCGATACTCCATCTCAAAATAAAAAATAAAAAACACATTACTGTTGGCCCTAACGGGGGCAGTTGTCTTATTCCATTTAGGCTGTTATAACAGAATACCATACATTGAGTGGCTTATAAACAATAGAAACTCCTTTCTCATAGTTCTGGAGGCTGGGAAGTCCAAGATCAAGGCACCAGCACATAGGGTGTCTGCTGAGGACCCACTGTCTTGTTCAAAGATGGTGCCTTCTGGTTCATAGACTTTTCACTGCTATAGTCTCCATTGGATTTGATAAATTGAAAAAAGTGAATTATAGATTATATAATTCATAAATGTATTGTTAAATATACTTTAAAAGATTACCAAAAACAGCGATATGTGGAAATAGTCAAAGAACCCAGAAAAATACACCCAATAAGTGAATTAATAATAGAGTTCATTTAACAACAACATATACAGAAATAAAAGTACTAGCAATGAAAACACACAAAGTTGTAAATTATATTGTGCCATGCACAAAATTAAGAATTTTTTTTTTTTTTTTTTTGAGACAGAGTCTTGCTCTGTCACCCAGGCTGGAGTGCAGTGGTGTAATCTCGGCTAACTACAACCTTCACCTCCCGGGTTCAAGTGATTCCCCTGCCTCAGCCTCCCAAGTAGCTAGGACTACAGCCATGCACCACCTCACCCAGCTAATTTTTGTATTTTTAGTAGAGACGGGTTTTTACCATGTTGGCCAAGATGGTCTCGATCTCTTGACCTTGTGATCTGCCCACCGCAGCCTCCCAAAGTGCTGGGATTACAGGCGTGAGCCACTGTGCCCAGCCAAAATTAAGAATTTTTAACATTCATTCATTGGCAGCGTTTTGCCATATTGCCCAGGCTGGTCTTGAACTCAGGTGGTGGAATGGGTGAGGGAGCTCCCTGGTGTCCCTTTGTTAAAGGCACTAATCCTATTCGTGAGGGCCCCACCCTCTTGACCTAATCACCTTTCAAAGGCCCCACCTCCTAATACCATCACCTTCAGGGTTAGGATCAGAACAGATGAGTTTTGGGGGAGGAAACATTCAGACCACAGCAGAGGCTCCTTGCCCTCACCCTAACCCCGAGCTTCCACAATAACAAAGCCAGCATGTTCGCCTCTCTGCACCTGGCTGAGCCCTCCTCCTTCTCTCCTGTGCTCACCTGCCTCAGCCAGCTGGGTTCCTTGCTGTCCCAGGACAGCTCCAGGCAGTCTCCCGCCTTGGGGCCTTTGCACTTGCCCCTCCCTTTTGCTGGAATTCTCTTCCTCCAAATATCTGCATGGCTCCTTCCTTCACCTTCTGTGGGTCTCTGCTCAAACATTACCATCTTAGGGAAGGTCTCTTGGGCACCCGACCTGCACAACCACCTCCTTCCTTCGACCGTCTGTATGTTTTTTGTTTGTTTGTTTGTTTGTTTTGAGATGGAGTCTCCCTCTGTTGCCCAGGCTGGAGTGCAGTGGTGCAATCTCGGCTCACTGCAACCTCCGCCTCCTGGATTCAAGCAATTCTCCTGCCTCAGCCTCCTGAGTAGCTGGGATTACAGGTGCTCGCCACCACACCTGGGTAATTTTTGTATTTTTAGTAGAGATGGGGTTCCACCATGTTGGCCAGGCTGGTCTTGAACTCCTGACCTCAGATTATCCACCCGCCTCGGCCTCCCAAAGTGCTGGATTACAGGGGTGAGCCACGGCGCCCGGCCTGTATGTTCTTTTTTACACAGAGTCTCACTCTCTGTCACCCAGGCTAGAGTGCAGTGGCGGGATCTCAGTTCACTGCAACCTCTGCCTTGCAGGCTCAAGCAGCTTTCCTGTCTCAGCCTCCCGAGTAATCAGGACTACAGGTACACACCACCATGCCCAGCTAATTTTTGTATATACTGTAAAGATGGAGTGTCACCAGCCCAGGCTGGTCATAAACTCCTGGCCTCAAGTGATCCACCCACCTGAGCTTCCCAAAGTGCTGGGATTACAGTTGTGAGACCGGCCTGTATTTTCTTTAACTACTTTATTTTTCACCTTAGTAATTATCACTATTTCATAGATGTTACTTAATTCTCAGGTTCGTTTTCTGTCTGTTTTACTGAATGTCCCAGTCCCTGGAGAGTGCCTGGTACACAGCAGATGCTCAATAAATATTAGGTGGGTGAACTAATACATCTGTGCATTTTTCATCCCTCTTAGACTCAGTAGAGTTTCGCAACTCAAACAGTTCAGGGCTCAGGCAGGTAAGCAAACATGCAGAACAGGCTGAGCACCAGATGACAAGGGGCAAATGGCTTGAGGCCTGCGTCTGAGATTTAACAGGGAATGGCGGGCTAGGGGCAATGGCAGCTGGCAGCATTTGCCCCGTCTGTAGGGGGCAGTGGCTATATACCTCCAGAAGGTTGTAGCCACACAAGAAAGGAGGCTCAATGCCTTCCAATCTTATTATGATTTTCAAAGGAATCCAGATACCTGGATTTTATGTGAAATATCCTTTTCTTTCATATTAGTTATCTATTACTGTGTAACAAAGTACTCAGTACATTAACAAAGTACATTAACAAAGTTAATGGCTTGAAACAACAATCAACCCTTTTTATCTCACACAGTTTCTATGTGACTTAACTGGATCCAGGTCTCATGAAATTTGCAGGTAAAATGTCAGCTAAGGCTACAGTCACCTGAAGGCTGGACCAGCGCTGGAAGATTTTATTTCAGGATGGCGCGCTCATGTGGCTGGCAGGTTTTCCAGTGTTTTGCTTTGTTTTTTTGAGACCAGGTCTCTCTCTGTTGCTCAGGCTGGAGGGCAGTGGCAGGATCATAGCTCACTGCAGCCTTGATGTCCTGGGCCCAAGCAATACTCTGGCCTCAGCCTCCTGAGTAGCTGGGACTACAGGCGCAGACCATCACGCTTAGCTAAATTTTTTTATTTTTATTTTTTGTAGAGACAGGGTCTCACTATGTTGCCCTGGCTGGACTCAAACTCCTGGGTTCAAGTAATTCTCCTGCTTTGGCCTCCCAAAGTGCTGGGGTTACAGGGATGAGCCACCGCACCTGGCTGGCTGGCGGGTTTATATGGGCTCTTTGCAGTGGACTTCAGATTTTTGTCACAAGAACCTGTCCATAGGGCTGTGTTTGTCCTCACAATACGGTGACCAGGTCCACACAGAGTGAGTGATTCTAGCCACAGAGCCCCTGTGACCTACTTTCCAAAGTAACACACTGTCAATTATGACATATTCCACTTGTTATAAATAAGTTGCTAAGTCCAGCCCACACTCAAGGAGACATTAATTAGAATCAACCTTTTCAATGGAGGGGGATCAAAGAATTTCCAGACATAAAACCATCCAATCTTAAAACGCTGTCAATGAGTTCAGATGGAAAGCATGTTGTTACTCACCCCAGCACAGGTCAGATGACGCCCTTGAAGGTTCTGTTTCGTATGGGCCACCAAAGAGTACACTCAGCACTATTTTCATCTTTATTTATTTTTTATTTTTTAAATATTTATTTAAATTTTTTTTTTATTTTTTAAATTAAAAAAAAAAATACAGGCTGGACACGGTGACTCATGCCTGTAATCCCAGCACTTTGGGAGGCTGAGGTGGGTGGATCACCTGAGGTCAGGAGTTCAAGACCAGCCTGGCCAACATGGTGAAACCCCGTCTCTACTAAAAATACAAAAATTAGCCAGGCATGGTGGCACATGCCTGTAGTCCTAACTATTCCAGAGGCTGAGGCAGGAGAATCGCTTGAACCCAGGAGGCAGAGGTTGCAGTGAGCTGAGCTGAGATCATGCCACTATACACCAGCCTGGGTGACAGAGTGAGACTCTGTCTAAAAAAAAAAAAGATAAAATAAAATTTTAAAAGATTTTAAACAATTCTATTTAAACATTTTATTAAAACCTTAAGGGCCGGGCAAGGTGGCTCACACCCGTAATCCCAGCACTTTGGGAGGCTGAGGCGGGCGGATCATGAGGTCAGGAGATCGAGACCATCCTGGCTAACACGGTGAAACCCTGTCTCTACTAAAAATACAAAAAAATTAGCCGGGTGTGGTGGTGGGCACCTGTAGTCCCAGCTACACGGGAGGCTGAGGCAGGAGAATGGCGTGAACCTGGGAGGCAGGGCTTGCAGTGAGCCCAGATCGCACTATTGCACTCCAGCCTGGGCAACAGAACGAGACTCCATCTCAAAAAAAAACCTTAAAAAATTATAGAGACGAGGTCTCACTATGTTGCCCAAGCTGGTCTTGACCTCCTGGATTCAAGTGATCCTCCCACCTCAGCCTCCCAAAGTGCTGGGATTACAGGCATAAGCCACTGTGTCCAGCCTTTATTTTTAAATTAAAAAAAAATTTTGAGTCAGGGTCACGCTCTGTCACCCAGGCTGGAGTGCAGTGTATGCAAAGATTAGTCTTTGCCATGAAGTACCATTATTAACATTCAATAGGCCTGCATATTTATTATTATTATTATTTTTTTTTGATAAGAGTCTTGCTCTGTTGCGAGGCTGGAGTGCAGTGGCTCAATCTCAGCTCACTGCAACCTCCGCCTCCCGGGTGTCTCATGGGTTCAAGCAATTCTCCTGCCTCAGCCTCCCGAGTAACTGGGATTACAGGCACCCGCCACCATGCCTGGCTAATTTTTTGTATTTTTGGTAGAGATGGGGTTTCGCCTTGTTGGCCAGGCTGGTCTCGAACCTCTGGCCTCAGGTAGTCCACCTGCCTCAGCCTCCCAAAGTGCTAGGATTACAGGCGTGAGCCACCATGCCTGGCCTATTATTTTCATTAGAATATAATGCTGCTGTGTCTCATTCCTCTTTCTGTATTCAGAAGGGGTCAAGAGTCATTCATTCACCTAGAAGGCACACACCTGTAATCCAAGCTACTTGGGAAGCTAAGAGAAGAGGTTCATTTGAGCCCAGGAGTTCGAGGCTGCAGTGAGCTATGATCATGCCACTGTACTCCAGCCCGGGCAACAGAGCAAGACTGTGTCTCTAAAAAACAAAACAAAAAAAGAGTAATTTATTCAATATTTCAATAAATATTGTTTAAGCATACGTTATGTGACAGGCTCTGCGCTAGATACTTTGAATGTCATGACATGGTATGCCACTTATTTTAGTGAAGAAAAGAAAGATTGAAAAACGAGCACGTAAATAATTAAGCAATATGTTCTCAATAATGTGCTCTGAAGAAAAGAAAGTGGGTGCTGAAGTGGAGAAAGCCTAGGGGTGGTCAGGGGACTGAAAGGTGAGAAGGAGCCAGCCAGGCTAAGATATGTGGAGAAGAGCATCTTGTTTATTTGTTTATTTGAGACAGGGTCTTGCTTTGTTGCCCAGGCTGGAGGGCAGTGGCTCGATTATGGCTCACTGCAGCCTCCAACTCTCAGGCTGAAATGATTCTCCTGCCTCAGCCTCCCAAGTAGCTGGGATTACAGGCATGTGCCACTACACGTGGCTAATTTTTGTATTTTTAGTAGAGACGGGGTTTCACCATATTGGCCAGGCTGGTTTGAACTCCTAACCTCAAGTGATCTGCCCGCCTTGGCCTCCCAAAGTGCTGGCATTACAGGCATGAGCCACCGTGCCCAGCCAAGGGAAGATACTTTTAAACAGAGGGACCAGTAAGTGCAAAGGCCCTGTGGCAGGAATAAATTTGGCTGGGGTAAGATACAGAAAGTCTTGTGAGGTTACAGGGAGAGAGGCAGGAGACGAGGTGGGAGAGGTAGGCATGAGCTAGAGCCCATAGTACCTCCCTGGCTACAGATTTCATGGATCTAAGTGAGACAGATAGAAAACTACTGCAGGTTTTACCAGTGGAGGAGGATGATCTGATTTTTTTTTTTTTTGACAGAGTCTCGCTCTGTCACCCAGGCTGGAGTGTAGTGGCGCAATCTCGGCTCACTGCAAGCTTCGCCTCCCGGGTTCACGCCATTCTCCTGCCTCAGCCTCCCGAGTAACTGGGACTACAGTCACCCACCACCATGCCCGGCTAATTTTTTGTATTTTTAGTAGAGACGGGGTTTCACCATGTTAGCCAGGATGGTCTTGATCTCCTGACCTCATGATCCGCCAACCTCGGCCTCCCAAAGTGCTGGGATTACAGGTGTGAGCCACCACACCCTGCCTCTGATATGGTTTTAAAAGATCACTCTGGGTCACATGCAGTGGCTCATGCCTGTTATCTCAATACTTTGAGAAGTTAAGGCAGGAAAATTGTTTGTGGCCAGAAGTTTGAGATAAGCCTGGGCAATGTAGCAAGACCCCATCTCTACAAAAAAGAAAATAAATTGCTGGGTGTGGTGGTGCCTGCCTGTATTCCCAGCTACTCGGGGGGCTGAGGTGAGTGGATCATTTGACCCCAGGAGCTCAAGGTTGCAGTGAGTCATGATCTCGCCACTGCACTCCAACCCTGGTGACAGAGAAATACCCTGTCACTACAAAACAAAATCCACCCTGTGCCTCCTGATCTGAGACACTAAGAAGGACACAACATCACTTTTGTGGTTTTCCTACCCAAACTGCATAACCTGTATCTAATCATGAGCTAGTATCAGAGAAATCCAAATGAAAGGACAGTCTACAAAATACCTGGCCTCTAAAATACTCTGCAAGGCCAGGCGTGGTGGCTCACGCCTGTAATCCCAGCACTTTAGGGGGCCCAGGTGGGTGGATCCCCTGAGGTCAGGAGTTTGAGACCAGCCTGGCTAACATGGTGAAAACCCATCTCTACAAAAAATACAAAAATTAGCCAGGTGTGGTAGCAGGCACCTGTAATCCCAGCTACACAGGAGGCTGAAGCAGGAGAATCACTTGAACCCGGGAGGCAGAGGTTGCAGTGAGCTGAGATCGCACCACTGCACTCCAACCTGGGCGACAGAGCAAGACTCTGTCTTGGGGGAAAAAAAATACTCAGCCGGGCGCGGTGGCTCATGCCTATAATCCCAGCGCTTTGGGAGGCCGAGGCAGGCAGATCACGAGGTCAAGAGACCGAGACCATCCTGACCAACATGGTACATCGTGAAACCCCGCCTCTACTAAAAATTCAAAAATTAGGTGGGTATGGTGGCGTGCGCCTGTAGTCCCAGCTACTCAGGAGGCTGAAGCAGGAGAATGCCAGAACTCGGGAGGTGGAGATTGCAGTGAGCCAAGATCATGCCAGTGCACTCCAGCCTGGCAACAGAGAGAGATTCTGTCTCAAAAAAACCAAAAAAAAACTCTGCAAAAAGTGTCAAGGTCATGAAAGATAAAGAAAGGCTGAAGGACTTGTAGATGGAAATAGACTAAGGAGGCTGACAAGCAAACGTTCCATGCAATCCCGGACTGGATCCTAAACCAGGCAAATGGTGTTAGTGAGACATCTGACAGTTAAGGGTCGAGATTAGATAATCAAATTAGAGCAATGTTAACTGCCTGATTTTGATAAGTGTACAGTGGTTATGTAACAGAATGTCCTTGGTTTTAAGAACTGCACATCAAAGGGCATCCTGTTTGCCACTTACCTCAAACATTTCAGAGAAAAAAAGTCATATATATACACACACACCTAATTACGTCTTTATAAAATCACATATAGGTATATAGGTGAGATCAGCTGGGGCAACATAGTGAGACCCCATTGCTACAATAAAATAAATAAAAAATTAGCTGGGCCTGGTGGCACATGCCTGTAGTCCCAGCTACTAAGCAGGCTGAGGTGGGAGGATCACTTGAGCCCAGGAGTTCCAGGCTGCAGTAAGCCACTATGCTCCAGCCTGTGTGACAGAGACCCTGTCTCTAAAAAAAAAACTAGAGACTAAGGAGGCCTGAGAAACAAGTTAAAAGCGTAACATGCAATCCTCGACTGGATTCTTGTAGGGGAAAAAACGCCAAAAGGTATAAACACTGATGTTCTCATCACCCAGAATTATACAAATGGTTAATATATTGTCACCTTGCTTTGATTACCATTTTTAAAATTAATTTTCTTTCTTGTTTTTTTTTTAGAGACATGGGTTTCACCATGTTGCCCAGGCTGGTCCTAAACTCCTGAGCTCAAGTGATCCATCTGCCTTGGCCTCCCAAAGTGCTCGGATTACAGGCGTGAGTCACTGCACCCAGCCTGATTAGATGGAGTTTTGCTCTGTCGCCCACGCTGGAGTGCAGTGGTGCGATCTCTGCTCACTGTAAGCTCCACCTCCCGGGTTCACGCCATTCTCCTGCCTCAGCCTCCCGAGTAGCTGGGACTACAGGCACCCGCCACCACGCCCAGCTAATTTTTTGTATTTTTAGTAGAGACGGGGTTTCACCGGTTTAGCCAGGATGGTCTCGATCTCCTGACCTCGTGATCTGCCCGCCTTGGCCTCCCAAAGTGCTGGGATTACAGGCGTGAGCCACCGTGCCCGGCCCTGATTACCATTTTTTAAAAAAGAAATGGAACATTGCAGGTAAGGTTAAACTCTTCTATGACCTCTCTCCGCAGTTCCTGGGTGACAAGAGCGAGAATCTGTCTCAAAAAAAAAAAAAAAAAAAAAAGAAGAAGAAAAAAAATTGTCATCCTTGCGCAGGGGCCATGCTAATCTTCTCCGTATCATTCCAATTTTGGTATACGTGCTGCCAAAGTGACCACTCGATTACCTATTCCAATATAATGAAACCCTGTTTCTACTAAAAATAAAAATAAGATAAAAATAAAAAAAATAGCTGGGTGTTGTGGCGCATGCCTGTAATCCCAGCTACTCAGGAGGCTGAGGCAGGAGAATCACTTGAACCTGGGAGGCGGAAGTTGCAATGAGCCGAGATCGCACCACTGCACTCCAGCCTGAGCGAGAGTGAGGCTGTCTCAAAAAAAAAAAAAAAAGGAAATAGAACATTGCAGGTAAAGTTAAAGTCTTCTTTGACTCCTCTTCTCAGTTCCATCACACTCCTTTCTACCCTTTCTTGAAGCAATAACCATCAGGATATGGTATATAGATCCTTGCAGTCAATTAAAAAAAACAACAAAATACATATATCCAATAGCCAATATGCTTTTGTTTTATGTGTATTTGTAAAAAATATACATAAATGACATTATACTATATATATAATCCCTCTAGATAAAGTTACATATAGTGTTAGGTTTTATGTATTAATTTTTGAAAACAGGGTCTTGCTCTGTCTCCCAGGCTGGAGTGCAATGGTGAGATCATTGCCCATTGCAGCCTGTAACTCCTGGGTTTAAGGGATCCTCCTACCTCGGACTCCCAAAGTGCTGGGATTACAGGTGGCCTAGACTTTATAAAGCTGTTATCACCTCTTTCTTCTTTTCTCAACACTATCCTTTTGACATCTATCTAACCCTGTTGAAACAGATGACCGTCATTCCTTTTAAATGTTATACAGTATTAAATGTTGTGCACATGCGTGAGGCATGAGTTTAACTCTGGGGCCTCTCCCTAGAAATGGAAATCCGGGGTCACAAGCAATGGGCATTCCCGTTTTACTGTTAGATTCTGCTCTCCCGCCAGCAGCGTCTGAGAGGTGCTTGGGGTTCCCCTGAGGGTTCTGGGGGAGCTCGGACTTGCGTTCCCAGCAGGCCGGTTGTCGCCTGCTTTGTGCCTAATTTGCGTCACTGGGGTTCCTAGCGGACTCGCCTGCAAGTGTGCTCAGGACTGCAGGGAGGACTCTTCGGTCACTGCGGCTCTCTCCCCATGGTGGACTCTTCTGAGGCGCTTGACTGCGCTGATTTGGGCCTTTATCTGTCTGCATGTCGGCAGGGGCGCCCAGGAAGTCGGGTCCCTCTAGCTCAAGCTTGTTTGGGCTCTTACAGCTTCAGGCCAACAGGGGGCTGGGAAGCTGAGCACTTACTCATTCCGTCCCCGTTGGTAACTAGGGCTGGTAGACGCGTCCAGACTGCAAACAGTATTTCATCATTTTGTCTGTAGCATGCAGCGGCCAAAGCTGCCAACCTATGAAACGCTTTGAGAAGCCGGACGCTTTGGGAGGCCGAGGCGGGTGGATCCCCTGAGGCCAGCCTGGGAGACATAGTTAGATTCTGTCTCTCAAAAAAATTTTTAAAAAATTACCCCTGATGTGGTGCGCGCCTGTAGTCCCAGCTACTCGGGAGGCTGAGGCGGGAGGATCGCCCGAGCCTGAGAGTTCGAGACCAGCCTGGGCAACGTAGCGAGACTCCGTCTCTTAAAAAAAATAAGTAGCCGTTTTTCTGGGTGGGTGCATCCCTCTCTGGTTCCTCGCTCTCCAACTGGCCCTGGTCCTGGGGGCGTGAAGGCTACGATCTGGAGAGACAGAACAGCGGGCTGCCTCTGGAGGACGGGCCTAGACCCCATTCATTCATTCATTCGTTCTGTCACCCACCCGTCCTGCGCGCACGCGAGCCACCCTAAGCCCCAGGACCTCAAGAACCCCCACCCCACGGGGCACAGACAAGGACAGGCTGGCCAGCGCCTGGAAGCCGCGTGCCTGACCACGTCTGCCCGAGCGAGTACCGCCTCCCACCCGGGAGGCAGGAGAGCCGCGACCGTCGGGCCGCGCCCAACGTCTCCCGCTCAGGGGCGCGCCGCCTCGCTTTCAGCGCATGCGCGCCCGGGAGCCCGCCCGGGGCGTCGGCGCACGCGGTCCCCACCGGCCGGCTTGCGTACGCGCTCCCGGCTCGCCCTCCCACGCGGTCCACCGCGCCTCCCGCCCCACCCTAAGCGCAGCGACCGCCCGAGCGGCCGACCGAACCGCGTTGCGTGCGTGCGCGCACGCGCGGGCCACGTGGGCGGGCGCCGCGCCGTTGCCCCGCCCCTTGCAACCCCGCCCCGCGCCGGCCCCGCCCCTGCTCTCGCGCCGGCGTCGGCTGCGTCTCCGGCGTTTGAATTGCGCTTCCGCCATCTTTCCAGCCTCAGTCGGACGGGCGCGGAGACGCTTCTGGAAGGTATCGCGACCCGGCGGGCCCGGCACGGCCGGGCGGGGACAGGGGTGGCGGCGGCGGGATAGGGGTCGGAGCCGGGGCCAGGGCCGGGGCGGGTGGCGGACCCAGGGGCAGCGGGCGGCTGAGTAGGTGGGTGGTGCGGGCCCGGCCGGGCCGGGGCAGGAGACGGGCGTGGGGTCGGCGCTAGCCCCCGCGAACCCCCGTTTCATCCTCCGCTCTCATCCCCGTCCCGGTCCCAGTCCCGTTCCCATCCCTACACCTCCGGCCGCCGTTCCCCGGGCCCCGCCGCCCCGGATGCCGGCCCCGCCCGCCGCCTTCCCGCTCCCAGGCCTGGCCGCCATGGCGCCGCGGGCGGGAGGCCTTTGTGGGGCGGGCACGTGGGGCGCTGGGGGCGCGGGAGCGGGGCCGCCATGGGCTGCGGGGCCGCGCGAGCGCTCGCCTCCGTCCTCTGCCTCCGCAGGAACGCCGCGATGGCTGCGCAGGGAGAGCCCCAGGTCCAGTTCAAAGTAGGTAACCCTGCGGGGCGGGAGGCGGCCGAGCCCGACCGCGTGCGACTCGCGGGTCCCTCCTCCTGGGGCCACGATGGCTGTAATGGGGCCCCGCATCCACATTCTTTGTTTTAAGTGAGCCTGTGGTGGTTAAAGTTCCGTGACTCTGGGATCTTGAGAGGTGAAGTGTTTAGGGTTTACTTCCAAAATGTGTTTTTCAACAGCTTGTATTGGTTGGTGATGGTGGTACTGGAAAAACGACCTTCGTGAAACGTCATTTGACTGGTGAATTTGAGAAGAAGTATGTAGGTATGTGCTGGAAAACCTTGCTTGTGGAAATATGTGAGAAATGGGTAAGTTCATCCACTCAATCGCATCGTTTCCGTTTCAGCCACCTTGGGTGTTGAGGTTCATCCCCTAGTGTTCCACACCAACAGAGGACCTATTAAGTTCAATGTATGGGACACAGCCGGCCAGGAGAAATTCGGTGGACTGAGAGATGGCTATTATATCCAAGGTAGGCATTTGTAACTTGCTGAACGGTTTTTGAGAGGTTTTGTGTACTTCAGTCTTCAAGGTTATAGAAAATCAGGTCTGTTCCAACAAATAGTGTCATTTTTGGGTTAAAAAAAGACAAGTGGACTTCGGGGAGTTGACCACCATTTTGGTGGCAGAGAAAATTTTATTAAAGTTGTGTCATTTGCATGCTGTGTCATGCTAGGCATGCTTTAGAAAAAACTATGACTTACACTGGGACTTATAAGTCATATTTAAAACAATAATAGGCTGTTAACAGCAGTTTCAGTATTTGGAAACTTAGGTTCATGTATGTATTTTGGTGTGGTGATCAATGAATGTTTTTACTGTATTAGAAAACAATAAACACCAGATACTAGACCAGAGGAGATAGGAGATCTTAACAAGTGTTATACAAGACTAGCTGATTTCTTGTTAAATTGTTTGTACTAAGTTGTGCAGAGTATTTTTCTCAAATAGTTTGATTTAAAAATTGCAAGGAAAATGTTCATTGTACCAAAAAGAGGAATCAAGAAAATACTCATCTCTCTTGGAACCTCACGTTGCCGATAACACATTATCTGGAATCATTCCATGCCTTTTGCTTTCCTTGAGCATGTACAAATAAACACAAGAATTTCCCCCAAAAGAATCCTTTAACCAAAAAGTTGTGGTTTCTTGCCTTGCTAACTGTACCATAGTTATTCCTGCAGGTGAATATATAGGCTTTATCTGGGTTATTTATTTATTTAATTTTTTTTTGAGACAGGGTTTCGCTCTGTTGCCCAACCTGGAGTGCAGCTTCCGCCTCCTAAGCTCAAGCCATCCTCTTACCTCAGCATCCTGAGTAGCTTGGACTATAGGCACGTGCCACTATGCCTGACTAATTTTTGTATTTTTTTGTAGAGATGGGGATTCACCATGTTGCCCATGCTGGTCTGGAACTCATGAGCTCAGGTGATCCACCCACCTCAGCCTCTCAAAGTGCTGGGATTACAGACGTGAGCCACATTGCTTGGCCTATCTGGATTTTTTAAGACAGGAATAATGTTTTCCAGTATAGCCAGCCATTTAAAGACCTTCTGAAGAATGTGTTTCCAGGCCCTACCCTCAGAATATGGCAGCTTGGTTATCCAGAATCTCATTTAGCATTAATTACTTCAGATACTTTTTTGGGATGAGGGGAGTATTAATGGTGAAGTATATCAGGGAGATTTGATAGGGTCAGCTCATCTCTCTTAGGAGGAATTGTGTATTAACATTTTTAGAATTGACAGAGACCTTGAAAGTGAGGGGAGAGATACAGGTGACTCGTTGAGGTCTAAGACTATAACTAGTTGAATCCTAGTCTCTGGTTCTTAGCATTCTTCACTTGTGCAGTAAACTGAGTGTACTAATTCCCACAAATGTTTCTTCAGCCCAGTGTGCCATCATAATGTTTGATGTAACATCGAGAGTTACTTACAAGAATGTGCCTAACTGGCATAGAGATCTGGTACGAGTGTGTGAAAACATCCCCATTGTGTTGTGTGGCAACAAAGTGGATATTAAGGACAGGAAAGTGAAGGCGAAATCCATTGTCTTCCACCGAAAGAAGAATCTTCAGGTGTGTAAAATTAAAACTTCCTGAGTTATTTCTCTTAGCGGAGATTATATGTAAGACCATGAAATTAACCAGTGTCTATTATATATGGAAATGATTTTTTTTTCCCCAAGACGGAGTCTTCCTCTGTCCCCCATGCTGGAGTGCAGTGTCGCAATCTTGGCTCACTGCGACCTCCGCCTCCCGGGTTCAAGCAGTTTTGTCTCAGCTCCCCTAGTAGCTGGATTACAGGTGTGTACCACCACGCCTGGCTAATTTTTGTACTTTTTTTTCTAGTAGAGACGGGGTTTCCACCATGTTGGTCAGGCTGATCTCCAACTCCTGACCTCAAGTGATCCACTTGCCTTGGCCTCCTAAAGGGCTGGGATTACAGGCATGAGCCACTGTGCCCGGCCGGAAATAATTTTGTCTTTTTTATACTACTGTTTTTAAAGAATGATAGAGATTGGGTTTCACTGTTGGCCCGGTTGGTCAGCTGAAATGTTTGTGTATTTATATATTTGTTGTTCGAGACAGGGTCTTGCTCTGTTGCCCAGGCAGGAGTGCAGTGGCATGAACATAGCTCACTGTAGCCCTGAACTCCTGGGCTCAAGCAATCCTCCCACCTCAGCCTTCTGAGTAGCTGGGCTCACAGGCACTCACCACCATGCCCACCTAATTTGTTTTTTTGTGGAGTTGGGGTCTTGCTCTGTTGCCCAGGCCTGATCGTGTACTATTGGCCTCAGGCAATCCCACCTCAGCCCCCGAAAGTGCTGGGATTACAGGCATGAGCCACCATGCCTTGCCAAGAATCTTAACATTTTCTTATCTTGCAATGTCCTAGAAAAATCGTCATCTTAATAATGAATTTTAAAAAGTAATTTTACCTTTCTTTTAAACAGTACTACGACATTTCTGCCAAAAGTAACTACAACTTTGAAAAGCCCTTCCTCTGGCTTGCTAGGAAGCTCATTGGAGACCCTAACTTGGAATTTGTTGCCATGCCTGCTCTCGCCCCACCAGAAGTTGTCATGGACCCAGCTTTGGCAGCACAGTATGAGCACGACTTAGAGGTATTGTGGCCACTTTGCTGTTCAGATTGTTCGGTTTGGCTTGTTTATTCCTGGCAGTTTTGATCTGGAGTGTTAACGTTTTTCCATCTCTTCGTCTAGGTTGCTCAGACAACTGCTCTCCCGGATGAGGATGATGACCTGTGAGAATGAAGCTGGAGCCCAGCGTCAGAAGTCTAGTTTTATAGGCAGCTGTCCTGTGATGTCAGCGGTGCAGCGTGTGTGCCACCTCATTATTATCTAGCTAAGCGGAACATGTGCTTCATCTGTGGGATGCTGAAGGAGATGAGTGGGCTTCGGAGTGAATGTGGCAGTTTAAAAAATAACTTCATTGTTTGGACCTGCATATTTAGCTGTTTTGGAACGCAGTTGATTCCTTGAGTTTCATATATAAGACTGCTGCAGTCACATCACAATATTCAGTGGTGAAATCTTGTTTGTTACTGTCATTCCCATTCCTTTTCGTTTAGAATCAGAATAAAGTTGTATTTCAAATATCTAAGCAAGTGAACTCATCCCTTGTTTATAAATAGCATTTGGAAACCACTAAAGTAGGGAAGTTTTATGCCATGTTAATATTTGAATTGCCTTGCTTTTATCACTTAATTTGAAATCTATTGGGTTAATTTCTCCCTATGTTTATTTTTGTACATTTGAGCCATGTCACACAAACTGATGATGACAGGTCAGCAGTATTCTATTTGGTTAGAAGGGTTACATGGTGTAAATATTAGTGCAGTTAAGCTAAAGCAGTGTTTGCTCCACCTTCATATTGGCTAGGTAGGGTCACCTAGGGAAGCACTTGCTCAAAATCTGTGACCTGTCAGAATAAAAATGTGGTTTGTACATATCAAATAGATATTTTAAGGGTAATATTTTCTTTTATGGCAAAAGTAATCATGTTTTAATGTAGAACCTCAAACAGGATGGAACATCAGTGGATGGCAGGAGGTTGGGAATTCTTGCTGTTAAAAATAATTACAAATTTTGCACTTTTTTGTTTGAATGTTAGATGCTTAGTGTGAAGTTGATACGCAAGGAAAATGGTCCATGTTTACCCACAGTTTTCAGGTACTCCTAGACTTTAAAGATGTCTTGAACATTTAAGTTCTTCAGCAGTTCACACTACACCGTTTTTTTGTTTTTTTTTCCCCCCCGGGAGGGTTTTTTTGTAGGGCAGCACAGCAGAGCAGGACATGGATGAAATACTAGGAATATGCACAGTGGGGCAGTGTGGGGGCTTCTCAGTAATGGAGAACAGTTGGTGAAACTTTTTTTTTTTTTTAACTAAGCATTTAATTTATCTTGCATATTTTCCACATTTAAAAATGAATTAGGTCTATTAGGATAATTAGGAGTTTGATCCCATCAACACTATTCTTGTAGCAGTTAGGAATCTTGAGCTATTTTTTTCTCATACGATTACTATAGTCCAGTTTACCAAAGTTTTCTTTAGATGTCTGATAATCTTGAGATGATTGCTTACCTTAAAAGGTATAGAAAGGATCACTTAAATATATGGAAAAATGAAATAAGGGTGAAGCTGAATAAAGTTCTACTTACTGTATTAACTGGCAACAGTTGAGTTTCTTAAGATCTGAATTGCTGTGTATGTTACGCTGTATTCAGAACCAGTTTCTAACCAGCCTGTGAGATGGGAAGTTTTTTCCCCATAATTGGGATGAAACCTTTCATTCAGGTATTTTGAATTGAAGGTGTATGTGTTGTTTGTAACCTTGTGGAGATTGCAAGTGGTGTTGACATTCTGGATCTTCTATGTAACAGTTGAAATTTGGAAGTGACGTCACTTACCTGTCTAACGTGGTGTGGGAGAGAATTTACAAGTCCTTTATTGAAAGAATAATTGTTGCAAAATATATTGCTTCTACTTTGCCTGGATTTTTTGAATCATCTCTAGTATTTGCTTTAGGAAATGCTGAAGAGTTAGCAGAGATTATTATCTTTTGGGGGGGCGGCGGGGAAGGGGTCAGTTCTCTCCAGATTGTACAAATGGGAAAAGTCTGCTCTCCATTTTTTGAAATCTCGTGTCTAATGGGGGAAGCCTTGAAAGCTTTATATGAAGTTACTGCAAACCAGTAATAGCTTATTAGAGCAAAGTCATTAAGAAAAAGCATAGTTAGTGCATAGGTCTTGTGTGGATATAATGTGAAACTGGTAAATTAGTAGTTTCAATTTGTGTGAGAGCCAGTTTTTTTAAAAAACCACATAGAATGGGATTTTTTAAAAAATTGTATCAATCATAAAATGTCTAGAAAAGATGAGACTCCAAAATAGCCTCCAAAGAGGACTGGTTTCCTGGCTAACTGTTCACCTGAAGGAACTCAAGTACAGAGAATTTCTGGTTTCTTTTGCAAAAACAGATCAGAAACACAAAAAATTACCTGCTGAGCAAATGGGATGAGGGTTGGATTCAGCTTTTCTTGCCAGCAAACTGACGGACATCGTGTATGATGTTTTCTGCCACTCGGGCTGTACAGGGCTATCCTGCCCAGCAAGATTACGTGAGACTAAGCTTTCCCTGTATGAGGCAGACCCTGTACTAGGACAGCACCTATCCTAACTCCTTGCAGCACCTTTTACCCTTGAAGCCGAGGGCATGGTGGGGAGAAACGGCACCTAACCATGGAAACCTTATCTTTAGTTAAGGGGTCAGAGTCCTATTCAAAAAACATCTGATGCATCTCGCCTGCTCCACATTTCCTACAAGGTCTTGCAGGCTCTGGTCACACGTGCATCTTGAGATCTGTGTGCATGCTGCTTTCCAGAACTCCCCCTTCCCTCTCCTGAAGTCGGTCCTACCAGTTAATGCTTTAGTTCCTTTAGAGTTCACTCTGCTTTTTACCTTGAGTTGGATGTCCGACTACAGACATTACAAGATTGCCTTCAGCCCTAGTCAGCATGGCAAATTTGCGATAGCGACTTTCCCTTCCTAGACTAATTGCCACGAGGGCGAGGGCCATGTCGCTGCTCTCTCATGTCCCTAGTGTTTATTAAATGTTCTATGGGAACCTCGAGGAACAGAGAACTTGGGGGTTAGAGATAGGGTGGGATTGATGGAGGTGGGTGGAGAGGAGCCGGGAGAACTTTATACACCATTAGGTCTGACTATTCTGAAGTCATGCTGGTATTTTCTTCCTGAGGTTTGTAGCCTACACTATCTTTTTAATTTTATTTATTTATTTATTTAATTTATTTATTTATTTTTTAGAGTCTCGCTCTGTCTCCCAGGCTGGAGTGCAGTGGCGCCGTCTCGGCTCACTGCAACCTCTGCCTCCCGGGTTCAAGCGGTTCTCATGCCTCAGCCTCCTGGGTAGCTGGGACAGGCATGCGCATACACTGTCTTTTATCCATTTATTCTGGCTTGTTTCTTTGGTGCACAGGAGTAGAGAGAGCCAGTGTGGACAGTCGGGAAGCTTGCGGGATGGACCTCAGTTAAAATGGTGCCATCAGCAGGTGTTGGGGCTGTGATGCTTGAAGTTTAGTTACAGGCGTTGGAAGAGGCACCTTGGATTTAGTTGGGTTTCAGTTCCCCTCCTTGAAGAAGCAAAACAGAAACCATTCCGTATACCTCAGTCTTCGGTAATGTGGACAGTTGAGTCCTTCTGTCAAGTCAGCTGTGCTCAGAGATACACCGTGCGATGCTGCAGTGGCTTTGCTCATGAAGCCTTCGCCTGGGGAGACAGGCAGTCAGGTTCCTGGGATGAGGCTGAGCGCCACAGTGAGTGTGAGGACGGACAGCTGAGGCTTTGGGAGCATCGCAGGGGCCTGGTCTGAGGCCTGAGAAGGAGGGCAGTGGAGTCCAGGAAAGACCCTCAGGGGGAAGCGCCCCTGGAGAGCAGGAGGGACGGTGGAGTGCGCAGGTGGAGGCTCTCAAGCAGGTGTGTGGGTTTTTTATAAGCCGCTTTACAGGTTTGGTATTTAGAACACAGTGGGAAGCCACAGAAGGCTCAAGCGTCATAAGATTTTGGCAACAGGAGTGGGTGCCCAGAGTCCAGGGGCACCCAGCCTTTCCCCCCCAAAGCCTGTGCTCCAGGAAAGGGAGGGTCGCACCGTGGCCACCACAAAGCCTCGTCGTCCAACCCCTCAGCGGACTCATCCCTTGAGTGAGTAGCCACTGCGAATGCCAGGTGCCAGCCCCACCCACGCAGTGGGCTTCTTAATGAGGCAGGAGAAAAGGATTCGGGGCTTCTCCAGTAGTTAGTAAGTGTGAGGTGTGAGCTGCAGTGCCTAAAGCCACCAATACCCGCGGTCAAGGTCAGTTTCCGGTGACAAAACTATGGGTCAGGCAGGTGGTCGAGTGGCTGTGACAAGGTGGTAGCACTGTGACCACCCCCCAGGCATGAAGGATGGGAACCAAATTGCAGGGAATGGCAGCTGGAAGCCGGCGGGCAGGGGAGCCGGGTGGGGCAGAGCTGCAGGTCTTGGGGAGAAGCATTTGCTTTTTGCTTCCTCCCTCCCCTCATGTCTGACCTCCTTTTCCCCTACCAAGGGAAGAAGTCATACATGCTGGGTATTGACAGTGTGGGGATTGGAGCAGTTAAAACAGACACAGTCGGCACAGTTCCCCCGACTAGAGGTAACTTGCTGACATTTTGTCATCTATCCTTTCAAATGTTTTCTAAAAAGAGGGGATTATACTATCGTGCAGTTTCCTAACCATTTTTCACTTTGTGTGACGGCCTTTTCTGTCAGTGAGTTTTACAGCCCTGTTCATAATTATCTAGTGATGCGGAGCGCAGCCAGGTCGTCATTTAGTGTGACAGCCTCTGTGGTTCCTGTCGGATTGTGTTGCTGTGTAGTCCCACTCCTCTGCATGCCGCTTGGCAGAGTGGGTTTAACTCTTGCAGGGAAGTTGATTTCCAGCTGTGTAGACCATCCGTGGTCTCTTTCTTCCACGTGCTTCTCAGGCTGTTGTGTTTGTTACTTTCTTTTTCTCTTTTGAGTCAGAGTCACACTCTGTCACCCAGGCTGGAGTGCAGTGGTGGGATCTCGGCTCACTGCAGCCTCAACCTCCCAGCCTCAAGCCATCCTCCCACCTCAGCCTCTGGAGTAGCTGGGACTACAGGTGTGTGCCACCACACCCAGCTAATTTTAAATTTTTTTTGTAGAGACAGGGTTTCACCACGTTGCCCATGCTGGTCTTGAACTCCTGGGCTCAAGCAATCCTCCCACCTCAGTCTCCCAAAGTGCTGGGATTACAGACGTGAGCCACTGTGCTGGCCACATGTTTGTTACTTTAAACTTATGAGGGTGTGTCCTGCTTTATAAACTCCGAATAGATGGAAAACCAAACTTACTTTTAAAATAAACTCTCTGGGTGTGTGTGTGTGTGTGTGTCTGTGTGTGTGTCTTTGTGCATGTGTCTTTGTGTATCTGTCTCTGTGTGTGTCTCTCTCTCTGTGTGTCTGTGTCTCTGGGTGTGTGTGTGTGTGTCTCTGGGTATGTCTGTGTGTGTGTGTGTGTGTCTCTGGGTGTGTGTGTGTGAATGTGTGTGCGTCTCTGGGTGTGTGTGTCTGCATGTGTGTCTCTGTGTGTGTCTGTGTGTCTCTGTGTGTGTGTGTCTGTGCGTGTCAGTGTGTGTGTGTGTTTGTTGATTTTCGCCATGTGAGCTTCCACTTTGCATCCCCAGCACTGGACATGGGCGAGAGGTGGAAGTCCTAACACATACTGAATTACACACATTTTATTACATGGTTCCCTTCATGCGATTTATTCTATAAATTCACATTTATGGCCATGCCCAGTGGCTCACGCCTGTATTCCCAGCAGCACTTTGGGAGGCTGAGGCAGGAGGATTACTTAAACCCAGGAGTTTGAGACCAGCCTGGGCAACATAGTGAGACCCCCCATCTCTAATTTTTTAGAAGTAAAAAATATATATTTTTATTAAAAAAATTCACACTTAATTTTTCAGAGATGTGCAAGGTCAGCATATGCTCTTATCCCTTCTCACATATTCATATTCTGTGATGCTCCAATTTGGAGCTCAGAAAATATTGATTGATGGTGTTGGATTTGGACTTATAAGAACAAAATCTGGGGAAAAATAGTGTTAACCAAAGGAAAATGTCATAACAGGAGGAAACTGAAAGCTTAAATTGCAAAAATAAAAAGCACATAATGGTCCAGATCCCAGGAGGCCCAAATATGAGAATACATTAGAGATCAGTTGATTAGAGATGGGGTCTGACTCCGTCGTCCAGGCTGGAGAGCCATGGCGTCGTGATCGTAGCTCACTGCAGCCTCGACCTCCTGGGCTCAAGCCATCCTCCAGCCTCCCGAGTAGCTGGGACTACAGGTGTGCACTGCCACACCTGTCTTTCTTGCTTTCCTTTTTATACGGATTTCTCACCTCTAGGTACTCCCGAGAGCGCCTCCTCTATCACCACAGATCCGCGTAGCCTGCATCACTGATCTCACCTCTAGGTACTCCTGAGAACTCCTCCTCCGTCTGTGGATCTGCGTGGTCTCCATCACTGATCTCACCTCTAGGTACTCCCGAGAGTGCCTCCTCCATCACCACAGATCCGCGTAGCCTGCATCACTGATCTCACCTCTAGGTACTCCTGAGAACTCCTCCTCCGTCTGTGGATCTGCGTGGTCTCCATCACTGATCTCACCTCTAGGTACTCCCGAGAGTGCCTCCTCCATCACCACAGATCCGCGTAGCCTGCATCACTGATCTCACCTCTAGGTACTCCTGAGAACTCCTCCTCCGTCTGTGGATCTGCGTGGTCTCCATCACTGATCTCACCTCTAGGTACTCCCGAGAGTGCCTCCTCCATCACCACAGATCCGCGTAGCCTGCATCACTGATCTCACCTCTAGGTACTCCTGAGAACTCCTCCTCTGTCTGTGGATCTGCGTGGTCTCCATCACTGATCTCACCTCTAGGTATTTCCGAGAGAGAGCGCCTCCTCCGTCACTGTGGATCTGCGTAGCCGGCATCACTGATGTCACCTCTAGGTACTCCTGAGAACTCCTCCTCCGTCTGTGGATCTGCGTGGTCTCCATCACTGATCTTACCTCTAGGTATTCCCGAGAGAGAGCGCCTCCTCCGTCACTGTGGATCTGCGTAGCCCGCATCACTGATGTCACCTCTAGGTACTCCTGAGAACGTCTCCTCCATCACTGTGGATCCACGTAGTCTGCATCACTGAGATGTGTCGCGTCATTTCTGTCTTCCTGTTGTGCGTTGCTTTGGCTGAAGTATAGAAATTGCATCAATCCACTGCCTTTCACCCCCGCGAATAGCTTCCTAGGGCCACTGTAATAAATTACTACACAGTGGGTGGCTTAGAACAATTTTATTCCTCAGCCTCCTGGAGGCCACACGTCTGAAATCAGGGTGTCAGCAGGGCAGTGCTCCCTGTGAAGGATCCAGCGAGAAACTGTTCCATGGTGTTCTCTTAGGTCCTGGTGTTGCCGACAACCCTTGCTGACCCTCGGCTGGCAGAGGCATCACTCCCACCTCTGCCTCCGTCATCACAGGGCCCTCTCCCTATGTTGCGTGTCTGTCTCTGTGTCGCCTCTCCTCTTCTAATAAGAACACCAGGAATACCCACCCACATGCCGGCACGGTGCTCCATGCCTGTAATCCTAGCTCTTTGGGAGGCCAAGGCAGGCAGATCACTTGAGGCCAGAAGTTTGAGACCAGCCTAGGCAACCTGGCAACACCTCCTCTCTACAAAAAACAAAAAAATTAGCCAGGTGTGGTGACTTGCACCTGTAGTCCCAGCTACTCAGGAGGCTGAGGTGGGAGGATCGCTTGAGCCCTGGAGGTCAAGGCTTCAGTGAGCCATGATTGCACCACTGCACTCCCGCCTGGGTGACAAAGCAAGACCCTGTCTCAAACAAAACAAAACAAAACAAAAAAACTGAACCACACTACTCCAGTATGGCCTCGTCTTAACCAATTATATCTACAATGACCGTCTTTCCAAATAAAGTCACATTTTGAGATTAAAGGGGTTGGGACTTGAACATGTCCTTTTGGGGGACACAGTTGAACCTACAGCTGTGGTGAGTAAGTGTCTCCAGGCTTTTGATCTCCAGAAGCGTGTTACTACATTCTCCTTTCCATCTCGTGTTGTACATGTGCAAGAGTTTCTCTTGGCTGGACACACACACGCATACACAGAATTGAATGGCTGGATCAAAAAGACATTTACAACACATGCTCACCAAAGGAATGTTGCAAAATGTTCCCCAGTTTGTAACGTCTCTTTTCACTTAAAGTCTTCCTGATTCACAAAAGTTGTTAATTTTAATATGGTTCAACTTATTGATACTTCTTTCAGTTCATGTTTAAAATATCCTTTCCTATCCCATAGTTGAAAAGATATTCACTTACATTTTATTTTATTTTATTTTTTGTGGTGGAGTTTCGCTCTGTTGCTCAGGCTGGAGTGCAATGGCCCGATCTCTGCTCACCACAACCTCCGCCTCCTGGGTTCAAGCAATTCTCCTGCCTCAGCCTCCCGAGTAGCTGGGATTACAGGCATGCACTACCACACCCGGCTAATTTTGTATTTTTAGAAGAGACGAGGTTTCTCCATGTTGGCCAAGGCTGGTCTCGAACTCCCAAACTCAGGTGATCCGCCCACCTTGGCCTCCCAAAGTGCTGGGATTATAGGCTGGGCCACTGAGCCCAGCCTTTCACTTACACTTTATACTAGGAATTTTTAAGTTTTGTTTTTGACAGATGAACCTTGATCCATCAGGAGTTGCTTTTTGCATATAGTGTAAGATAGGGATTTTCTTTTTCTTTTCTTTTCTTTTTCTTTCTTTCTTTTTTTTTTTTTTTTTTTTGAGACAGAATTTCACTCTGTCACCCAGGCTGGAGTGCAGTGGCACGATCAAGGCTCACTGCAGCCTTGCCCCTGCAGTCTCAAGCAATCTTCCTGCCTCAGTCTCCCAAGTAGCTGGGACTACAGGTGTGCACCACCATGCCTGGCTAATTTTTTTTTTTTTTTTTTTTTTTTTTTTTGGTAGAGATGGGGTTTCACCATGTTGTCAGGCTGGGCTCAAGTGATCTGCTCACCCCGGCCTCCCAAAGTACTGGGATTACAGGTGTGAGCCACCATGCCCAGCTGTAGATAGGGGTTTGATTTTGTCTTTTTTTTTGTGGATGACCAGTTTTTCCAGTTCCAGCTAATGAATGGTTCCTTCTGTGCTGATCTGACATGCCGTCCATCCCATGCTCACATCCATAATATGACTGTGTTGCTGGCCTCCCTGTTCTCTTCCATTGGTCAGCATGCCTTTTCCTGGGCCAGTATCACACTGTCTTAAATAATTACTATAGGCTGGGCTCAGTGGCTCACGCCTGTAATCCCGGCACTTTGGGAGGCCAAGGTAGGTGAATCACTTGAGGTCAGGAGTTTGAGACCAGCCTGGCCAATGTGGTGAAACCCTGTCTCTACTAAAAATACAAAAACAAGCCGGGCATGGTGGCACATGCCTGTAATCCCAGCTACTTGGGAGGCTGAGGCAGAAGAATCACTTGAACCCGGGAGACGGAGGTTGCAGTGAGCCAATACTGTGCCATTGCACTCCAGGCTAGGCAACAAGAAAGAAACTCTGTCTCAAAAAAAAAAAAAAATTTACTGTAGTTTGGTAAGTGCTTATATTTGATAAACCAAGTCCTATCTCTCTGTTCTTAAGAAGAGTTTTGGCTATGTTCGATGCTTCCATGAAAATTCCACAAAAAACACTGGGAATTTTGATTGAAATCACACTGAATATACAGCTATTTTTGGGAAGTGTACATATTTCCTAGGATGAATTTTGAGGAGCTGAATTGCAGGTCAAAGACTGTATGAACACAGAGACTTTTGACAAACATCATCCAGTTGCTTTTCACTGGCTGTACTAAGCTACATATAGGCAAGAACTTGGCCGGCTCACCTTTATGTCTTGAGCTCCTAGCTCAGTGCCTGAAACACTTATCAAACCAGCAATGTCTCTTATGCCAGCTGCACCCCAACTTCTCCAGTATAATTTTGTTTTATTTCTTATTTTTATTTTTATTTTTTTGAGATGGAGTCCCGCTCTGTCGCCCAGGCTGGAGTGCAGTGGTGCGATCTCAGCTCACTACAACCTCCACCTCCCAGGTTCAAGCGATTCTCCTGCCTCAGCCTCCTGAGTAGCTGGGATTACAGGTGGGCACCACCACGCCCAGCTAATTTTTGTATTTTTAGTAGAGACGGGTTTCACTCTGTTGGTCAGGCTGGTCTCGAACTCCTGACCTCAGGTGATTCTCTCACCTTGACCTCCCAAAATGCTTCCAAGCTTTGGCATTTATGAAGAAAGCAGCTATAAACATCCAGGTGGAGGTTTTGTCAGGACCTAAGCTTTCAGCTCATTTGGGTAAATACCAAGGAACAGGATGGAGGAATCATATGGTAAGATACTGTTTAGTTTTGTAAGAAACTGCCAAACTGTCTTCCAAAGTGGCTGTACCGTTTGCATTCCCACCAGCGATGAAGGAACGTTCCTGTTGCTCCACAACCTCGCCAGCCTTTGGTGTTGTCCGTGTCCTGAATTTTCACCATTCCAATAGAAGGTGCTGTTTTCTGCTGGTTATGTTTAGAGATATTCATGATAAAAAGTAGTTACACTTTTCAAAATTCTACTAGAGGCCGTGTAGAAAAAGCTTGGAAGCACCCATGATGTCCTCCAGCAGGTGAAAGGATAAGCTGTGGTGCATCCAGAAATGGAATATTATTCAGCACTGAAAAGAACTCGACCATCAAGCCATGGAAAGACATGGGAGAAAAATGCACTTTACTAAGTGAAATAACCTGAAAAGGCCGCAATACCAACTATATGACATTCCAGAAAAGCCAAACCACGGAGACACTATAAAGATCAGTAGTGAGGGTGTGGGTAGGATGAGTGGGTTTCATGCGGAGGGTTTTTAGGGCAGTGTATAACGTTATCACAGGGATACATGTCCTTTCACATTTGTCAAAACCCACGAAATGTGCACCAGCAGACTGAACCCCAGTGTGAACTGTGGGCGATAATGGTGTGTCACTGTAGGTTCATCCGTTGTAACAAATGGACCACTCTAGGGGGATGCTGATATGGGGGAGGCTGTGCATATGTGGGGAGTAGGGGGTGTGCTAGAATCCTCTATACTTTGCACCCAATTTTGCTGTGAACCTAAAACTGCTCTAAAAAAGTCTATTTAAAGTAAAGCAACAACAGAATAAGATTTTAGTATAAATAAGTCTGTTATAAAATAGAGAACACCCATCAATGGATAAAAGTCAAGATTTTTATGTTGATCAATTTATAAGTGAAGTGACTTACAAAACTTTTTTTTTGAGGTCAGGTTAAAGCCATCTCAGCAACAAGTAATGGAGTTGCCAGTCTCCGAAATAAGCCACGTGGGTAGAGAGCAAACCGTTAATAACTTCAGCATTTCTGTGCACAGAACCAGGGAAGTAATGTCTTTAAATACAGCTGCATCTTGAAATATCTGCCACTAATTCAGGCACATTGAAATTGCTGCATTAAACTACTGAACTATAATAGAAGCCTCTGCAACCTTTATTCTGAGTTTACTGGTCCTATTTATAGCAGAGGATCAGAAAAAAAATGTATTGCTATCTGGTGTGACCGTGACAGTGACGTGTGTCTGGCGTAGTAGGTGACCGTGAGGGTGACGGGTGACCGTGACAGTGACGTGTGTCTGGCGTAGTAGGTGACCGTGAGGGTGACGGGTGACCGTGACAGTGACGTGTGTCTGGCGTAGTAGGTGACCGTGAGGGTGACGGGTGACCGTGACAGTGACGTGTGTCTGGCGTAGTAGGTGACCGTGAGGGTGACGGGTGACCGTGACAGTGACGTGTGTCTGGCGTAGTAGGTGACCGTGAGGGTGACGGGTGACCGTGACAGTGACGTGTGTCTGGCGTAGTAGGTGACCGTGAGGGTGACGGGTGACCGTGACAGTGACGTGTGTCTGGCGTAGTAGGTGACCGTGAGGGTGACGGGTGACCGTGACAGTGACGTGTGTCTGGCGTAGTAGGTGACCGTGAGGGTGACGGGTGACCGTGACAGTGACGTGTGTCTGGCGTAGTAGGTGACCGTGAGGGTGACGGGTGACTATGAGTGATGTGTGTCTGGTGTAATAGTCGACCATGATGGTGATAGGTGATGGTGACAGTGATGTGGTCTGGTGTAACAGGTGACCGTGATGGTAATAGATGACCGTGACAATGACATATGTCTGATGTAATAGTTGACCGTGAGGGTTACAGGAGAAAGTTGTACCGTCTGTTTCCACGGGAACATCTGTAGAGCATGTTTGGCTAATGTTTCTCTTAGTGCACATTGGAACCATGCCATTCTGTTTTCCCTGCCCCCACCTGACAGCACAGTGCCCAGCACATGTACATGTACGGTATTAACATTGTCAGAACACATAGCTGTGACATGGTATCACTCTCTCCCCTACAGGCATTCGTCCTAATTCTGCAAGGAGATGTATATTCCATGCTAACCAGCAGTCCCTGGTGTCTCTCCAGTCATTTAGATGGTCTGAAGCAACATGGGCTTAGCCATTTGGGATTAATTTTCCTGGATATTGTGCCCTTCCAATACCTAATTTCAAGGTTTTTTTGATTTCAGGAAACAGTTCTCAAAATATACTTTTTTTTTTGAGACAGAGTCTCACTCTGTCCCCAGGCTGGAGTGCAATGGGGTGATCTCAGCTCACTGCAAACTCCGCCTCCCAGATTCAAGCGATTCTCCTGCCTCGGCCTCCCGAGTAGCTGGGATTACAGGCACGCACCACCACACCTGGCTAATTTGTGTGTGTGTGTTTCAGTAGAGACGGGGTTTCACTATGTTGGCCAGTCTGGTTTCGAACTCCTGACCTCAAGGGATCCACCTGCCTTGGCCCCTCAAAGTGCTGGGATTACGGGTGTGAGCCACCACGCCAGGCCCAAATATACGTTTTAATATTATTTTGTATTACTGCCTTGGTTTTCCTCTTCAGCAACTCCTATTAAATTTATATTAGATCTTTTTTTCTGATCTTCTATACTTATTCCTCATTTTGAATTGGTTTCATCTTGTCATTTATTTTTAATTTCAACTTTATGGAGGTATAATTGAAGTACACTAAAACACAGATATTGATGGTGTAACCTTTGTTTTTGAGGTGCATGTGGAGTTTCACATCCATTACACTCAAGGTAGCAGCTATTTCTATGACCCCCAAAAGTTTCTAGTGCCCATCTATATCCATCCCTACCTCCACCCCATCCCCAGGATGTGGTTTCTGTCATTATATGCTAGTTTTCATGTTCCAGAAATTCAGACAAATAGAATTATACAGTATATTCTATTTTTCTTTTCTTTTCTTTCTTTTTTATTTTTATTTATTTTTTTTGAGACGAAGTCTCACTGTCACCCAGGCTGAAATGCAGTGGCATGATCTTGGCTCACTGCAACCTCTGCCTCCCAGGTTCAAGCCATTCTCCTGCCTCAGCCTCCAGAGTAGCTGGGATTACAGGTGCCCACCACCACAACCGGCTAAATTTTTTATTTTTAGTACAGACAGGGTTTTGCCATGTTGCCCAGACTGGTCTTGAACTCCCGACCTCAGGCGATCCGCCCGCCTCGGCCTCCCAAAGTGCTGGGATTACAGGCGTGAGCCGCCGCGCCCAGCCGTGATTCTGTTTGGCTTCTTTTACGCTGTGTACTTCTGAGGTTCAACTGTGCTATCACTTGTGTCAGTAGCTTCCTTTTTTAATTGCTGAATAACATCCCACCGTATGGATACATCACCCTTCCTTTGTCCATGAAGTGCCCGCCCACTTCATTTCATGGGTATTTCAGTTGTTTCCAGCTTTTGGCTATTGGAAATACAGCTGTGAAGGATATCTGTATACCAGTGCTTATGTGGGCATGTACTTTTTTTCCCCTGGAGCAAGTCTGAAATGGTTGGGTCATATGGTGGTGTATGTTTACTGTTTCAAGAAAGAAAGTCCTATTTTTTCTAGGATTTATCCCATCTTATACCGCCACCAGCAGTGCGTGAGACAATGCCTGTTGTTTACAAGTGTGTGGCAGTGTCTCCTTGTGGTTTTCATTTGTGTTTCCCTGATGATGGAGGGGAACATTTCTTCTTCTTCCTTCTTCTTTTTCTTCTTTTTTTTCTTTTTTCTTTTTTTCTTTTTTTTTTTTTTGTTTGAGACGAGTCTTGCTCTGTCACCTGGGCTAGAGTTCAGTGGTAGGATCTCGGCTCACTGCAACCTCCGCCTCCCGGGTTCAAGTGATTCTGCTGCCTCAACCTCCCGAGTAGCTGGATTACTGGCGCACACCACAACGCCTGGCTAATTTTTGTATTTTTAGTAGAGCTGGGGTTTCGCCATGTTGGCCAGGCTGGTCTCAAACTCCTGACCTCAGGTGATCTGCCTGCCTTGGCCTCCCAAAGTGCTGGGATTACAGGTGTGAGCCACCACGCCTGGCATGGGGCACATTTTTTCATGTGCTTATTGGTTATTTTAAATATTATTCTATGAAATGTCTGTTGCCTATTTTTTTAAAAGTGGGTTATTTGTTTTCTGGTTATTGGCTTTTAAGAGTAAGTTCTGGATGTAAGTCCTTTGTCTGGCATGTGTGGTGCAAATGTTTTCTTCAATGGATGGCTTGCCTTTCTGTTTTTAAAAATGGGTTATTTCAAAGAGCAAGATATTTTATTCTATTTCATTTTTATTGTTTATTTTTTGAGACCGAGTCTTGCTCTGTTGCCTAGGCTGGGTGCAGTGGCACGATCTCGGCTCACTGCAATCTCTGCCATCCAGGTTCAAGCAATTCTTGTGCCTCAGCCTCCCGAGTAGCTGGGACCACAGGCAAGCACCACCATGTCCAGCTAATTTTTGTATGTTTAGTAGAGACAGGGTTTCACCATGTTGGCCAGGCTGGTCTCGAACCCCCGACCTCAAGTGATCCTCCTGCCTTGGCCTCCCAAAGGGCTGGGATGACAGGCGTGAGCCACTGTGCCCAGCCAGAGCAAGATATTTTACTTTTGATGAAGTCTAGTTAATTTTTTTCTCTTGTGGTCTATGCCATATCACTAAGATTTTCTTCCTGTTCTAGAGACTCATCGTTTGGAATTTTACATATACCTCTGTGACATATTTTGGATTAAACTTGCATATGGCGTGAGGTGTTAAGAGTTATTTTTCTTCCCCGCGTGAGTATCCAGTTGATACAGCACCATTCATTGAAAAGAATTTCCTTTCTGTGTTAAATTACCTGGACATCTTGTTGAATCAATTGACAAAAGATGTGTGGGTCTGTTCCTAAACTTGCAGATTCTGTGTCATTGATCTCTGTGACTATTTTTCTGACAAGGTATTTTGATTTATGTAGTTTTGTTATTGTTGTTTGTTTGTTTGTTTGTTTGAGATAGGGCCTCACTTTGTCTCCCAGGCTGGAGTGCAGTGGCGCAATCTTGGCTCACTGCAGCCTTGATCTTCCAGGCTCACATGATCGTCCCACATCAGCCTCCCAAGTAGCTGGGACTACAGGCGTGTACCACCCCACCTGGCTAATTTTTGTATTTTTTGGCCTCCCAAAGTGCTAGGATTACAGGTGTGAGCCACCACACTTGGCCTTGATTTATGTAATTTTAAGCCTTGAAGTTAGGTAGGTTAAGTATTTCAGTTTTTTTTTTTTAATGATTGATTTTAGTTGGGCACGGTGGATAATACCTGTAACCCCAGCAACTCAGGAGGCTGAGGTGGGAGGATCACTTGAGGCCAGGAGTTTGAGACCAGCTTGGGTAACATAGGGAGACCCCACCTCTACTAAAAATAAAAATATGGTCGGGGGTGGTGGCTCACGCCTGTAATCCCATCACTTTGGGAGGCCAATGTGGGCGGATCACTTGAGCTCACAAGTTCCAGACCAGCCTGGGTGACATGGCAAAAGCCTGTCTCTACAAAAAAATACAAAAATTAACCAGGCATGGTAGTGGGTGCCTGTAGTCCCAGCTACTTGGGAGGCTGAGGTGGGAGGATGGCATGAGCCTGGGAGGGCGGAGGTTGCAGTGAGTCGAGATCGCGCCATCGCACTCCAGCCTGGGCAATAGAGCCAGACCTTGTCTTGAAAAATAAATAAATAAATAAAAATAAATGAGGGATTTGAGTCCCGCCCCTAGACCTTATGGAACCTTAATTCCTGCCTTACTCCAAATACAACCACACTGGGAGTTCAGGCTCCAGCATAGGAATCTTGGTGACAGAGACATTCAGTGCGTAGCAGCTGCTCGGAGGTACAGACGCCCCGGCACCTGCAGCGCTCCCTGGACTCCTCACAGCAGCCTCCCACTTTGCTCTTAGCCTCCGCGGAGAAGCTTGTTGACTTGTTGGGATTCTGCTTTCAGGAACTGCAGATGCCCTGTTGCCTTTTTATGCCTTTCTTACCAAGATGCTGGTGCTGAAAATGCCACCTGCAAAATTTCATTCCAAAACGTTGAATCCAGCTTTTAAACTACAGTTTCATAGGAATACAGGATGCAAAAGATTAGGTTAAATTACACTACACAAAATCAGCAAAATCCAGAATGTGTGGAACTCAACAGAACAGTGATTTTCCTAGAAAAACTACAACAAAGACCAAGGGATGGAATTGTAAAATTGTAGTTTAAAAGAGACTTAAGAGCCTCGTGAATTGAAGGCCATCTCTGGATCTAGTTTGGATCTTGATTTTAACAGTGAAAAAAAATATTTGCTAGATAAATAAATTTGAGGACTCTATATTTGATGATTCTAAGGAATTGTTAATTTTTTGTGTGATAATAAGTTTTTAAAAGGTCTACTTTGGTGTATGTAAGAAAACGTCTGTAATAAAAAAACTCATTGACCAGCCTGGGCAGCATGGTGAGACCCAGTCTCTACAAAAAATACAAAAGTTAGCTTGGTGTGGTTGTGTGTGCCTATAGTCCCAGCTACTTGGGAGGCTGAGGTGGGAGGATCACCTGAGCCCAGGAGGCAGAGGTTGCAGTGAGCTATAGTTGCACCACTGCACTCCAGCCTGAGTGACAGAGTGAGACCCTGTCTCAAAACAAACAAACAGCAACAAAAACTCATTGAAAAAGTTTCACAGCATTGAAACTTTTATCTATTTTATCCACCTTTTTATCTATCAATGACTGCAATCATTGATGATTAATAGATCCACTATTTCATCTATTAATCAATGATTGTGATGCGTTACTTTGCTTATCCTATTACACCTGCATTTGTCAGGTGTGACTGTCTTGTGCAGAATGGTTTTTCTTCGGCCGGGCGCGGTGGCTCACGCCTGTAATCCCAGCACTTTGGGAGGCAAAGGCAGGCGGATCACGAGGTCAGGAGATCGAGACCATCCTGGCTAACACAGTGAAACCCCGTCTCTACTAAAAATACAAAAAATTAGCTGGGCGTGGTGGTGGGCGCCTGTAGTCCCAGCTACTCGGGAGGCTGAGGCAGGAGAATGGCGTGAACCCAGGAGGCGGAGCTTGCAGTGAGCCGAGATTGCGCCACTGCACTCCAGCCTGGGTGACAGAGCGAGACTCTGTCTCAAAAAAAAAAAAAAAAAAAGAAAAAAGAATGGCTTTTCTTCATCAACAATTTGGTTATCCTAAAATACAGTTCATGTAGAACACACAGAATTAATACTTGATTTTTTTCCTTATCAATTTTCTGGATACTGATTTGGTGCCCTGGTCACTTGCAGAAGTAGCTGATAGTATTTCCCTTTGCAGTCTCACGTGGGCGTAGATTTTTATGTATTTGGTGTGGTTCCACATATTGCAGTCATTATTTTCTTTTTCTTTTCTTTCTTTCTTTCTTTTTTTTTTGAGATGGAGTCTCACTCTCTTGCCTAGGCTGGAGTGCAGTGGCAAGGTCTCGGCTCACTGCAACTTCCATTTCCCGGGCTCAAGTGATTCTCATGCCTCAGCTTCCCGAATAGCTGGAATTACAGGCTTGCACCACCATACCCAGCTAATTTTTTTGTATTTTTAGTGGAGATGGGGTTTCACCATGTTGGCCAGGCTGGTCTTGAACTCCTGACCTCAAGTGATCCGCCTGCCTCCTTGGCCTCCCAAAGTGCTGGGATTACAGGCATGAGCCACCACGCCTGGTCATTATTTTCTCTTTTGATGGTCAAATTACACTATCTTTGGCATCACTGCAGTATGACACTTTTCCCGTTTAATAACGTTTTTGCTTTCAGTCATGACAAAATGTCCTGGGATGATCGTACATATTTCTGGCTCCAGACTAAGTATCAGAGTTTCCCCAGCAAGCCCTGAGTCTTGTTAACGAGAAATGCTCTGCAGAGACCTGGGTCTAGGGGCTCAAGATGTTTGCTGTTACCAGTTTGTCATTGCTACTCGACTATTTTGGGGACACAACTAGGAAACAATTTTTTTTGAAAGGGAAAAATATTAATAAATCCCTGGATCTTTTGAATTCACTTTTACAACAGCATAGGTATTACATCACATCATATTGTATTCCAGGATATGTTCAATTAGACCCTCTTGAAAAACATGTAGGTGATTTCCAGTCTTTTGTAATGAAAGTTGATATGGTGTAGCTCTGTGTCCCCACCCAAATCTCACCTTGACTTATAATAATTCCTATGGGTCAAGGGCCGGACCAGGTAGACGTAATTGAATCACAAGGGCAGTTTCCCCCATGCTGTACTCGTGATAATGAGTGAGTCTCACAAGATCTGATGGTTTTCTAAGTGTCTGGCATTTCCTCCTTTGCTCGGCACTCATTCTCTCTCCTGCCGCCCTGTGAAGAGGTGTCTTCTGTCATGATTGTAAGTTTCCTGAGGCCTTCCCAGCCATGCAGAACTGTGAGTCAATTAAACCTCGTTTCTTTATAAATTACCCGGTCTTGGGTATTTCTTCATAGCAGCATGAGAACGGATGAATACAAAGTCTTGCGTACTTATAATTTCATATAGTTGTGCCAGAACATCTTTGTAGCAGAAGTGAGACTGGGGTCAAAGGGTAAAGGCATATTCAATTTGGCTAAATACTGCCAACTTCTTCCCTTTAGGGGTCATAACCATTTTCATTCCCACCAGCAATGTATTCTGTTTTAGCCAAGGTCATTTTAAAAAATTTATACAACTTAAAACTTTTCAGGACCAGATGGAATGACTCACGCCTATAATTCCAGCACTTTGGGAGACAGAGCTGGGAAAATCTCTTGAGGCCAGGAGTTCCAGGCTGGCCTGGGCAACAAAGCAAGGCCTCGTCTCTAAAATCAAAACAAAATTATCATGAAAGCATGGATTTCCATTTTCTCTCGAGAAACGAGATGATCTGGCCATGCCCGTTCCTGTGTGGAGGGACAGAGTTCAGCAGATCACCAGGACTCCGGCTTCTGGAAAATGCAGGCCTGCTTGCTCACACTTGGTGTAGGTGCTAGTTTACAGGCATTTGAATTTCAGAGTTCTTGTTATAAGCTGGACTTTGCCATTTACCTGTGAATGAGACACACATGTCTCTGCTCTAATGGTGCTTACGTGTGTGTGTGTGTGCATGCATGTGTGTGTGTGTACATGCATGTGTGTCCACATGTGTGAATATAGAGGGGGCTCAGCATGCTTTATAACATGTTTATATAACATAGAAATTGTCAGCCTGGGCAACATGGTGAAACCACGTCTCTACTAAAAATACAAAAATTAGCCAGGTATGGTGGCACTCACCTGTAATCCCAGCTACTTAGGAGGCTGAGGTGGGAGGATTGCTTGAGCCCTGGAGGTCGAGGCTGCAGTGAGCCGTGATGGCACCACTGCAGTTTGGCCTGGGCAACAGAGTGAGACTCTGTCTCAAAAAGAAAAAAAAAAAAGAAATCAACCTATGGTTAAATTTGTAATGCCTTCCTCAGAATTTTATAAATTATTTTCATTGCAGAGAAATTGGGTTGAATTTGAAATAGTGGGAGTACTTGCCCTTCATCTTAATGAGGCCAGCACAGAAGGAAAGGCGGGAGTGTGTGGAGTCTACAGCCTGGCCTCGAAGGCTGAGGGCACCTGGAATTTTGTGTCTAACAACCGAGGATTACTGCAGGGGCTGAGGAGGGCAGGGCCGACGGTGCTCATCGGAGGCAACATCACTGCTGAGATGTTGAGAAAGATGGAAATTGTGCTGGCTTGGGATTCTCCTATGATTAAATCACCCAATATTTAATCCTATTAAATCCTCACAGTGCTCTAGTTTAATAAAACTCTTTAATATATGTCATAGGAAGGCCTTGTTATCCGAAGATAATTGGTATTAAAAGTAACCACTTGAAAAGAGTCTACTTAACACAAGGACAGGAATCTTACAGTGACAGTGTGACAAGTTTTGGATTTGATGCTATGGATTTCATAATTGAAATTGTATGCTGATTCTTGGAACAAAGCAAAAAACGAGCTGCGTTCATTTGGGAGGAACGTCATTTGTATGGTAGAATTATAGTTTATTCTTCAATTCGCACTTGGTTTTCACAGCATAATCATAAGAACAGATTTCTATGAAAATACTTCAGGGCTTCATCAGCTTCCCGGAGGCCCTTCCTTTGTCTTCTGTCCTCAGAATATTCTCTTATGGACATCGATTGTCCTCGGGACATTTGGACAGTTCTCCCAAGGGACCTTCTGTTTTTTTCTTTCCTTTTTTTGAGGCAGGGTCTCACTCTGAGGCCCAGGCTGGAGTGCAGTGGCGCAATCTCACCTCACTGCAACCTCCGCCTCCTGGGCTCAAGCCATCCTCCCACCTCAGCCTCCCAAGTAGCTGGGATTACAGGGGCTCGCCACCACACCTGGCTAATTTCTGTAGTTTTTGTAGAAGTGGGATTTCGCCATGTGGCCCAGGCTGGTCTTGAACTCCTGAGCTGAAGGAATCCACCTGCCTTGGCCTCCCAAAATGCTGGGATTACAGGCATGTGCCACCGCACCTGGCCCCGGGTGATCTTCTGTTGCAGGATTTGCAATGTCTCTTTTAACTGGTTTAACTCCAATTCCGTTCATCAGAGAGGGCCAGGACGACCAAGGCCAGGGATTTTGACTCCCTGACTTGGATGATAGGTGCCAACATGAGGCAGGGGGAGTTGTCGAGGAGCCATTTTGTAAGTGATCAATAGTGAATAACGTCGGGTGTTGATGACTTTCGCCTCCTCTTGCAACCTCGATGAGGATATTTGGATAATGAGAAGCTGTTGTGTTTCATTGGATTCTTATGATAATCCTGATAACCAGCCAAGGTCCCACAGCCAGGACACACAGGATGTCATCCACCCCGTACCTATGAGCCTCTGTGACACCATTAGGCCCAGCGCTGCTGTAGGTACTGTGAAAAGAGGGATATTTTTAGGTCAATCAACAATGTTAACATATGCATATATTTAAAAAGTCTTAAATTATTATTATTTGCCGGGCACGGTGGCTCCCGCCTATAATCCCAGCACTTTGGGAGGCCAAGGCGGGTAGATCACCTGAGGTCAGGAGTTCAAGACCAGCCTGGCCAACATGGCGAAACCCCGTCTCCACTAAAGACACACACACACACACACACACACACACACACACAAAATTAGCCGGGTGTGGTGGCGGGCACCTGTAATCCCAGCTACTAGAGAGGCTGAGATCCACCATGTCTGGCCACTTTCTTTTTGTATTTTTGTAGAGACAGGGTTTCATGATACTGGCTGTTGTTAAACTCCTGACCTCAGGTGATCTGCCTGCCTCGGCCTCCCAAAGTGCTGGCATTACAGGCGTGAGCCACTGCGCCCAGCTAGGAAAAGAAAATTACCATTTTGTTTTATTACACGAGTGGATGTTAATTATAAAAATATTCAGACACTATATAGAAATAGCACAGCCATCCACAGTCCTGCACTTTGAGACAAGCTTCTGTGTGTTATGGCACAAGTCATTGTTTGTGACCGGTTTCTCATAGACTTTTAAAAAGCACGGTCGTTTCATTTTCCTTCCATCTTCTCTCACCAGGTAACAGCCTGGTGGTCTATCCTTCCATGCTTTCTCCGTTGTCACAGTGTGTGTGTGTGCTTGTGTGTGTTGTGTGTGTGTGTGCACAGATTTGATGGTGTCTTAGGGTTCTCCAGAGGGACAGAACCAACAGGATGTATGTATACATGAAAGGATCTTATTAGGGAAAATTGGCTCACACGATCACAAGACGAGGTCCCAGGATAGGCCGTCTGCAAGCTGGGCAAGAGAGAAGCCGGTAGTGGCTCAGTCCGTGTCCAAAAGCCTCAAACCAAGAAAGTCGACAGTGCCACCTTCTCTCTGTGGCAGAAGGCTTGAGACCTTCCAGAAGCCACAGATGCAAGTCCCAGAGTCCAAAGGCAGGAGAACCTGGAGGCTGATGTCCAAGGGCAGAAGGAGAGGGAGGAAGCATCCAGCACAGGAGAAAGAAGGAAGCCGGGAGACCCAGCAAGCCAGGTCATCCCATCTTCCTCCTGCCTTGTCCCAGCCGCGCTGGCAGCCCACTGGATGGTGCCCACCCACATCGAGGGTATGTTTCCTCTCCCAGTCCACCAACTCAAATGTCCATCTCCTCTGGCAACATCCTCACACCCAAGAACCATACTTCACCAGCCATCTAGGCCTCTTCAGTCCAAACAAGTTGACGTCTAATATTTACCATCACAGATGAATTTCAATACTTTTGATTATTTGAACAGGGAACACGCAGACACTCACATGATCCACAGCCCACGAAGTGCTGACAGGCACACTGGTGGGAAGTCTCTCCCCATCCATGCAATCTTTGTCTCACCCCGATAGACACTGGCTGGTATTGGCTTCCTGTATGTCCTGTCATAATTTGTTTATGCTCAAACACATAAGAATATAGACTTTTATTCTTCCACCAGTTATAAAAGCAAACAAAAGCTAGTTTGTTTAGACAATATGCGTTTGGCTTTTTCACAGAAGAGCATATCTTGGAGATAATTTCACAGTGAGTATTGAGATCCCTCTAAGTAGCTGTATACCATCGAGGCTGGATGGATGCATCAAAATTGAATAACCAGCCCCCTATTGAGGACATTTGGGTTGGTTATCATATTATTACAAACACTACTGTGAATATATTCTTGCACACTTGTTATTTTGCATATGTGCAAATACATCTGCAGGATCAACCCCTAGAAGTGGAATTGTTGGGTCACAGATGAATGTCGCTAGCTGCTGCTTAACGGCCTGCACTATTGTGCTGCTCACATTCCCATTAGCAGAGTGGGAGCGCTCTCGTTCTCCCGTAGCTTTGATACCAGCCTGTGTTATTAAACTTTTGGAACTCTGCCATTCTGATAAGTGAAAAATGTAATTCCGCGTGGCTTTAATTTGCATTTATCTTATCACAGGTGAGATTTAACCTCTTCACTTGTGTAACAGCTATTCCTAGTTCTTTGTAAATTGCATGCTCATAGCCTTCCTTTCTCTATTTTCTTTGTTAGTTGCCTCTCCTTTTTGAAAATGCATTTCTAGGAGCTCTTTATTATGAAGAACATCCCTTGTAATGAGATGCAAACATTTTTTCCCAGTTCATCATTTGCCTTTTGCTTTTGCATTTTTATTTATTTTAATTTTTTTTGAGACAGAATCTTGCACTGTCCCCCAGGCTGGAGTGCAGTGTCGTGATCTCGGCTCACTGCAATCTCCGCCTCCCGGTTCTTGTGCTTCAGCCTCCCGAGTAGCTGGGGTTACAGGCGCACTCCACCATGCCCAGCTAATTTTTGTATTTTTAGTAGAGATGGGGTTTCATCATGTTGGCCAGGCTGGTCTCAAACTCCTGACCTCAACTGATCCACCCGCCTTGGCCTCCCAAAGTGCTGGGATGACAGGCCTGAGCCACTGTGCCCGGCCTTATTTTCTTTTTCAAGATAGTTATGCCTATGTTTCAACACCATTACTGAAGAGTTACCCATAATTTCTCTGAGATGTCAAACTTATCATATGTTATATTCTCATTTGTACTGAGGCGTGTTCCTGTGCTTTTGATAGCATTACAATGATCTATTTTTGTGCCAAGGCCACCAGGGTTAATTATTGTAACTTCATAATCCATCCTCTTCATATATATATGAAAATATATATATATATACACTTTATATATATATATACACTTTATATATATATACACTTTATATATATATATACACTTTATATATATATATACATATATATATATATATACACTTTATATATATATACACTTTTTTTCTGGTTACTCTTGCTTGTTTATTTTTCCTCTTAACCTAGTTCCAACAAAACAGAACCCAATGCAAGCAAAGAATCTAGTTATAGTATTTGTGTTAGCAACACTTCATATTTATAAATTAACATAGAGACAAGGACACTTTATTATATTGAGTCCTTGTTCAGGGCTGAATTATGTGCCTTCACACCCTGAAACTCATGTGTTGAAGCCTTAACCCCTGGTCCTCAGAATGTGATTGTGTTTGGAGATAGTCTTTAAAAAGGTGATTAAATTAAAACGAGGCCCTTAGGGTGGATCCTGTTCTAATCTGACTTATGTCCTTGTAAGAAGAGGAGAGTCAGACATGCAAGGAGATACCAGGGATGGACGAACACCGAGAAAAATACCCTATGAGGACACGGGCAAGAAGGCAGCCGTCTGCAAGCCAAGGAGAGAGCCCCCAGGAGAAACTCGCCCTGCTGACTCCTTGGCCTTGAACCTGCAAGCTCCGGAACTGTGAGAGAATACATTTTACACATTTTGTTGTTTAAGGCAAAAGGTCTGGGGAACTTTATTATGGCAGTCCTAGCTAACTAATTCAGTCCTCTCTCCAAGAATATAATATTTCTTTCTATTTCTTCATACTAAAAAATTAATACATTAAGGGTTTTCTTCACTCAGTTCTTGTAGAGTTCTTAAGCTTATTTTGAGGTATTTTAAATTTTTTTTGGTGGGATGCTTTTTTAAGTATATAGAGTCATTTTTTCTTATACCTTTTAAGCGATACTTCTTTGTATATATGAAAGTTCATTAAATTTGCCTTTGTAGTGTCTTTCCATTGTTTGTTTTACAAAAAATGGGACTTATCTACTCACCCACACTGAACTTTTTTTACTTAGCAATACATAGTGGAACTACCTTCAATTTGTTCAAGTCAACAAATTCCCCCCAACTCTCATATACCCACCACCTAGAACCTACCATTCACATTTTACTATGCTTGTTTTGTCACTCATTTATCTGTCTGTCTGTCTGTCTATCTTTTTTTTTTTTGAGACAGAGTTTCATTCTTGTTGCCCAGGCTGGCACAGTCTCTGCTCATTGCAACCTCTGCCTCCCTGGTTCAAGCGATTCTCCTGCCTCAGCCTCCCAAGTAGCTGGGATTACAGGCACCCGCCACTATGTTGGGCTAATTTTTGTATTTTTAGTAGAGGCAGGGTTTCACCGTGTTGGCCAGGCTGGTGTTCAACTCTTGACCTCAGGTGATTCACCCACCTTGGCCTCCCAAAGTGCTGGGATTACAGATGTGAGCCACCGTGCCTGGCCCTATCTGTCTGTCTGTCTATCTATCTATCTATCTACCTATCTATCATCTATCTATCTATCTTTCTATCTATATCTATCTATTCCTTTCTATTTCCATAAACCCATTCTTTTTAATGGGAGCATAATATTTGCCCTTTATAAAATACTACAGTTTGTTAAACTGATAGTTTGTTACTCCATTTCTAGTCTTTCCTCCTAACTACAAATATTTCTGCAATATATATTCTTACTTATGTGTTGATGCTTTTATTTCTGTAAGATAGATTCCCAGATGGAATGGAAATAATTTAATAGATATTGCCAGGTTGCTCTCCCAAATGGATAACTCACATTTCTAGGCTTGTTTAAGAACACCTTCTTTCTTCCTTGCATCCTTCCAGCTAATATCACTCTTTTACATTTTGAAGATTTACTGGGTATAAAATGATATTTCATTATTATTTGAATTTGCCCTTCCCTGACTCCAAGGAAGTGGGAGCATCCTTCATTTGTATAAAGACCATTTTACTTTGTATGTTTCTTCTTTGTATTTTTTGATTCTTTAAAAAAGTAGGTTTTTGGCCGGGCATGGTGGCTCATGCCTATAATCCCAGCACTTTGGAAGGCTGAGGTTGGAGGATAGCTTGAGCCCAGGAGTTTGAGACCAGTCTGGGCAACATGGCGAAACCCCGTCTCTAAAATTGAAAGGAGAAAAAAGAAAAAAAAATTAGGTTGTTTGTCTTTTGGTCATTATTTGGTATTGATTTGTAAGATAATGTTTGGCATTTCGTATGCTGTGCAAATATTTTCTTTCTTTCTTTCTTCCTTTTTTTTTTTTGAGACGGAGTCTTGTTCTGTCACCCAGGCTGGAGTGCAGTGGCATGATCTCAGCTCACTGCAACCTCCGCCTCCTGGGTTCAAGCGATTCTCCTGCCTCAGCCTCCCAAGTAGCTGGGATTACAGGCACCCACCACCACGCCCGGCTAATTTTTGTATTTTTTAGTAGAGGTGGGGTTTCGCCATGTTGGCCAGGCTGGTCTCGAACTCCTGACCTCAGGTGATCCACCCGCCTCAGCCTCCCAAAGTGCTGGGATTACAGGCATGAGCCATTGCACCTGGTCTAATATTTTCTTAATTTTTCATTTGTCTACTGATATTTTTGACATTTTTTTGGTCATGCAATTACAATTATGGCTGAATATTTTTTATCTTTCTATCATGGTTTCTGGATTTCTGTTGGCCCTGAATAGGTTCCTCTAATCTAAGTTGTATGGATAGTCTTGTAAATGATTTTGGCATTTTAATTTTATTTGTTTGCATGAAAGTGTTACTCTTTCTGGAAATTATTCTGTGTCTAGAGATCCAGGTCCGGTTTGTCTTTCCTTCTCCCATACTGATGACGTGTTTGCTGCAGTGGCATTTATTAAGTAGCCCCTCCGCCCACCTCCCCCGTGGCAGTGACAACCGTGCCCTGTGCTAATCCTCAGGCAGCAGGGCTCCATTCTGAGCGTCTGTGCTACCTTCAACTTCTCCAGCCCTAGATCCCCAGGATTCTGAGTGGATTTTGACTCCGTTGTCCTCTCTGGTGTGTAATCCCCCTTTATTTCCCACCATTTCCTTGGCTATTCTTGAATTTTTTTTTTTTTTTTTTTTTTTTTTTTTTTTTTTTTTTTTTTTTTTTTTTTTTAGACAAGTCTTGCTCTGTTGCTCAGGCTGGAGTGCAGCGGTGTGGTCTTGGCTCACTGCAGCCTCTACCTCCAGGGTTCAAGAGATTCTCCTGCCCCAGCCACTCAAGTAGCTGGGACTACAGGCATGCACCACCACCATGCCCGGCTAACATTTTCTGTATTTTTAGTAGAGACAGGGTTTCACCATGTTGACCAGGCTGGTCTCAAACTCCTGACTTCAAGTGATCCACCTGCCCTGGCCTCCCAAAGTTCTGGGATTACAGGCATGAGCCATCGCACCTGTGGAACATTTCTTATACTGTATGTATTAAAACCATTTTATCCAATTGAAAATGTGATTCAATTACAATCTTAAAAAATATTTAGAATAATGAGAGGAGAATCAGTCTTCTACAGTTAGTTTTTTCATCCAGGGATACAGTATCTTTTTCCATTTGTGTAGATCTTGTTTCACATCCTCCAATACTCCAATAAGATACTATGTTTTAAAATTCATCTTATTCTGTTATTTTAACTTAAAAAACTGTATTTTGACAAATGAAACTTTTTTTTTTTTTGAGACAGAGCCTCACTTCGTTACCAGGCTGGAGTGCAGTGGCGCGATCTCGGCTCGCTGCAACCTCCTCTTCCCGGGCTCAAGCAATTCTTCTGCCTCAGCCTCCCGAGTAGCTGGGACTACAGGCACACGCCACCATGCCAGCTAATTTTTGTATTTTTAGTAGAGATGAGGTTTCGCCATGTTGGTCAGGCTGGTCTCGATCTTGTGACCTCGTGATCTGCCTGCCTCAGCCTCCCAAAGTGCTGAGATTACAGGCATGAGCCACCGTGCCTGGCCAATTTTTCTTCATTTTTAAGTGTTATCTGGTTATTGCTAACTTACAGAAAAAAATTTAAAGACTGTATTTATCTTTAATCCAAGTGTCTTCACACACTCTTGTTTCTTTTGTTCATTAGTTTATTTTTCAGGTATTTTGCTTTTTCAAGGTATGTAATCATAGAGAGCAAAAGAGATTATATTATCACATTTCTAATGTTTATACTGATTATTTTATTTTCTCATATTCTTAAGTATGCTGAAATTGCTAATTGATAATAAATGAAAAGGTATTAGTATTTACTGTTTTTTAAAAAAATTATTTGATAGAGATAGGGTCTCACTATGTTGCCCAGGCTGGGGTCAAACTCCTAGGCTCAAACGATCCTCCTGCCTCAGCCTCCTGAACTGCTGGGATTACAGATGTGAGCCACTGTGCCTGGCCAGTATTCGCTGTTTTAAATTATCTGTATTCTTGGGGTTTGACAGGTAATTTTTAACCTTTAAGAAATTTATTTAGAAAGACTTTGTTAGAAATAGTTACTCAACTTTATCAACTGCCTTTTCAGCATCTCTTCCTATGAAATTTGTTCTCCCTTCCTTAGTTATTTGATGTAACTTTTAAATGTTGACAGATTCCTGAACATCAGTCATTCTTGAATTTCTGAGAAAAAGCCCTGCTTCAGTTTCATGCTTGGTCACAGTGTTTATCTGATTTATTTCTGTTCTCTTTGTTCATTTTTGTGCCTGTATTTCTATGGGTGATTGATCCACACTTTTCTAGTTTTCAATGACCATTGTCAGGTTCTGGTGTAAAGCCCAGGCGCGGTGGCATCACACAGGCTGAGCCACAGAGGCTTTGGGAGCCGGCCACCTGGGCACGGGCTGAACCACACGGGATCTGGGAGCCGGCCGCCTGGGCACGGGCTGATCCACATGGGCTCTGGGAGCCGGCCGCCTGGGCACGGGCTGAACCACCCGGGCTCTGGGAGCCGGCCGCCTGGGCACGGGCTGAACCACCCGGGATCTGGGAGCCGGCCGCCTGGGCACGGGCTGAACCACCCGGGATCTGGGAGCCGGCCGCCTGGGCACGGGCTGAACCACCCGGGCTCTGGGAGCCGGCCGCCTGGGCACGGGCTGAACCACCCGGGATCTGGGAGCCGGCCGCCTGGGCACGGGCTGATCCACATGGGCTCTGGGAGCCGGCCGCCTGGGCACGGGCTGAACCACCCGGGATCTGGGAGCCGGCCGCCTGGGCACGGGCTGATCCACATGGGCTCTGGGAGCCGGCCGCCTGGGCACGGGCTGAACCACACGGGATCTGGGAGCCGGCCGCCTGGGCACGGGCTGATCCACGTGGGCTCTGGGAGCCGGCCGCCTGGGCACGGGCTGATCCACGTGGGCTCTGGGAGCCGGCCGCTTGGGTTCGGCCCCACCCCCTGCCTCTTACCAGCTGTGTGCCCAGGACACTTGCTCTCTTCCTTTGATTGTTTTGCCTGTAAAATGAGAATATGGTAACATTTCCTCCACATGACTTCTGTGAGGATTAAGGAAGTTAGAAGACTGGTGTGTAGAACACTAGTACATGTTAGAAAAATTTGCCCTTTTTTTTGTGTGTGTGAGACAGGGTCTTGCTCTGTCGCCCAGGCTGGAGTGCAGTGTCGTGATCATAGCTCATTGCAGACTTGAACTCAGGGGCTCAAGGGATCCTCCACCTCAGCCTCCTGAGTAGCTGGGGCCACAGGCGTGTGCCACCATGCCTGGCTAATTTTTCTGTTTTCAAAAATACAGATGGGGTCTCACTGTGTTGCCCAGGTTAGTCTCAAACTCCTGGACTCAAGCGATCCACCTGCTTTGGCCTCCCAAAGTGCTGAGATTACAGGTGTGAGTCACCAGGCCTGGTGGCCCTGTCATTTTAAAAGGAAATGAGGGCCCAGCACAGTGGGAGGCCGAGGTGGGCAGATTACCTGAGGTCAGGAGTTTGAGAGCTGTCTGGCCAACATGGTGATACCCCGTCTCTACTAAAAATACAAAAATTAGCCAGATGTGGTGGTGCAGGCCTGTAATCCCAGTTACTCAGGAGGCTGAGGCAGGAGAATCACTTGAACCCGGGAGACAGAGGTTGCAGTGAGCTGAGATGGCGTCACTGCACTCCAGCCTGGGCAACAGAGCGAGACTGTCTCAAAAAAAAAAAAAAGTAAATGAGGATCTGTCTGTATTCTGTATTTTCTATAGTCTGGAATTATTTAAGGAATTTATCTACTGACTTCAACCTTGTACCTGAGGCATAAACTATTTGTATCAAGTGGGCTTGAAATGATGAGAACAGCAGATGATGGGAAAGAAAGGTCTGTACTCAGTGTTCCCACAGAAGAAAAGTCATCAGTGTCTGGTCTTTGATGTTCTCTAAGCAGATGGGCAAATCTCCAAGGTTCTGAAGTTTGTTGGGGAGGAAAAATAATGCTGTTTCCTTCTCTCGGAAAAAGTCAGCAAGGAGCGTGAGGGTTCAATGTGGTAACGTAGCTGCATGTTCCTCTCTGAAGCTCTCAGCTTCTCCCCAAAAACGTTGGACACACCATATCTCTCATCTTTGAAAACCCCATTCTCAATGTGGGCCTTTTAATGATGGGTTGTTAAATAACAATTTATGCCAGAAATTTCTTTCTTTAGTGAAGAAAGAGAAGAAAGATAAACTCCTTGGGAGCAGAGTTGTGCTTTGAAAATGTCTCACACTAAGACAGTTTTTTTTTTCCTTTTTTTTTTGAGACAGGGTCTCACTCTGTCATCCAGGCTGGAGTGCAGTGGCATGATCTTGGCTCACTGTAGCCTCAACTTCCTGGGCTCAAACAATCCTCCTGCCTCAGCCTCCTGAGTAGCTGGGACTACAGGTGCAGGCCACTGGACCTAGCTAATTTTTTAAAAATTAATTTTTGGTAGAGACAGGGTCTCACTATGTTGCCCAAGCTGGTCTTGAATTGCTGGCCTTGGTTGGTCCAAAAGTAGTGCGTTATCTCAATTGATTGTTCAAGGTCAGTTACAGATCAAAGTCCTCGTTCTTCCCTTCCCTCCTTCTCACTACTGCACTTGACTAGTCTTAAAAATATATTAAATATATATATATTTTAAAAAAGACCTGACTTCAAGTAATCCTTCTGCCTGGGCCTTCTAAGGTGCCAGGATTACAAGCATGAGCCACCAGGCCTGGCCTAAGACAACCTAAAATGTAAGGGTGTGTTTAAATAGGAAAGTGAAAAGTGGGGGATTAAGTTCCTAGATGAGTCCATGAATATATTATTGAAGCAGGGGGTAGAGTTAGTTTTTAAAGAGGTAGGCCAAATCATGTCACTTCTTCACTCCTAATGGCATCTGAGAGCACTTAGAATAAAACAGAAACCCATCTCAACATTTCAGATTCTTCCTGTCAGACTCCACATTGCTCCAGCCACATCCTCATTCTGTCTACCTTTTTTTTTTTTTTTTTTGAGACGGAGTCTCGTTCTGTCACCCAGGCTGGAGTGCAGTGGCACGATCTTGGCTCACTGCAACCTTCGCCTCCCGGGTTCAAGCGATTCTCCTGCCTCAGCTTCCTGAGTAGCTGTGACTACAGGCACCCTCCACCATGCCCGGCTAATTTTTTGTATTTTTAGTAGAGACGGGGTTTCACTGTGTTAGCCAGGATGGTCTCCATCTCCTGACCTCGTGATCCACCCGCCTCGGCCTCCCAAAGCACTGGGATTACAGGTGTGAGCCACCGCACCCGGCCCATTCTATTTCTTAAATATGCCCGGCTCATACCCTTCTTGGTATCTTAACATTTTTTAATCCATCTGCCTAGAAGGGTTTTGCTCCAGGTTTTTGAGTGGCTGGTTCCTGCTGAATGTTCGGCTCTCTGTTCAGATGCCTTTTACTGGCCACCCTCCCTTTAGTATTGCCATGGGCTCCACCAGAATCCTTTGGGCTTGTTGACTGCCTTATCCCTAATGTCAGGATCATGGTTGAATAAACAAATCCACTCACAGGATGGCTGGTGCATACCAGCCAGTGTTGTACACCCTGGAAGCAAGGTGCTTTGAGTGGGTTAGCCAGCTCATTGCAAAATGGTGAAAACAGCATTTCATGAAACTATATGAAATTACCAATATTTTAATATTTTGATCTACAAAATAGCATGTCTTAGTCTATCTGAGCTACTATAAATTTAATGGTATAAGTACCATTAAACTGGGTGGCTTATAAGCAACAGAAATTTATTTCTCGTAGTTCTAGAGGCTGGGAAGTTCAAGAACAAGGCACTGGCAGATTCAGTGTCTGGGGAGGGGCCACTTCCTGCTTCATAGATGATGCCTTCTTGCTGTGTCCTCAGGTGGTGGCAGAGTGAGGCAGCTCTGTGGGGTCCCTTTCATGAGGGCACTAATTCCATTCGTGACAGTTCCACCCTTATGACCTACTCACTTCCTAAACACTCCACCTCCTGATACCATCATCTTGGGGGTCAGGATTTCAACAGATGAATTTTGGGGGGAATGCCAATATTCAGGCTGTAGCATGGCGGTTTCCCATGTTTGATCCTGATGATCTGGCATCTTCCTGGATCTTTGCCAAAATGTCTCTCACTAATAGTCTCACTTGGAACACAGCTCTTCCCACTTCCCACCCAAGTATATGATTCTACCAAAGCTTACTCTACCTCCTCCCCCAATTTTTGAATTTTTCTTTTTTTCCCCTCAGCTAAACTTATCATTTTTAGTTTGGTCAATCTCAGCTAGCTATGATGAGGAAAGCAACCAGAAACAAATTCATCTGAGTAGGTGAAACTATTGATAGCACTTAGCTCCTATTTCCTATGGAAATATTGGCATTTAAGAAAGATTCTTGGCACCCCTATATTCATGTTTAATTGACATAATTTATGACACTTTAATAAAGTGAAATGAAATAGTTCAGATTGGATGGCTGTATTTTTCAGGTTTTTTTTTTAAATTACACATGACAGAAAATCTAAATTAATGTGGCTTAAATACAAAAAAGTATTTTAGACAGATGTGGTGGCTCATGCCTGTAATCCAAGCACTTTGGGAGGCTGAAGTAAAAGATCACTTGAGCCCAGGAGTTTGAGACCGGTGTGGGAAATATAGTGGGACCCCATCTCTACCAAGTCAATAGAAATAAAGAAATACACACATAAAGACAAAAAAGAGTATTTATTTACATAGAGTGAAAAGTCTAGACTTGCTTCTAGCCACAAGGGAGCAAAAGGGATTGGATTTACTTTCTCACCTGATACAAGTGAAAAATGGACAGAATAGGTAAAACAATGGTTTTCAAAGACTGGACTTTAAGCAATGAAAGTAGTGATCCCTGAGGGATGGAAAACTCATGGATGAGCCCTTCAAATACTCCAGCTTACTGCCTGGAGAGGGTTTTCAGGCCATGGCCCAGCGTGGGTGGCCCAGGTGGAGCCCGGCCGTCCCAAATTGAGACTTGGGGGTCAAGAGAGGTAATTGAGTTTTCAGGGAGGGTACAGGGAGGGAGTTGCACAGAGAGAACTTCATAGACCTGCAGAGGGCCCTCCTTGTGTTTTTTACCGGAGTACTGATAAGTGCATGTGAGGAAATTATCTGAGGCCAGGGAAAGAACCACCCAAATGGATTAAGGAGGACAAATCTTAGAGCACACACAGGGCTGGGAAGAGTTTCTGTTCTTGCCAGCATGAAAAACTTCCTATTTATGGGCATTAGGTAAAGTCCTCAGAAGGCTTTTTTTGAAACCTTAGAAATGCTGTAAAATTGGACTTTAGACCTAAAAGCTGCCCTCACCTTGCCTCAAACCTTAAAATCAAGACCTAAAGGGATTAAATTGTTTCCAAGTAACTTGTATCCCAGGGCAAAATAACATCCCAGTACAAAGCTCAAGAATATTTATAGGGATACACAAATATCCAGCCACCAACAACGTAAAATTTACACTGCTTGACAACCAATGAAAACAATACAAGGAATGCAAAGAAGATGGGAAATGTGATGCTTTTTGTTGTTGTTGTTTTGTGTTTTTGTTTTGTTTATTTGTTTGTTTGTTTGAGACAGAGTCTTGCTCTGTCGCCCAAGCCGGAGTGCACTGGCGCAATCTCAGCTCACTGCAACCTCCACCTCCTGGGTTTAAGGAATTCTCCTGCCTCAGCCTCCCAAATAGCTGGGACTACAGATGTGTGCCACCACGCCTGGCTAATTTTTTGTATTTTTAGTAGAGATGGGGTTTCACCATGTTGGCCAGGATGGTCTCGATCTCCTGACCTTGTGATCCGCCTCCTTGACCTCCCAAAGTGCTGGGATTACAGGCGTGAGACACCATGCCTGGCCATGTGATGCATGTTAAGGAGAAACATCAATCAACCAAAAAAAAAAAAAAAGAGTCCAGAAATGACAAGAGATGATAGAACTGGTAGTAAAGGACATTCAGTTATTGTAAATATGTTCTACATGTTCAAGAGGCTAGGGGAAAGACTGATCGTGGTAAGCAGTGATATAGAGAATATTATAAAGACCCATACAATGTCTCAAGATGAAAACTATAATTCAATTAAAAAAATACAGGCCAGGTGTAGTGGCTCATGCATGTAATCCCAGAACTTTGGGAGGCCAAGGTTGCAGGATCCCTTGAGCCCAGGAGTTCAATACCAGCCTGGGAAACATAGTAAAACCCTGTCTCTTCAAAAGATAAAAAAAATTATCTGGGTATGCTGGCACATGCCTGTGGTCCCAGCTACTTAAAAGGCTAAATCAGGAGAATCACTTGAGTCCAGGAGGTCAAGGCTGCAGTGAGCTGGGTTTGTGCCACTGTTCTCCACCTGGGTGATGGAGGGAGACCTTGTCTCTAAAAGAAACACACACACACATTTGATAGGATTAATGGCAGAAAAAAATATTAGTGAACTTGATGACATAGCAATACAAAATATTCAAAATGAAATAAATAAAAAGGACAAAATAAAAATAATCATAGCATTGGTAATCTGTGGAATTACTGCAAGTGTCCAGATGCTTCTCAAATTACAATAGGGCCACGTCCTGATAAACCCATCATAAGTAAAAAATATTGTAAGTTGAAAATTCATTCAATATCACAATAAACCCATCTTAAAGTCAAAAAGTCATAAGTTGAACCACTGTTAAATCCAGATAACCTCAATATATGATGTGGTTATGTCCCAACAAGCCCATCATAAAGTTGAAAAATGTTAAGTCCACCATTGTAAGTCAGGGACCATCTGTAGATATAAAAGGAGCGGGGTAGACAGACAAAACATTTGAGAAGATAATTGCTGAAAAAGTTCTATATTTTATGAGAGCTATGAACTCACAGGTCCAAGAAGCTCAATAAACCCCAAACATAAAAGACCTGAATAAAACCACAGCAATGTGTATTATAATTAAAATGCTTAAAACTAGTAATCAAGAGAAAATCTGCAAAGCAGCCAAGGAATGGCAGGAAAGGGAGAAAGAAAGATACATTTTGTTGAGAGGAAAAAATATAAGGAAGACAGCAGATTTTGCATCAGAAACAATGTTAATGGAAAAGACAGTGGAGCAGCATCTTTAAGGCACTGATCATGAAATAAACCCCCCAAATGCCAATTTAGAATTCTACAGCCAGAAAAAATATCTTTCATAAACAAAGGCGAAAGAAGGTTTTAGACCAACACATGCTGAAAGAATTAATTGCCAGGAGACCTGTACTACAAGAAATGCAAAAGGATACAGATGGAAACCTGTATCTATACAAGGGAAAAAAAACTGGTTATGGTCACTCTGTGGGTATATAAACATTTTACCTACTTTTAAAATTTCTTCATATCATAATCGATTGTTTAAAGCAATGTCATATGAGGTTTATGACATATGTAGAGGTGAAATGTATAATGGTAATAGTACAAAGGCCAATAAGGGAGAAATGGAAGTGTATTTTTATAAGGCTTTTATACCATACATGAAGTGATGTAATGTTACCTCAAGGTGGAGTGCAGTAGGTGTAAGATGAATGTGGTACATTCTAATGCAGCTACTAAAATAATACAGTAAAGAATTATAGCCAATAAGCAAAGCATGGAAATACAATAGAATCATTTAAAACATTTAATCTAATAGAAGGCAGAAAAAGAAGAAGGAACAAAGAATAGATAGGATAAATAGAAAATAAATGGCAAGATAATAGATTTAGATCTAACCATACCAGTAATCACATTAAATGTAAATGGTATAAATACCTCAAATTGAAAGAAAGAGATGCCAAATTGGACAATCTAGTATGCTGCCTACAGGAAACTCACTTCAAATTTAAAGGCTCAAGTAAGTTAAAAGTAAAAGAATAGAAAAAGTTACAGTATGCTAATACTAATAGCAAGGAAGCTTATTGACTATATTAACATTAGAGATAGTAGACTTTGTAGCAGAAAAACCAGGAATTAAGAGGATCATTACAAAATTATAAAGGGGATAAATTCATCAAGAAATCTTAATTATCATAAACATTCATGCACCTAATAAAAGAGCATCAAAATATGCACAGCAAAAACTGATAGATGTGCAAGAAGTAGAAAAACTACAAATATTGTCAGAGATTTTAACACCCTCACTCAACAACTGATAGACCAAGTGGACAAATACTCAGTAAAGATGAACATCATCATGAACAACATGAACATCATCATCCAAGTTGACACTTTTAAAACGATCTACTCAACAATGGTAGAATACACGTTCTTTTCAAGTGCGCACAGAACGCTTACCAAGGAAAACCATATTCTGGCCATAAGAAAAGTCCCAGTAAATTTAAAAGACTTCAAGTCACACAAAATACATAAATACATACACATATATATATACATATATATATACACATATATATATACACATACATATACACATATATATACACATACATATACACATATATATACACATACATATATACATATATATATACACATACATATATACATATATATATACACATACATATATACATATATATATACATATACATATATACATATATATATACATATATATACATATATATATACATATATATATACATATATATATATATATATATATATATATATATTTTTTTTTTTTTGAGACAGAGTCTCTCTCCGTTGCCCAGGCTGGAGAGCAGTGGTGTGCTCTTGGCTCACTGCAACCCCCACCTCCTGGGTTCAAGCAATTTTGCCTCAGCATCCCAAGTAGCTGGGAGTACAGGCGCCCGCAACCACGCCCGGCTAATTTTTGTATTTTTAGTAGAGACAGGGTTTCACCATATCGGCCAGGCTGGGTCTCAAACTCCTGACCTTGTGATCCGCCCTCCTTGGCCTCCCAAAGTGCTGGGATTACAGTTGTGAGCCACCGCACCTGGCCCCTTTTTTTTTTTTTTTTTTTTTTTTTTTTTTTTTTTTTTACAAAATATATTTTTTGGTCATGTGGAATAAAAAGTTGGAAAAATTGGAAATCAATAAAAAAAACTCAGCAAAATCTCTAAGTATTTGGAAACTCAATAACACATGTCTACCCATAAGTCAAAAAAGGAACCAAAAGAAAAATTAGCATTTTGAAGTAAATGAGAATGAAAACACAGCATGTCAAAACTTATGAGATGAGTTAAAGTGGCTTTAGGGGGAAATTTATAGCATTACATTCTTAGAGGGAAAGTTATAGCACTGAACATCAATATTTGAGTAAAATTCTTAAAATATTAGCAAATCCAAATTAACATATATATAAAGGATAATACATCATGAGCAAGTAGGCATTACCCCAGAAATGTAAGATTAACTTGACATTTAAAAATTAATCAATATAATTAAACATATCAGGAGCTACATTACACGATCATCTCAATAGAAGCCTAGTGAGCATTTGACAGACTTCAACATCCATTTCTGATTAAAACTGTCTGCAAACTATAATTAGAAGGTAGCTTCCCCATCATAATGAAAGAAATCTATGGAAAATTTACAGTTAATATATATTTATACTTAAGCAGCTAAAAAGACTTTCTCCTATGATCAGGGCAAGGCACGGGTGAGTGCCTGTTCTCATTGTGTCTACTCGATGTTGTCTGGAGGTGCAGTGCAATGTGCAATTGCTCTTGCAATAAGGCAAGAAAAAGAAATAAAAGGGAACTGGATTGGGAAGGAAAGTGTAAAGGCATTATTTATTTGCAGATGGTATATTGTATATGTAGAAAATTCTATATGATCTACAAAAAAGCTGCTATAATTGAAAAGTGGGCCAGGCACGGTGGATCACACCTGTAATCCCAGCACTTTGGGAGGCCGAGGTGGGCAGATTGCCTGAGCTCAGGAGTTCAAGGCCAGCCTGGGTAACACAGTGAAACCCTATCTCTGCTAAAATACAAAAAAGTAGCTGGGTATGGTGGCATGCACCTGTAATCCTAGATACTGGGGAGGCTGAGGCAGGAGAATCATTGGAACCCAGGAGGCAGAAGTTGCAGTGAGCTGAGATCGCACCACTGCATTCCAGCCTGGGTGACAGAGCAAGACTCTGTCTCAAAAAAAAAAAAAAAAAAGGATATAAAATCTATATACAACATGTATTGAATTTCTGTAATCATAATGAACAAGCAGAAATTGAAATAGAAATATAACTTACAAAGGCATAAAAATGATGTAGACACAAAAGATGTAAAGGACACTGCACTACAACCCACTACTAAGAGAAAGAAGGTCTAAATGAATGGGCCATAGACTGTGCTCTTGGTCTGAAAGTTTCAGTATTATTATGATGTCAATTCTCCCCAAATTGATCTATCAATTCAATGCCATTCCAATAAAAATCTCAGCAGATTTTGAAGAAATTGACATGGCGATTATAAAATTTAAATGGTAGTACAAAGGACCTAGAAGAACCAAAACAACTTAGAAAAAGATCAGTACAGTTGGTAGACTTACATTACCCGACTTTAGAATTACTACAAAGTTATCATAATTAAGACAGTGTGGTATTGGCATAAAGACAGGCAAAAAGATCAATGGAACAGAGTAGAGAGTCCAGAAATGAACTCATAGGCATATGGTTAATTGATTTTTGGCAAAGCTGCAAAAGAAATTCAACGGAGAAAAGATAATCTTTCCAACAAATTATGCTGTAGAAATTGGACATCCATAGGCAGAAAAAGCAAGCCTCAATTAATATTTTGTATCATCTATAAAATTAACTCAAAAAAGGTAATAGAATTAGCTGTAACACCTAAAACTGCTAAAATTCAGGAAGACAACATAGGAGAAAATCTTTGTTATCTTGGGTGAGGTAAATAATTCCTAGATATGACACAAGTATGATCTATAAATAAAAAAAGATTATAAATTGTACTTTATCAAAATCAAGAATTTCTTCTCTTCAAATGATGCTAAGAGAATGAAAATGTATGTATATCCCAGAATGGGCAAAAATACTTGAAAGTCACATATCTGATACAGGACTTGTATCCAGAATATACCAGAACTCTTCAAACTCAAGAAGAAAAACATGCAACCACTTTTTTTTTTTTTTTTTTTTTTTTTTTTTTTTTGAGGCAGAGTCTCCCTCAGTGGCCCAGGCTGGAGTGCAGAGGCTCGATCTCGGCTCACTGCAAGCTCCGCCTCCTGGGTTCACGCCATTCTCCTGCCTCAGCCTCCCGAGTAGCTGGGATTACAGGCCGCCGCCACCGCGCCCAGCTACTTTTTTTGCATGTTTTTAGTAGAGACGGGGTTTCACCGTGTTAGCCAGGATGGTCACGATTTCCTCACCTCGTGATCCGCCCGCCTCGGCCTCCCAAAGTGCTGGGATTACAGGCGTGAGCCACCGCGCCCGGCCCATGCAACCACATTTTTAAAATGCATAATTTCCTTCTTTTTTAATTTTTGAAATGGGGTCTTGCTCTGTCACCCAGGCTGGAGTGCAGTGGTGTGATCATAGCTCACTACAGTCTCGACCTCCTGAGCTCAAACCATCCTCCTGCTTCAGCCTCCTGAGTAACCGGGACTACGGGCACGTGCCACCATGCTTGGTTAATTTTTATTTTTTAATTTTTTGTAGAGATGGGGTCTTACTATGTTGCCTAGGCTGGTTTCAAACTCCTGGTCTCAAGACGACCTTGGCCTCCCACGGCGCCGGGATTACAGGTGTGAGCCAACATGCCTTGCCCAAAATGCGTAATTGTCTTTTTATTTGTATTTGTTCATTCGATACATATTTATTGGTCACCTGTGCCAAACCCTTTCTAGACGCTCAGTGATTCTTGGTAAACCAAGCAAGAGGTCCCTGTCCTCTGGGACTTGTTTGTGGGGCACACAGATATTTGCTGTCCAGCTGAAATATGTGCTATGGGGTAGGGCGCCTGACTGTCTAATGCACCTCCGCATCCCCGGCACGCAGGACCCGGCCGGGCTGCCGCCTCTCAGAATCGCTGTGCAATTGGCGATTGCGACATTCATGGAATAAATTCCCCTTCGCGACACATGGGGACGCTCACGCTCCACGCTGTGGCCACACTCTTACGCGCCTTTGTTCAAATGGTCCGCGGTAATCACCCCTCCAGCTCACCTTCTCAAAAAGGGGACGTGGATGAGGCTCTCATGATTAATGATCGCAGTACGGATTTGTAACTTATTACGGAAGAAAAGCCACATCAAGCAGGTGTCGTTTGGAACAAGAGAGATTCGGCTGCCTAAGCAGTACCAAAGGACGGTGTCCTTTTCTGGGTCACATTTTAATTTTCTTTTCAGGTCTTGCAGAACAGCGATTAGTTCATTGCTAATGAAATCCTTAAGTGCTTCAGAGCATTACAACTTAGGGGAGGAAAGACTGGTGTGTCTTCTGAGACGCCCTGAGCAGCACAGACGACTAGAAATGCGTTTACGCTCGGCTGCTTGGGCTGATTGCCTTTGCAAAGAGGCACATGAAACCGCAGATATCTGCATGCACAGCCAGCAAAGGAATCGTAGAAATAACAACGTTATTGGGAAGTCATATTTTAAGCCGAGGCAGACGCTGTGCCACTGAATACCTAGGGTAGTTCAGATGCACCTAATATCCAGGTTTTTAGGGGAACTAATACGTGTGTGTGGAGCTGTGTCTTGAAATAATTCAATGTTCTAAGCCTCAGTGAAATCGTGTCTCTGGAAGGTCAATCATTGAAGGTATAACGTAAACACTCAAGAAAACAGGGAGACTTTGTGGCAGCTCTTAACGTCGTGACGCCAGCTGCAGTAGCTCTGTCAATTGTGGGGGCATCAGATAAATCAATTTAAGCTGGAAAAGTCCTTTGAGGTATCCAGGTGGTTCGTAAGGCCACATAAGTCTGTCAAATATCATCGCTTTAGAGATTTCTGAGATTTCAGAGGATATCAGGTCTTGATGCTTGGAAAGAGGCAATCGGCAAGATTTTAGCAAAGGGACTCTGAGACAAAAGCCACAGGTTTTTGTTCGTCCATGCATGCTTTCCTCAGTTTCACTGTGCAGCACCTCTCAAACTTTCATGAGAAATTTGGGGTGCCCTGGCACTCTGTGTTTTTCTAACCGGCTCCCGGCCGACACTGAGGCTAGTGGTTCTTGAACCACGCGTCGGTATTAGGGTGCTGTGCAGTACGTAGCTCGAGGAAGGCACTTCCACAGAAGGCAGTAGCCTACCTCCACCCTGTTTACCACCTGCAGGATTCATCTCATCTCTTCACTCAAGAAAATTGGGCAGCCCTGTGCGGGAGGCCTGACTTGCACTAGCGGCTGGAGACAAAGGGTGAGTCAGACTCAGCTTGGTACCTCTCCTGTTGAGGCTTATTATTTTAGTTTGGGAGACAAGCACAGAGACTGGTAATTCCTAACTTTTAAATGCTGTCAGCGAGGAAGCGCAGCGGGCAGCTGTGAACGTGTCTAACGGGGGCTGTGAGCTTCAGAAGTCGGGGAAGTGCTGAGGTTCAAGGAAGAACCGGGGTTCATTGGCCAAGAGAGCCACAGGTGGGGTGGGGTGGATCATATTCCAGGGAAAGGGGGCGTGTGTGCAAAGCCTCTGAGGCAGGAGGGATGCGGGCTTTTGGAGGACCCGGCTGGTCTGTGTGGTTGGAACATGGTGGGCACACGCTGGGTGAGCGTGGAGTATCTGGAGGTGAGGCTAGCGTTGGTGGGATCCTGGTAATCCCGCTAGGACACCGGGTCATCCTCCGTCATTAGATGATGGTAAAGATAGTGGATATCAGGGGAAAGTGGGGACTGACGGCTCCCCTTTTCACGATAAGGGTGGCGTGTTTCCATTTGACGAACGGACCCCCTTACTAAGTACCTGTTAGCGCAGGTGACACCCACCTGCTCCGCGAGCTCAGTAGACACCCATCTCCACGAGGGGGGCAGCAGAGCAGAACGCTGAGGCTCGGAGTCTGAACCTTGAGAAAGATTTCGTCGTGGAATTCTAGAATTGATAGTTCTGCATCTAGACATATTCTAGACATCTAGACATATTCTAGATGTCTCGATAGAAGCTGTGCGCTAACAGCGGCCCACACGCGCCTGCTCACTTCAGGGGTCCTGTTTCAGTTCCTTCAGGGTGGCTGGTGTCTAGGCGAGAACGGCATCTGGAGAGGGAAAGGTCACCCCTCCCTGACCCGCGTTGCACTCGTCAGGAACGTGGCACAACCTCCCAGTATTAATTCCCACCGCGCCCTGTGGCGGGGCCCTGGCAGACATGTAGATTTGCCAGACGGCCAACGTGATTGCATCCTTCATTAGCTATGAGGTGGTGCAGGAGGAGCCGTCGACTCCAGGGGTGGCAGGTGGTTTGGGGGCCAGGTGGCCAAGTTTATGGAGTGCCTATGGTTTCACCCCACCTTGCAGGCATCGGGCTGGCGGCCCTCGCCTCTGTGAGCCTCACAGGCTTTCTGCACTCAGAGAAGGGAGCTGGTGGCAAACAGGCCTTGAAGAAGGGGAGAAAGTAGCTGTCAGGTGCGGCTACTCAATGCTGCCATCAGCTTAGAATTGTAAAGGGAACTGTTTGAACCAGGGCACGAGAAGAGTGGTTTTCTTTTATTTTCTTTTGTTTGTTTTGGTTGAGGCTAAGATTTCCCCATGACCTCAGAGCATCGAGGGCCAGCCCATTTCCAAAGGGTCTGCCGGTCTAACGTCTCTGTTGCTCATACTTAGCACCTAAAACTCATGTTCCTCCATGTCAAAATCATATTTCTCTATTTGAAATCATATTCCCTCATGTTGAAATCATATTCCCCCATGTTGAAATCATATTCCCCCATGTTTAAATCATATTTCCCCATGTTTAAATATTTCCTCATGTTGAAGTTATATTTCTCCATGTTGAAATCATATTCCCTCATGTTGAAATCTACTTCCCCATGTTGAAATCATATTTCCCCATATTTAAATCATATTCCCTTATGCTGAAATCATATTCCATGATGAAATCATACTTCCCCATGTTTAAATCATATTTCCTCACGTTGAAATCACATTCCCTCATGTTGAAATCATATTTCCCTATGTTTAAATCATATTTCTCCATGTTGAAATCATATTTCCCCATGTTGAAATCATATTCCCCCAGGTTGAAGTCATATTTCCCCATGTTTAAATCATATTCCCTCATGTTGAAATCATATTTCCCCATGTTTAAATCATATTCCCTCATGCTGAAATCATATTCCATGATGAAATCATACTTCCCCATGTTTAAATCATATTTCCTCACATTGAAATCACATTCCCTCATGTTGAAATCATATTTCCCTATGTTTAAATCATATTTCCCCATGTTGAAATCATATTTCCCCATGTTGAAATCATATTTCCCCATGTTGAAATCATATTCCCCCATGTTGAAGTCATATTTCCCTATGTTGAAATCATATTCCTCCATGTTGAAGTCATATTTCTCCATGTTGAAATCATATTCCCCCATGTTGAAGTCATATTTCTCCATGTTGGAATCATATTCTCCCATGTTGAAATTGGAGCAGTTAATTGGGGTCACACTTTTATCATCTTGTCCTGGACTTTAGTTCCCAGGGGCAGACCAGGCAGTCATCAGAAACACAAACCTATTTAGAGAACTGCCTTCTTTCAATACACACCTGCCCTGATCATTTGGGTTGGAATATGGCTGCTTGTGGTGTTTTCTGCACTTTCAGCCTCCAAGTTGAGTCTTTGCGTGGCCGAGTGTCAGCACTTGCCACACATTTCCTCTTCCTGGGCAAACGACCTCACTCTCTGGGCATGTGGTTGAATGTCCTGGCCTCACCTCACAGTTAGATGTGGCCGATGGGATGTGAATAGAAGCCGTACGTGACACTTGCAGTCGTGACCCGCAAATATTTCCGCCACACGGCCAGCCATTCCCTTTCTCTGCTACTGGCTTGAGGTGACTAACAAGGCAGCTTCAATGGCCACACATTACAAACAGAGCCACGGATGGAAGGGACCATGGTCCCTGAGTCACCACGTGAAGGACACAGTTGCTGGCTACATGGAAGCACCCTTTGGACTTGTGAGAATGAGACAGAAACATCCATCACGTGTGAGCCATTCGGTGTTTGGGTTTGTTTGCTGCAGCAGCGGCCACAGCATTAGATTTTCATTCCGATCTAGGGACGCCACCGTAGGAGGAAAGTTAACAGATCCAGAAGTTGTGTGAACTGCCTGGTGAGCCCAGGCATTGGTGAGACCACAGCAGGGCTGAATGGAGGGAACAAAACTCTGTCCCCTGAGCATTCACTCTGGCCATCTCTCCTGTTCTTCTCTCTTCAGAGTGGAGGTCCATGTGCTCAGACAGAGGAGGCATTATCCTGACCTTTCTCCTCCCAGAATCAAGTTTTATCACTTACGCTCAGAAATCTGAGCTTGCTCTTGGAATTCAGCACTGGCTTCATGGATCCTTCTCTGCCAATGTGCATTTTATGGCCAACGAATGACCAGGACTGGTTGGTTGGATTGTCGTAAATTCACAAGACATGTTCATGGAGATCTTGCCAAGGGTGTGGCCACTTCAGCCATTGCATCAGAGCTAGTGGAGGGGAGATCGGGGTGGCCAGCTTGGCCGAGGATGTACGAAGTATGTGTAAACATTCTTTCTCCACTGATATCAAGTGTATTAGTCAGGGCTCTCGATTGCAAGCACTCTGACTTTCTTAGGCAAAAAGGGAATTTTTGAAAGGACGTCAGGGGTTCACAGCATCATTGTGGAGCTAGAGGGTCTATCTTGGAAAATGGAACCAACCAAGGGCACTTCAGAAGGCTGGACAGCAGGAATCACAGCTGAGGCCAGGATGCAGGTACAGACTGTTCATTGCTGCTGGAGATTCAAAGTGCCAGGGGAGAGGGCCATCTGCATAGAGCCTGAGTCACAGGCTTGCTCCCAGCTGTGCCAAGGCTGGTGTATTGGTCTGTTCTCACACTGCTGTAAAGAAATACCTGAGACAGGGTAATTTACAAAGAAGAGAGGTTTAATTGGCTCACAGCTCTGCAGGCTCTACAGGGAGCCTGGCAGCACCTGCTTCTGGGAAGGCCTCAGGGAGCTTTTACTCATGGAGGACGGCAAAGTGGGAGCAGAAGGAAGGGGGTCCATGCCACATACTTTTAAACAACCAGATCTCATGAGAACTCTATCATGAAAACTGCTCGGAGGAGATGGTGCTAAACTATTCAAGATAAGCCACCCCCACGATCCAATCACCTCCCACCAGGCCCCACCTCCAACACTGGGGATTACAATTCAACGTGAGATTTGGGCAGGGACACAGATCCAAACCGTATCAGTGTGAGATTTGGGCAGGGACACAGATCCAAACCATATCAGTCAGGAAAGGAAGGATTTTACCCACTTCAGCTTTCACAGTAGGTGTAAATGTTCCCTCCTACTCCATCCACATGCAAATTCCTCCAAACATTTCAGGGGCTTCAGCTGATACAAGTTCATTTTCTGTGTCAGAGTCTAATGCAGGTGTTCCTAGTGAGTGTACTCCCTTCCATGCAGTGACTCAGGGATCCAGGCTCTTCCAACCTGGGGCTCCATTTCAGAGTCCTCTGCCTTCAAGCAGAAAAGAAGGAGGGGAGTTACCTCCAGTGCATCTTAAATGCCCTGGCTTGGATAGAGCAGGGGAGGGGATGAATGATATGCTTTACTTTTGCTCATATTCCCATAACTCATTACAAGGCTAACATAATTATAAGGGATGATGGGAGAGACATAGAAGCAGAAGGACATTGGGTGGTGCCAACCACTTCTGCTATAAGCCTTTACAGGAAGAGAGGATGTTTGGTTTCTGGACAGATAAAAAAAGTAATTGATATCTGCTCCTAGGGCTAAATATATGTGGGGATGGGGAACCTGAGAATATGGTCCTTTCTTGAGCTTTGAGGAGAGAGGGATGGGTGCTAATATTTGTTGAATGGCTACTACGCATAGGAACTTTGCAGATGTAAGCTCACTCAGTCCTTAGGGGTGCTAATTTACCCTTTGGCGTAAATACTATTCTTTCCACTTTACGAATGAGAAAACTCAATTAACAGGCGGTGGAGGGATTTTTTTCAGCTAGGCAGTGACAGAGCTAGGATTCACACGTTCCATTCACCACCCAACCTTAAGGGTCGCTGGGCTGCAACCTTGACTTGAAATATAGTCTACTTTGCACTGGGAGGGTTTGGAATGAAACGCTACAATTTGGATCAAGATAAACCACAGGCAGTGAAAGCAAGCTGCAGGGGCCAGAGGCTGGAATTTCCCACAGACAGAATTTTGGGAAAAGCTGTACAGTTTGGAGGGGCCGGGTAGGGAGGAAGAAGGGAAGGGGGATAACCTCATCCAAGCGAGAGAAGTTATGGTCACCAAATATTTCTCTAATTACAAAAAAATAAGGGACTTAGGGATGCCAAAAAAATAAAGTACAAGTGTACTAGGCGTTGGCTTTTTTGGCAAAGCAGATTTGTCTGTAATCACTCTTAAAAAGATATAAAAGGAATTGCCTCACACAATGTGATCACTTAAGCCTGGCTTTTATCTGTTTCTTCAGAAACATTGCATTTTGAAGGAAACCATATTAGCTGGAGATGGTGAATTTGTCTGGTAATTGCTTTCTATTATAAATCTAAGTAACATTTAACACCACTAGGGAATGCAAAATTATCAAGCAAGCTGAAAGAAGAAAAAGTCTTCTTCTGAGTTGAAAGTTCTGTTTTCCTAGTTGAAAATAGATGTTTTAAGGTTCACAGAACACCATTTTGTATCATTAGCAAGATTATGGGGCAGCGCTTATAAAGTTCCAAAACTCCCTGCTGGTTAATAGATCTTAGAAAAAGCGTCTGAGGCAGATCCCTTGACCGGCAGCCATGGTCCACAGTATTCAGCTGTAATAACAATTATTTAAAAATGGGCGTGAGATGGGGGACAATCGTGATGCCTCTTCTGGCCTTAAACACCCGCGATAATCTTTGCTATGGTCCGAATGTTTGTTACTGCTCTCCCTGCAAATTCGTATGTTGAAACCTAGTGCCCCAGGTGATGGTATTAGGAGGTGGGGGCCTGTGCGAGGTGATGAGGCCACGAGGGTGAAGCCCTCAAGAAGGGGATTAGTGCTCTTATTAAAGGGGATCCAGAGAGCTGCCTCGCCCCTTCCGCCAGGTGAAAACACAGTGGGAAGGTGCCCTCGATGAACCAGGAAGGGGGTCCTCACCGGACATGAAATCTGTCATGCTTTGATCCTGGACTTCCAGCCCTCAGAACTGTGAGAAACACATTTCTGCGGTTTATAACCTACCCCACTCGTGGTATTTTGTATAGCAGTCAGGATGGACTAAAACGATCTTTGACCCACTTGCTATTATTTTCGTTGTCAAATCCATTTTGTATGTAGGTCAGCTTCACTATCTTTATGAGGTCAGAGGACTGGATGTCCCCAGGACTTACGTGGCTCCAAGACATCCTTTTGTTTGTTTGTTTGTTTTTGTTTTTGTTTTTTTTTGAGACAGAGTCTTGCTTTGTTGCCCAGGCTGGAGTGCAGTGGCGTGATCTCGGCTCACTGTAACCTCTGCCTCCTGGGTTCAAGTGATTCTCCTGCCTCAGACTCCGAGAATAGCCGTGACTACAGGTGGCCGCCACCACACCCGGCTAATTTTTGTAGTTTTAGTAGAGACGGGGTTTCACCATGTTGGCCAGGCTGGTCTCAAACTCCCGGTCTCAGGTGATCCGCCCACCTCGGCCTCCTGAAGTGCTGGGATTACAGGCATGACCCACCGTGCCCGGCCCCAGTACATCTTTTCAGGGCACTTGAATGGTCAGTGTTGAAACATCAAAAGATTTTAAACAAAATTCTGAATTTTCAGCTTCTCCAAAAAACCCCACAGAAATCAGATGATCTTACCAAACTGAGTCCTCATTTCTGCCTGGCAGAAGGGACTATATTCCCAAGATCCCCACACGTGTGCGGTGCCCCTAGAGCAGATACTGATGACTTTTTGGCTTCCAGAGCCAACTGTCTTCTCTTCCGGTGAGCACTCCGGAGCAGAAACGTTCAGGGCTCCCAGCAACCGAGAGAGAGTTCTGACTCCTCCATACCCTCATCGACGTTTGGGGTCCTCGGTCTTTATGTTAGCCTTGCTCAGAGTGTGTGTGATGTGTCCAGTGGAAAATCATTGTGATTTTGTTTTCCTAATGACCAGTGACGTTGAGCAATTGTTCCTGTGCTTATTGGCCATTTGGAATTCTTTTCCGTGAAGTGTCATTGTCCCAGAAACGGGTCACTATCCTGGTATGTTCAGCTTCTTCTTGCCTTTATAGAACCAGTCTTCTTCTTCTTCTTCTTCTTTTTTTTTTTTTTTTTTTTTTTTTTTGAGACGGAGTCTCGCTCTGTCACCCAGGCTGGAGTGCAGTGGTGTGACCTTGGCTCACTGCAACCTCCGCCTCCCAGGTTCAAGCTATTCTCCTGCCTCAAGCCTCCCTAGTAGCTGGGACTATAGGCGCCCACCACCACGCCCGGCTAATTTTTGTATTTTGAGTAGAGACGGGGTTTCACCATGTTGGCCAGGCTGCTCTCAAACTCCCAACCTCAGGTGATCCGCCCGCCTCTGCCTCCCAAAGTGTTGGCATTACAGGCGCGAGCCACCGCGCTCGGCTGAACCAGTCTTCTTAACCCCCATCTCAGAGAGCCCAGCCCTGGTGAGGCAGGCCCCACTCCCTGGAGGTCTGACTCCAAGCAGAGCCAACCAGAAGCTAGAGGGCAAGAGTTCCTTGTCGACGGCGTTGGGCGAGATCAGCCTCCTGGTGCACAGAGTGCAGGGGAGGGCGCGGCGTCACGTGTGTGAGTCTGATCTTGGCTTCCATCAGCTGATGTGAGCCTTCGAGTCTGGGCTCGGGGCAGGAGTGAGTGAGTGAAGATCCTCACACCCCAAATGACCGCTTAGATGGAGGGGCTAAAAAGGGAAGCCATGGGAACAACACACCAACGAATGCCTCAAGCGTGACCTCACCAAAGCACTGGGCTCACTTGGCAGATGAAACCCCCACTAGACTCTCGTGGATAGAGCAGATGAGAAGACCCAGTGCCCGTCCCCACTGCCTGTAGATCTGTCCCGTTTCCTCCTGCAGATAATTTATAGTGAGGCCGAGATGCCCTCCAGCTGACAGCTAGTGCCTGCTGTGGCTGCTCATCACACACCACATTTGTGTTCATTCTTAACTGGAGTTTCCTGTGGGTTTGTGTTTCCAGCAAGATTGAGAATTCTCTGGGTCAGAGACCATGCGATCTCTGTTCCTTCTGGCTCTCAGCAAGAGACCAGGTACCATCCTTGATCCTTATTTCTGACCCACAGCTAATTGCAACAAGTGCCAACCAGGCAATGAAAAATAAGAGACTTGTGGTTTTCCAAACATAGGCCGGTTTCTTACTACAGAAGGCAGCTGTTTCGACAGGTCAGCTGACGCTGGTCCCAAACAAGCAGTGATTCACAGCATCCTAGGAACTTCATGCTAAAGATAGAGGAGGAGAGAGGTCGGAATCTTGAAGAACACGGCGTTCTTTCATCTGCTATTTTAAAGTCTCTAACTTAGTAAAGAATACTCTTTGTTTTACAGTTCTGCGTGAAAGTAAGGGATATGTTTGGTTGATGTGGTTTGGGAGGAGCGTGCTTTCCCGCCGGGCTTCTCGCTCTGCAAAATGCTGAGATGTTGTTAAGGGTGAATTACACAGATTTGGAAAAACAAAAGATGGATGAAGAATTGAATGTATAATAAAGAAGAGTGCCACAGGCTGGTTGCTTAAAATGAGAAGCCTTAAGATGTGCTTGAAACTTTTATAAAACAGAATTTTTGGCCGGGCACAATGGCCCACACCTGTAATCCCAGCACTTTGGGAGGCCGAGGCAGGCAGATCACAAGGTCAAGAGATAGAGATCATCCTGGACAACATGGTAAAACCCCGTCTCTACTAAAAATACAAAAATTAGCTGGGCATAGTGGTGCACGCCTGTAGTCCCAGCTACTCGGGAGGCTGAGGCAGGAGAATCGCTTGCACCCGGGAGGCAGAGGTTGCAGTGAGCCGAGATCGCACCACTGCACTCCAGCCTGGGCAACAAGAGTGAAACTCCATCTAAAAAAAAAAAAGAATTTTTATTATTTAAGTCATTGGCTGGATACATTCTTCTTGTGAAGATGTAAAATGTCGCAACAAGGCTAGAGAGCTCTTTTTTTAAACTTTATTAATTTATTTGAGACAGGGTCTTTCTCTGTCACACAGGCTGCAGTGCCAGTGGCACGATCTTGGCTCACTGTATCTTCAACCTCCCAGGCTCAAGCGATCCTCCTGCCTCAGCCTCCTGAGTAGCTGTGATTACAGCTACTCAGCTAATTACCACCACACCCAGCTAATTTTTCTATTTTTATTAGCGATGAGGTCTCACTTTGTTGCCCAGGCTGGTCTCAAATTGCTCGCCTCAAGTGACCCTCCCGCCTTGGCCTCCCAAAATGCTGGGATTACAAGCATGAGCCACTGCACCTGGCCTTAATTTTTTTTTAAGACAATGTCTTACTCTGTCACCAAGGCTGGAGTGCAGTAGCTCAATCTCAGTTCACTACAGCCCTGAACTCCTGGGCTCAAGTGATCCTCCCACCTCAGCCTCCTAAGCAGCTGGGACTGTAGAATAGTCCCAGGTACACCCCTGGGCAGTAAAGACCTGTGACTTCTGGCCCTTCTCTCCATTCTCCAGAAGTATATTCTCTTTTGGTTTGCATCCTATCCTTCCAGAACTTTCCCTATGCCTTTGCATAATATGTACCCAGATGTCATTTATGTATATGCTGTACGTAAATAATATCGCATGATCTTAATAGTTCTGTAACTTGTTTCTTTTGTTTTGTTTTTGTTTTCATGTGGCATGTCTTGGAACTCTTCCCATGTTAGTGGCGTGTATTCTATATACTGCCACCCAGGATTGAAAAATATTAATCAGGTTATTTAGGCCACTCTAAAGCTTTTGGAGAATTCTAGAGCCTCAAATTCATACATTTTGACAACTTGCTTCCTTTACCTGGCAATAGGTCATCTTGAATTTCTCCAAGCTTCCTAAAATCCCCATTATTTTAGGAATTTTCCCCTAAATATCTGCAGCAAGTCAGAGTTCCTTCTTGGAAAAATGGCCGCCTTCTCCCCTATGTGGACCCCCTCTTCTACATATTCACTTGCTTGAATTAATGAGTTGCTATTTTCTATTCTATTCCTTACTAACCAACAAGAAAATGATTATGATTTCTCTATCACGTTTGTCAGAAAACTGGTCTAATGAGGCCTGGCACAGTGGCTCAAACCTGTAATCCCAGCATTTTGGGAGGCTGAGGTGGGAGGATCACTTGAGTCCAGGAGTTTGAGACCAGCCCTGTGAACAACATAGCCAGACCCTGTCTCTACAAATTAAAAAATTTGTAGAGACAGGAGGTCGAGGCTACAGCGAGCCATGATCACACCACTGCACTCCAGCCTGGGCGAAACAGCAAGATCCTGTCTCAAAAAAGTAATAATAGGCCAGGCGTGGTGGCTCATGCCTGTAATCCCAGCACTTTGGAAGGCAGAGGCGGGTAGATCACTTGAGGTCAGGAGTTCGAGACCAGCCTGGGAAAGATAGTGAGACCCCTGTCTCTACAAAAAATAAAAGAATTAGCTGGGTGTGGTAGTGCACGCCTGTGGTCCTGGCTACTGGGGAGGCTAAGGTGGAAGGATTCTTTGAACCCAGAAGGTTGAGGCTGCAGTGAGCTGTGATTGTACCATTGCACTCCAGCCTTGGTGACAGGAGACCCTGTTTCAAAAAAGAAAAGAAAAAAAGAGAAAAGAAAAGAAAAGCTGGTCTAATGACATAATTAAGACAAGTCAGAGAGTGACTCCAGGCTTGGCACTATTTGTAAACATCCGCAGCAAGGAAAGGGTCTGAATAGAAGGGCAAAGCTGAACCCCAGGATGTCACCTGGATCCAGCTGTGCCTGCAGCCAGCATCACCACTGGCCTTTCCTTCCACGGACCAGTTTGTTTTCCTTCTGCTTCTATCAGATGGGTTGGTAACTGACATAGCCCTGACAGACAGGGCCGTAGTGTCAGATCCCATTGCTGTCTTCTCATGCCTCTTTCCGGTTTCAGCATCTGCCAGGAGCTTCTGTTTTTCCTTCTTGGATGCTCTGCCTCTGTTCTCTATTTATTCCGACCCTGCAAAGAACCAAAAACGTCACAATCTGTACACAGCGTAAATCATTACTTGTCTGACTGCATTCATGGTTACTGTGTGTCCTTGTGTATTAGTTCATATTTGGCTTAGGTAACACAGCAAAACACACACACACAGAAAACAACAAACCCAGCAATGCTTCGTATTTATGCAGCAATAGCATCACTTATTTGGCAACACATTTTTGCCATGGTTTTAACTCTAGTTTGTGGGGAGTGGCATATGGAGAAGTTTCACTCCTTCCTGAGTTTTCTTGTACTTGTCATTCTTGAGTTCCTGCCAAAAGTTTACATCTAATTGCCCCGACGTCATCCTTCCTTCCCCTCAAATAGAAAAAACAATGAGTCCTGGAATTTTTTTTTTTTTTTAAACAGGGTCTTGCTTTATCGCCCAGGCTGGAGTGCAGTGGTGCGATCTCGGCTCACTGCAACCTCCCTCTCCTGGGCTCAAGCGATCCTCCTGCCTCAGCCTCCCAAGTAGCTGGGACTACAGGTGCATGCAACCATGCCTGGCTAATTTTTATATTTTTAGTAGAGACGGGGTTTTGCCATGTTGCACAAGCTGGATGTAAATTCTTACAAACCTGTTCCCTGCACATTTATTTTCTCATTCCACACGACTGTCAAATTGGAAATTCTCCCAAGATGCTTCTGACTGTATCAGGCAGAGTGGAGTGTGAGTGGTGCTGTTTCTCTCTTCACGAGGACACGGCTGGGTGTCTTGGCCACCCATTTTTATTCTTTGTTACTGCGACCGAGGAACAGGGACTATTGTCAAAAAGACTTGAGCAAGGTCGGACTAGGAAGGTTTTTTTTTTTTTTTCCATGGGTTAAAGAAAGAAACATTCTCTTGAAGATGCTATGAGATGGGAAGGTTTCCAAAGCCTTTGAATAGCTGCACATGAACTCATCATAAAAACGTAAAAATAATCCTCTTTGTGGTGCACGTGATTGTGAGCCTCTGTGTCTGTCTGGGATGCGAGTGTGAGAGAATTGAGTTAGAGGTGACCACAGGTCACGTGTCTGGTGATGATAATGTCTTCACGGACCACAGAATATAATATCAAGGTAATGAGAAACTCTACTGTGCACTTCTTTGTTATAAAATATTTTTCTTTCAGAATGTTTAGACATACGGAAAGGACGTGGTGGAGTGGTTAAGAACGCAGGTGCTGGAGTGAGGCTCCCTGCATTGGAACCTTTAATCCTCCACTCACAAACTGGCCTTGGGGAACCTACTTTACCTCTCAGAACTTCTGTTTCCTCATCTTTAAAAGAAGGTTTTAAAAATAGTGGCTCACTCTACAAAAGAATTTTAAAAAATTCCCTGGGCATGGTTGCACATGCTTGTAGTCCCAGCTACTTGGGAGGCTGAGGCAGGAGTATGACTGGAGCTCAGGAGATCAAAGCCGCTCTGAACTGTGGTCACACCACTACACTCCAGCGGGGGTGACAGAGCAAGACCTGGTCTCCAAAAAGTAAAAATAAAATAGCATAAACTTCCTAGGGTTGTCCTAAGGAATCAGCAGATGCCTGCAGGTTGGCACTCGGGGCAGGGTTGGCACAGGGGGCTGCCCCACCAGTGATCACTTTGAGGATGAGGATGACATTGTCTCTGATCATGAGATGAAGATGGTGAAGGAAGGGGATGGTGATTTAACCTTTATTAAGACTTGGCCCCACTGGACAGCCTGCCTGACTGAGGAGTCTCTCTCTCTATAAATTCAGAGACACAGAGCCTAAGAGCAGTCTAAAAGTATGCTCGTTATTAAAAATCTCAAAAAGGTCATGGTTTCAGGTGTGCGTTCTCATCTTCCAGGATGAGCTAAAGCTTCCTCATTCCATGCTTCCTCTGTGGCACTTACAGGTCTGGGTGTGCTCAGTCCTCTGGATGTTCAGCTCAGCAGCTGCACAGCTCAAGGTTATTTTTCTGCCAGAGGGAAACAAGGTGGGCTGCAGACACAGTTCTGATTTTGGAGCAGGGTCGTGTGCAAGGGTCATCCATTCCCACTCATTTACTGGCTGTTCCTGCAGGTCTCAATGAGACGTGTGGCTGGCTGCACAGTAGCTGCCAACTGGCTCTGCTGGTTATAATCAATGGTTCAGCCTTCTCTCTCTCTTTCTTTCTTTCTTTTTTTTTTTTGAGACGGAATCTCACTCTTGTTGCCCAGGCTGGAGTGCACTGGTGCGATCTTGGCTCACTGCAACCTCCGTTTCCTGGGTTCAAGCAATTCTTCTGCCTCAGCCTCCCAAGTAGCTGGGATTACAGGTGCACATCACCACACCTGGCTAATTTTGTACTTTTAGTAGAGACAGGGTTTCTCCATGTTGGTCAGGCTGGTCTCAAACTCCCGACCTCAGGTGATCCACCTGCCTCGGTCTCCCAAAGTGCTGGGATTACAGGCGCGAACCACCTTGCCTGGCCTCTCTTTCTCTCTCACACACAACATCTTTCCCAGGGCTTTTTACTCCTTAGAAATACTTTATTCTGATTTTTGTAAATAATTTTGAAAAGATTTTCCTGAAATTGTCAGTGTACAGGTTGGGAGTCCCAGTTCTCAAAGGGATTTTGGCAAATCCATCACCCATAACAGGATATGATCGGGATCCTAGGCCAAAGGCTGTCAGAAGAATGTGCTGTTCTGTAGCTTAATATGATTCATGTAAATAGATTACAAACTGTTACCTTCTACATTTATCATTACCACTTGGCATGCTTTGTGTTTAATAATCTCTGAGCACATGTACAAAAGAAATAAATTTAAAAAGAATAGTTTCTGGGCTGGGGATGGTGGCTTATGCCTGTAATCCCAGCACTTTGGGAGGCTTAGGTGGACAGATCCCTTGAGCCTGGAAGTTCGAGACCAGCCTGGATAACATAGTGAGACCTCATCTCTACAAAAAAATTAAAAAATTAGCTGGATGTCATGTCACGTGCCTGTAGTCCCAGCTACTCAGGAGGCTGAGGTGGGAGGATCATTTGATCCTGAGAGGTCGAGGCTGCAGTGAGCCATGATTGCATTATTGCACTCCAGCCTGGGAAACAGAGCAAGACCTTGTCTGAAAAACAAAAACAACAGAAAAAAGAATAGTTTATACCATTATAGGAATAATGTGACAAAGAACCAGAGAAGGAGTGAGGACCAGGCATAGTGGCTCACGCCTGTAATCCCAACACTTTGGGAGGCCAAGGTGGTGGATCACCTGAGGTCAGGAGTTTGAGACCAGCCTGGCCAACGTGGCAAAACCCTGTCTGTACTCAAAATACAAACATTAGCGGGGGTGGTGGTGCATGCCTGTAATCCCAGCTACTCAGGAGGCTGAGGCATGATAATTGCTTGAACCCGGGAGGCGGAAGTTGCACTGAGCCAAGATCACACCACTGCACTCCAGCCTGGGCGACAGAGTGAGACTCTTTCTCCAAAAAAAAAAGGAGTGAGGCACACAAGCGACACCCCTGCAGTCACTGCATTTTTACTAAAAATGGTAATTAATGAGTTTAAAGTGACATGCAAGAGGTTATGCTCCGGATCAGGGTTCAGGAAAGATGATACTTGGTAATTGCCTAAATAGCGTATTTTCCCTCAGTGATGTGGAACCACATGCTGTTGGTAAATGGGAGGCAAACGAATGAGCTCAGGGCATAAACATTTTCAATTTCCCAAATTCCTCACATTCTGAGTTAGAGAATTTTTTTAAAGTGTGGTTTATAGACATCCAAAATTTAGGGTCAAGGAAATAAATAAAATCATTGAGACACAGAAATCATTATTCATCCCTTCACATATGTTTTCTGTTGTCCCTCTCCCCCTGAGGCTGGGAGGCTGCAACTTCGAGAGTGAGGTTGAACGCTGGGATGCTGGGACACACACTTACACTCTTCCTGCTCCCCTCCTTGTCCCCTGTACCCTGAGCCATAGATATACCAGGAGAGCCTCTGGCTCTGCAAACCGTGCTCCCCTAAACCCAAAATCCCCAACCGCAAAATCCTCTCCGTTATGGCATCTCTCTTATTCCCCTTCTAATGAGAGAAGTCTCAGACTCATTAAACAGCCAATAGCTTTTGCCACTTTATTTTAGAACAGCCGATGTGAGATAACCCAGCTCCTCTGGAGTTTCTGTGGGTTGTAAGTCTTTTTGGGAAATGAGGCCAACTAGAAATGCAGTCTAACAGCTGGGAAGTTTATGAAACCATTTTCTTCCAGATTTACTAAATATTTTAGCACCAGAGACAGCACAGGGATCTCTTAGCTATATTATCAACTAACCTCCGAGTAAAATGAAACTATAGATTAAAGTGAAAGATAAAAACATCAACCCTGATGAACTTTCTGCCAGCCAGGGAGAGTCTCCTAAGTTCATTCCCCTCCTTTTTATCATAACTGTAGTCAAAAGTGACATTTGATCTATTGCCTTCCATGTGGCATCATGAAAGGACAGAGCGTGGCTGGGGTTTCAGGGCTCTGAGGTACATCTGGGGTCTAGCTGTGCTCTAGGGACTCAGCAGGTGCCTTTCATTCTGGAAAGATGAATGACAGCTGAGGACAGAAGAGAAACTGATGGAGAAACCAACAGGGTGCTGCTACTTCCTTGTTTTTTAAGAAATGATTTTTAAGGAATTAACGGCACTGATGGCCGCCTCCTTCTCTGTTCTATTCCAGCTCAATTGGCCACCGAGACACATTCCAAGGACACTTAGCAAAACACCACATCGAAAACAAATAAGTATGGGTGAGCCCTGGAGAAAAGATACAAAGGCAACCTCTAAGGGGCATGAAGGGCTCTTTTGTTTGCAGCTCGGGGTGCGGGAGGCGGGGAGATTCTCACCACTGAAGTGGACGTAAACACACGTCAGACGCGAGCCCAGACGTGGGTGTCACCAACCCCTTTCAATGACAAGCCCCACAGTAGACGAGGACGTTTTTGGTTGCGCAAGCGGCTTCTGAAGTGGTTCCTGTGGGCACTGCGGGAATTCTCCGGAGCCTCACAGTCCCCGATGTGGGATAGACCAGAGAGCTGGGGAACGGGAGCCCGCCTGAGATGGAGGATCCAGGCCCCTCGGGGCGTCCCCACGTCAGATCCCTGGGGTCAAGCCTGTCCCCAGGATGACTCCCCAGGTTTTGACCTGATCGCTGCACCCATGAGGCTCCCGGTGTCCGGGCGCTCCTCAGGTCCCCGACACGGAGGCAGGCTTGGGATGACTGCAACCTGCTCTCATGAGTCACAGCAGGTGCCTGTCGAGACCCACACGGACCCGGGCGGGCAGGACCTCGGATGCTGACTCCCTGTGGGGTCAGGACCTCCTTCCTCCAGGTTCTGCCGTCTGAGGCCGCAGCCTGCTCCTCCCCGGCCTGCTTCTCATCCAGGGCACGCCGGCTGCCCCCCACTAGCTGCTTATCCCAGAGCCCGGGAGTCAGTCCCACTCCCCAGATTCTGCGCCTGGTCTTGTCCACTCCATCATCGCATCTTGTCAGCTCTGTTTCCAAAAGGATGCCTTGACTTTACCCACATCTCTCTGCCCCACTCCCACCTCCACTTCCCTGGTCCAAGCCGCCATCACTCGTGGCTGGATGTCCTCAAAGGCGTCTCAGCTCGACTTCCAGGGTTGCTGCCCTCCACCCCGGGAACTGAGGATCTATAGCGCAGCCACAGCAATCTTCTGGCAGTGTCCATTGGCGAATGCATCCGGGCTTCCCGTTACCCTCTGAGTCCACTCCAGCCTCCTTCCTGTGCTCTGTGGAGCTGCTTGTGCCTGGCCCCTGTGCACCCCCAGCCCCTTCTCAGCCTCCCCCTTTGCCTACTGCTTTGGTCATGCCAGCTTTGACAGTTCTCATAAGCACCAGGCTCATTCTTGCCATGGGGAATGCGAAGATCTGTTCATCCAGCACACTCTTTTTTTTTTTTTTTTTTTTGAGATGGAGTCTCGCTGGAGTGTGCAGTGGTGCAGTCTCGGCTCACTGCAACCTTCACCTTCCAGGTTCAAGCAATCCTCTGACCCCAGCCTCCTGAGCAGAGCAGCTAGGATTACAGGCATGCAGCACCACACCCGGCTAATTTTTTTGTATTTTTAATAGAGATGGGGTTTCACCATGTTGGCCAGGCTGGTCTCAAACTCCTGACCTCAAGTACAGGTGTGAGCCACCGCGCCCGGCCAGCACACTCTTTCTTCAGATCTTTGCATGCCCAGGCTCAACTCAAATATTATCTGTTCAGCAGAGTCTTCCCTGGCCCTCAAACTGCAGTAACACTTCCCTTCGCCCAAGTCACGAACACCAAGCTGTGCTTCTTTCTCCTTTTTTCCTTTCCTTTCCTTTCTTTTCCTTTCCTTTCCTTTCCTTTCAGTTCCTTTCCTTTCCTTTCCTGTCCTTTCCTTCTCTCCACCTCTCTCTCTCTTTCTCTCCTTCCTTCCTTTCTCTCTTTCTTTCCTTCCTTCCTTCCTTCTTTTGTTTTGTAGGTTGATTGCTTTTTACAAGTTTTAAAATTTAAAGGGACTAAATTGATAAGCAGACAGGTGATGTGTAACTCTTTGCTGATCTGTTGTTACCCAGTGATAGCTGAAGCTTCTTTAGAACACAGATGCTATTAAAACATGCTTTGTTTCAGGGAGGGAGGTGGTGATGGTGAGAAGAAAGGCTGACACTGAGAACAATCTCATGATATCAGATCTCTAAAATTTTGTGCAAGTTCAGAGAATTTTCTCCATTGGATAAGGGTCAGCCTCACTTGTCCTCTTAAAGCACTTAGGACACCACCTGAAGGCTTTGGTGGCCTTCCCTCCCTCCTCCATCCCACAAATATGTATAAATCCTTAATTTAATTCAATAAAAAGTTGATATGGTCTGGTCTTTGTGCTCTGGAGACTAAGAGTCTATTAAGGGAGTTGAGATAAGGACGCAAAGACTGAAACTTCAGGCAGAGCTTGGTAAGTGCCATGATAGGTGTAGACGTGATACTTTGGAAGTTCAGAGAAGGGAAGCAGGGCCCTGAAGTGATTAGGGCATTAATGCAGGAGGAGGCCTGTCCGGGTTCAATTTTCTGTTTCTCTTTTTACTACTTGTGTACTCTTTGCTAAGTTATTTAATAGTTCTGTGCCTCGGTTTCCTTACTTTCTAAAGATATAGAAACTATCAGTACCCACCTCTTAGAATTATCAGAAATATTAGATAAAATGATGCGCATAAGATATAAATAAAACAGCATCTTACTGCTAAATATTCAATTTGTAGCACTAAGGATAGAGGCATTTTATCTTAAGGTTGAATAGAATTTAAATGTAAGATAAAGGTGGGCAAGGAACTTCCAAATGGAACCATGTAAACAAAAGAAGCATGAGGAGCAAGAAAGCATGGTTGGCAGTAGCTGAAATACTCAGTTTACTTGAGAAAATGGGAAGGAGAAGATGATAATATTGGGAAGTTATGTGGGATCATAATGGGGAAGAACATTAGTAACCATTCTCTTTTTGGTGAATGATTATATGTTACCGAAGATCTCTAAGCAGGAAAGATGTTGAGATGGCTTAGTTTCTCTAACAATTATCTTCCCCAGAAATCATTTGCAACATATAATAATGTAATAAAACTTATTTTTTCCCTTCTGCTTGATTTAGGTTTATTATGCTCTATCTTCCCCAGTTGCGTAACATGGCAACTTACTAGATTATTGACTTGAGGCTCTTTTTTCTTTTCTAATATATTTTGCTCTATTTTCCCCAGTTTCTTAATGTGGCAAGTTATTAGATTATTGATTTGAGGCTTTTTTTTTCTAATATATGGATTTGGTGCTATAAATTTCCCTCTAAGCACTGCCTTAGCTATACCCCACAAATTGTGATATGTTGTATTTTCATTTTCACTTAGTTCCAAATAGTTTCTAATTTCTGCTGAGAGTTCATACTTGACCTATGGATTAGTTGGGAGTATGTTTGTTAATCAAAAAGTGATTTGAGATTTGCCTGCTATTTTTTCTGTTACTGATTTCTAGCTCAATTTCATTATGTCCAGAGAGCATATTTTGTGTGGTTTTACTTCTTTTAAATTGATTAAGGTCTGTTTTATCTTGGTGAATGCTTCTCATGTGCACTTGAGAAGAATGTGTATTCTGCTGTTGTTGGGTGGAGTGTTCCATAAACGTCAATTAGATCCAGATGGTTGATCATGCTGTTCATTTCTTCTAAGTCCTTTGCTGATTTTCTGCCTCATAGTTTGGTCTATTAGTCTATAGTCACAGCTCTTTGGAGAAACGAAACCAATAGGATATGTTTCTATCTATCTGTCTACCTATCTACCTACCTCTCTGTAAATAAGAGAGATTGATATGGAAATTGGCTTATGTGATGATGAAAACTGAGAAGTTCCACTATCTGCTCTCTGCAAGTTGGAGAAATAGGAAAGCAGGTGGTGTGTTTTTGTCTGAAAGCCTGAGAACCAGGAGAGACAATGGTGTAACTCCCAGTTTAAGTACAAAGCCCTAAGAACGTAGTGGGGCACTGGTATAAGTCCAGGAGTCTGAAGGCCCAAGATCCAAAAGCTCCCATGTCTGAGAGCAGAGAAGATGGATATTTCAACTCAGGAAGAGAGCAAATTCTTCCTTCCTCAATGTATTGGATCTTGGCTACCTACATTGATGAGGGTGGATATTCTTTATTCCGTCTACTGATTCAAATGCTAATCTCTTCCCAAAACATCCTCACTGACACACCCAGAAAGAATGTTTTACCAGCTATCTCTGCATCTCTTTGCCCTGTCAAGTTGACACATAAAATTAACCATCATAGTTACTGAGGGAGAAATGCTGAAGTCTCTGATTTTAACTGTGGATTTGTCCATTAAGCCTTTCAATTTTGTCAATTGTTTATGTGTTTTGAAGCTCTGTAGTTAGGCGCATACACATTTGGTATTGTTTTATATTCTTGATGAATTGGCTTATAAATTATCTTTCTTTATCTTTTATAATTTTATGTGTTCTGAAGTCTATCCTGTCTGATATTAATATAACCAGTCCGATTTTTAAAATTAGTGTTTATCAATAGCAAAGACTCAGAACCAACCCAAATATCCATCAATGGTAGACTGGATTAAGAAAATGTGGCACACATACACCATGGAATACTATGCAGCCATAAAAAAGGATGAGTTCATGTCCTTTGCAGGGACATGGATGAAGCTGGAAACCATCATTATGAGCAAACTATCACAAGGACAGAAAACCAAACACCACATGTTCTCACTTATAGGTGGGAAATGAACATGGAGAACACTTGGACACAGGGCGGGGAACATCACACACTGGGGCCTGTCATGAGGTGGGGGGCTAGGGGAGGGATAGCATATACGTAATGTAAATGACGAGTTAATGGGTGCAGCAAACCAACATGGCACATGTATGCCTATGTAACAAACCTGCACGTTGTGCACATGCACCCTAGAACTTAAAGTATAATAATAAAAAAAATAAATAAAGTTAGTGTTTGTGTGATATATATATATACATTTTCCATTCTCTCACTTTTAACTTACCACTATTGTTGTGTTTGAAGTGAGTTTCTTGTAAACAGCTTATACTTACATCATTATATAAAATTTAATCTGACAATTTGTATCTTTTAATTGGCATTGTATTAAATTTAATTATTGGTAAGTTTGGATTTAGGTCTATCATTTTAATATTTGTTGTCTCTTTATTGGATTTTTTTTGGTTCTTCTGTTTCCCCTTTTCTAACTTATTTAGGTTTATCAAAGCATATTTTAGCAGGTCATTTAAACTTGTTTTGATTTTGAGTATTTTTTGGTATATATTTTTTAGTGGTTAATCTTGGTATTACAAAATACAGTCTTAATTTTTCACAGTTTATATAGAATCAATATTTTATAACTTCAATTTGTTTTTTCTGTTTGTTTTAGATACAAGGTCTTGCTATACTGCCCAGGCTGCTGGTCTTGCACTCCTGGGCTCAAACTATCCTTCCCCTTCAGCCTCCCAAGCAGCTGGCATTACAGGCCTGTGCCTCCATGCCTGGTTTTACTACTTCAATTTGAATGTAGAAATCTTGTCACTCTAAAGTTCCTTTGTCCTCTTGTCTTTATGCAATAGTTGCCTTACATATTACATTTACATATATTAAAAACTCCACTAGATGATGTTATATTTTTTCCTTTCAACTGTCAAACATATTTTTTAAAATTCTGGAAGGGAAGAATAATCTATTGTATTTACCCAGATATCTACCACTTCTGTTACTCTTTCTCTATTCCTGATGTTCCATTTTTTTTCCTTCTGGTATCGGAAGAGCTTTCTTTACCATATCTATTTTTTTTTTAAAGATACAAGGTCTTGCTCTGTTGCCCAGGCTGGAGTGCAGTGGTGCAGTCATAGCTCTCTGCAGCCTTGAACTTCTAGAATCAAGTGATCCTCCCACCTCAGCCTCCCGAGTAGCTGGGACTAGAGGTGTGTGCCACCGCACCCTTCTAATTTTTAAATTTTTTGTAGAGATGGGATCTTGCTTTATTGTCCAGGCTGGTCTCAAATTATTGGCCTCAAGTTACCCTCCTGCCTCCCAAAGTGCTGGGGTCACAGTCATGAGCCACTGTACCTGGCCCTTTTAGTATATTTTTAGAGCATGTCTGCTGGATATAAATTTTCTTAGCTCTTCTTTATCTCACAATGTTTTCATTTTATCATCTTCCTGAAGAACATATATATATATATATATATATTTTTTTTTTTTTTTTTTTTTTTTTTTTTTTTTGAGACAGAGTCTTGGTCTGTTGCCCAGGCTGGAGTGCAGTGGCATGATCTCCACTCACTGCAAGCTCCGCCTTCCAGGTTTACGCCATTCTCCTGCCTCAGCCTCCCGAGTAGCTGGGACTACAGGCACCCGCCACCACACCCGGCTAATTTTTTTGTATTTTCAGTAGAGACGGGGTTTCACCATGTTAGCCAGGATGGTCTCTATCTCCTGGACCTTGTGATCTGCCCGCCTTGGCCTCCCAAAGTGCTGGGATTACAGGTGTGAGCTGCCGTGTCTGGTCTTCCTGAGGAATATTTTTGCTGGATGTAGACTTCTGGGTTGATAGTTATTTTATTTTAGTTTTTGAAAAATGTTTTTTTTCTTGCCTCCATGGTTTCTGATGAGAAATCTTCAGTTATTTTAAATAGTGTCTGCCTATAGGTAATGTGCTCTTTTTCTCTGCCTACTTTTGCTACTTTTCCTTTGCCTTTAGTTTTCAGCAGTTTGATTATGATGTCTCTGGGCATGGATTTTTGTTTGGGATTTGCTCAGCTTTTGAGTACGTAGGTTTATGTTTTTTATTGAACTTGCAAAGTTTACGGTTATTATTACTTAAAAAGATTGTCTTAGCCCCACACTCTCTCCTCTTCTACCAGAATATCGAAGACATAAATGTTAGGCTGTGTTTATTGTCCCAGAGGTCCCTGATATTCTACTGTTTTTCTTTTAATAATTTTTCTCTATTGTTCAGACTGCTTAATCTTTATTGATCTAGCTTCAAGTTCAACATCTTTTTTTATTTGTTATTGTATTTTCTAGTTCTAAAACTTCCATTTGTTTTTTCTTTATATTTTTATTTTTTTCCACTTGTGTGTGTGTGTGTGTTTCCAATTCTATCAAATCGTATTGTAAACACAATTTAACTTTTTCTATGAGAGACATTTGTTATGGTACAGGTACAGTTGATGTTGTTGCAAAAGCAAATGAGACTAAAAGCAGATTCGATGTTAATCCTAGAGACCTTTTCTACTTTCTATTTTAACTTTTGTTTCAACAGTGTTTGTGATTACTCATTTGAGCATTTTCATAATAGCTGCTTTACATTCTGTCGGATAATTTCAACGTCTATACCATCTTATTATTGGTCATGAAAAGTTCTCTCTGAAGAAGTGGTAACTGAACTAAAGCCTGAGTAATAATAATAAAGACAGAGGATCCCAGGCAGGGGAAACAAGATGGGCAAAGTCCTCCAGGAGGGAATGACCAAGATGAGGTAGAGAATAAAGGGCAGTGTTTCTGGAGCATGGCAGCTTAGCTTGGGCTTTCATAACAAAGTACCATAGACTGGGGTTTAAACAACAGAAATTTATATCTCATCATCTGGAGGGTGGGAAGTCCAAGATCAGGTGCCAGCATACTCAGGTTCTGGTGAAGGCTCTCTTTCTGGTTTACAGACAGATGCCTTCTTGTTTTGTCCTCATATGGCAGAGACAGATAATCTCCCTCATGTCTCTTCTTGTAAGGGGAATAATTCCACACATGAGGGCTCTGCCTTCGTGACCAGCTGGAAGTTTTCCAGCAAAGAAGAGTAGGGTGGGGAAGATAATTCTGATATTTTGAGCCCAGGGACATGAGGAATAGAGGTACCACTGGCTAGGAATGAAAGCTTAACCAGCAGTTTAGCACTGTGGAGTGGAAATTGACTGATTGCTTGTTCAACATTCATTCACCCTTCTTTGAGTTCCAGATTCTGATTTTCATTCTATTCCTTACCCACTATATCAGTCAGTATAGGTTGTAGGTATATGCTATAGCAACAACAGTTCCAACATCTTAGTGGCTTAAGACAACAAAATTTCATCTTAATTTTGCTCACATTATGTATAAAACTTGGACTGCTGGAGGGGGTCAGCTCATTGGGGTCAGCTCATTGGAGTCACTCAGTTGAAGGTTTCATCCACTCACTCACAAGTTTCTGCAGTCAATGAGGCAGTGAAAACTTGAGTATGGTCTTCCATATGGAAGTGACATGTATCACTTCCACTCACCTGCTGTGAGGCACAGCAAGGCATATAGTCACACTAACTTCAAATGAGCAGGAAATGAAATCCTTGCACGTGCCTAGAAGTAGAACTACAGACATTTGTTGAACAGCATCAATGACTGCTCTATTTCCTATCAATCCTTACAGCCTGAATGTGGGTCTTCCCCAGGACCCAGGGATTGAACGCCTGACTCAATGCTGCTTCAGTCAGCTCAACACATTCCCTTGATCACAGGGATTGGTTTAGGCATGGGCACACGACCCAGTGAAATGCAGTGGACATTTTTCTGCAGATGCTAGGGTGTAGAAAGATGTTTCAGCAGCCGTTTTGTGACAGTGAGGCATGAGGCTGATAGAGAATGGAGCCAACAGGAAGTAAGTGGAGACTGAGAAATAGAAAAAAAATTCCCAATGCCATTGACTAGGCCCTGAAGATGGCCATACCATCCTCTGGGATTTTAATAGCTTGAGTGTAAATACATACTTTCCTCCTTTTTGGTTAAGTCTGTTGTATTTTCTGTTTCTTGCAACAGAGAGCACCCTGATTGATATTGTCCTGAAGAAGGTTTTGAGGAAGGACATTATGGTAAATTCCTTTTATTGTTATGGGTGAAGTTACAGTACCTCATACATCACAAAATTGTGGTACAATTCAACTGATTTTCAAACCAGATATCTTTTTTGATTTTTAGTTTAATTCTTTCTAGGGCCTTCACAAAATTAAGTATTGGAACACTTGTTGGTATAGGATTTCCCCAGAATACGTCCCTTGACATGCAATTCTCTTTTTGGAGGTTTTTTCGAGCTTGACATTGTTATTCACTGAGACAGTGAGTTGAGGTATTAATTAATGGCTAGTTTTGCTGCAGTGGTTCAGCATGACTTTCTAAAAGGTGCAAGGTAATTGATTGTCTTTTCCCCTGCAGTTGATTTTGCTTCCAAATGACAAATCATACTGTTTGCTGGACGGTCTGTTAATTGGTCATGTGATGATGGTGGTGGTGATGACAGATGATAATGTAGTGCCTCACTGTCTAATAGGATTCCACCTTTTAATATCTAGAGTTGTTTATTCCTCAGTTACAGGTGGGTGAAAATAAAAATGGACTCATTGGTAGGTATCCCATGACTTTGGCTGAGTTCAGAGGCAAAGTGAAAAAGCCACTCTGGACTGAGAAACCACCTGAGTAATCAAGATGAGGCCCCAATCCACTTGTCATACTGTGTCAGTTAGAGATTCTTTTTCTTTTATTTTTTCTTTCCTTTTTGAGATGGAGTCTCACTCTGTCACCCAGGCTGGAGTACGGTGGCACAATCTCGGCTCACTGCAACCCCGCCTACCGGGTTCAAGCGATTCTTCTGCCTCAGCCTCCTGAGTAGCTGGGACTACAGGTATGCGCCACCATGCCCAGCTAATTTTTTGTATTTTTAGTAGAGATGGGGTTTCACCATGTTGGCCAGGCTGGTCTCGAACTCCAGACCTCGTGATCTGCCTGCCTCAACTTCCCAAAGTGCTGGGATTACAGGCGTGAGCCACCGCACCTGGCCAAGATTATTTTTCAAGTACATGTAATAAACACAAGATTCCAGTGGCTTAGGCAAGTAGAGGGGCAATATGGCAGTTCTGCAATGTCACCAGGGACTCGAGCACCTTCTAGCCTGTGGCTCTGTCATTCTTAGCTTATGGGATATTTCAGGCAGGTGTATTTAGGTGTAACTCATATACGAAAATAATCACTCTTTCTAGAGTACAGCTCCATGAGTTTCGACAAACACATAGTCATGTAACCACTACCATTACAAGACACAAAATTTGTCCAACACTGCAAAAAATTTCCCTAAGAAGGGAAATATTTAATTTTTTGGTGGTGTTATTATACATGGTAATGTTTTAGATATTTAATATCATATGTAAAATGATATTTAAAATAGCATTTAAAAATTTAAATTCCCAATCATCCATTGCTATTGTATCAAAGCAAATTAATTTTTTTATGTTGAACCTGTTTCTGTGACCTTGCTAAACTCACTTATTAGTTCTAGTAATTTATTTATTATAAAGTTCACTCCTTTAAAGTGCACAGTTCAATGTTTCTTAGTGTGTTGACAGTCATGTAAAAACCATCATAATCTAATTTTAGAACATTTTATCACCCAAATAGTTATCGTTCTTTCATTTTGACTTCTAGTTCAATTCCATTACCATTAAGAGGACATACTTTATAGAATTTCAAAATTTCATATTTGCTGAGGTTTATTTTATGGCCCAGAGTATGGTCTAATCGGTGTATATTTTATGTGCACTGAAAAAGGATGTAATTTCTCTGTTGTGGGACGGAGCGTTCTACAAATGTCATTAAGCCAAGTAAGTTGATAATGTTAGTCAGTCTTCTGTATCCTTACTGATTTTCTGTCTACTTATTTTATTGATTACTGAGAGAGGAGTCTCTAAATATAACTGGATTTGTCCGTTTCTCCTTTCAGCTGTAGTGGCTTTTGACATGTATTTGTGGTTCTTTTGTTAGAGCGATACCTACCGAGGATTGCTATGTGTTGTTGGTGAATTCACCCCTTTATCCTTATGTAATGACCCTCTTTATCCCTAATGGCCTCTCTTGTTCTGAAGTCTACTTTTTCCACTCCAGACAGCCACTCCAGTTTTCTTCTATTTGGTGTTCCATGGTATGTCTTTTCACTCTGCTTGTACTTTTAACCTCACTAAGTATTTATATTTAAAATGTGTTTCTTGTAGATAGAAAATAGTTGGGTCTTTTTGTTTTATCCAGGGAATCTCTATCTTCTCTTTGGTGTATTCAGATCATTAAAGGTCAGTGCAATGATTGATATGATTGGAATAAAATTGGACATCTTTGCCAGTTATTTTCTATTTGTTCCATCTGTCCTTTGTTCTCTCCTTCCTTCTTTCTCCATCTTCTTTTGGATTAATTCAGAATGTATGATTCCTTTTCATGTATATTATTGGCTTATTATTTATCCCTCTATAACATTTTCTCCCAGGGGTTGTCCTAAGGCTTACCAAATGCTTTTTTCCCACCCCCTGTGGTTGTCATAAAATCTATCTCTTCAAATTACCTTCCAATAATATTATGCCACTCCATGTATCGTGTGAGCACCTCAGGACAGGGTACTCCTACTTCCTCCCTCCCACATTTTATTACATTTAGTCGTAAATTTTACTTTTACAAATGCTATCAACCCACAGCACCTTCTACTCTTTTGTCATTAGACAGTCAATGTTTTCTTTCCATGGCAACTGAAAATAAGAAAAACTCCTTTTATACTTACTTCAAATTTAATCATTTCTGAGTGTCTTCATTTCTTTGTGTAGATCCAAGTTTCTGTGTGGTGTCATAGTGCTCTGTCTAAAGAGCTTCTTTCACATTTCTTGTAGTTCTGGTTTCTGATAATAAATTCTGTCACTTTCTGTTTGAAAAATAGCTTATATCTCTTTCTTTTTTTGAGATATAATTTACAGACAATAAAGTTCATTTTTAAGTGTAAAATTCAGTGGTTTTGAGTATATTCACAAGGTTGTGCAACCATCATCACTATTTAATTTCAGAACATTTTCATCAACCCCCAAAGGAAGCTTGTATCCAGTGGCAGTCACTCCCCCCTTCCCCCATTCCCAGACTTGTCATTCATTTCTGAAAGATATTCTTACTGGATATAGAATTCTGGGTTGACAGGGCCCTCCTCATCCTCCTGACCCCACAGCACTTTAGATACTTCATGACATCATCCTTTGGCTTACATAGTTATTGATAAGAAGTCTACTGTAATTCTGATTTTTTCTTCTCTGTACATAGTGTATATTTTTCCTTTTGCTGCCTTCATGATTTTGCTTTTATATTTGATTTTTGGCAGTGTGATGATAATGTGTCTAAATGTTTCTAGGGGTATGTGTGTTTGATATTTATCTTGCTTGGGATTGTCTGAGCTTCTTGGGTCTGTAATTGAATATCTTTCTTTCTTTCTTTTTAAATTCTTAGACTTTATGTCTTCAAACTTTTTTCTGTCTTATTTTCTCACGTCTACATCTACAATTCCAATTACACATATGTTAGATTATTTGCTATTGTGACATTGCTCTTTCATGCTCTGATTTAAAAAATATATATATTTTCTTTTTCACTTTGTGTTTCAGTTTGGATAATTTTAATTGACCTATCACAATGTTAATGGATTCTTTCCTTGCCTGTGTGGAGTGTACTGATGAACACAGAGAAGGAATGTTTTATCTGTAATCTACCTTTTTTTAGTGATAGCATTTCCATTTCCTTGCCTGTGTGGAGTGTACTGATGAACCCAGAGAAGGAATGTTTCATCTGTTATCTGCTCTTTTTTAGTGATAGCATTTCCATTTGACTCCTTCATATAACTTCCATCTCTCTGCAGAAATTCTCCATTTATTCATCAGCGTTGTCATCATTTTTCCAGTAAAACATTTAACATATTAATCATAGTTGTTTAAACTGGTCTATCTTCTAGTTTGATTGCTTCGTTTCTTGGCAGTGGGTTGTTTTTCTTTCTCTTTTGTGTGTGTCATAATTTTAGAATGAGTGCTGGACATCACACATAGGACAGTGGAGACTAAGATAAGTAGTATTTATGCCAGGAAATGGGGAAAAGTCTTCTCTGCTAGGTCATTAATGCATGTGTGTCCTTGCATGTGTGGGTGTGTGCAGATGTGTGTGTTTATGTGCATGTGTGTAAGGTATGTGTGTTGGTGTGTTTATGTGCATGTGTGTAAGGTATGTGTGTTGGTGTGTATATGTGCATGTGTGTGTGATATGTGTGTTAAGTCAATCAGGCGAGTTGAGCTGGGTTTGGGTTCTGTTGCTATGGTTGCCTTCAGTCCACTGGTAGCTTCACATTCCTCTGGCAGAATCTTGCGCTTTGGGTGGGGTTTGGTTTGGCAGAAGGTTTTTCTCAGTGTTTCTGCTCTACTTTCAGTTTTAAGTGTTTCTTGTGTGCCAGAATGTCAGAGCGGCTCTCCTCTGGCTCCTACCCTCTCAGTCCTAGAACGCTGGATCTTGCAAGCCTGGGCATGGGGAATAGAGAAGGTTCTGAGGCCCGGCCTCAGTCTTAGGTGGACTTTGTGTCTCTGTGTCTTGAGATGGATTTTCTTGGTGGCCCTGCCCCTCTCCCATTTGAAGGAGATCTTTGATGATCTGGACCCAGGAGAGTTTCTGCCTCTGCCCTGGGAATAGAGGGTAGTTTCTCCCCACTGCATCCCAGAGGTTCTTCCCTGTGCCCTGCGGCTGGCAGGGCTGGCTGTCCTTCCCCCAGCAGCACAAGGACTGCTTGTGCTTTGTTCCTTGGGGAGAAAGGTCCAGGCAGGGCTTTGTGCCCTTGCACAGTGATGGCCACTCACTTCTCCAGCTGTGCAGAGTGGTTCTCTCCAGCCTCCTGCCTGCCCCCAGTCCTTCTTCTGTACCTGCTGGGCATCCAGGGAGAAGAGGCCGAGATGGGAACAAACTTCCTTGGTGTGCAGCTGCCAGCAGTCTATGCTCTCTCTCCAGCCTACACCAGCCTTTAGAAATCCATCAAAAGCTTTTGCTGAATGCTTCTTACCTGTTGAGCTCACGCTCTGCCACCTGCGAGATGACGCTCATGTCCCATTTCTCCTTAGACCTATCTTCCCCTAGATTTCGGGCAGGGTGATTTCCTTGAACCTCAGCTCTCTGATGGGTTCAAGAAAAGTTAAGATTTTGTAGATTACCTGGCTTTTTCTCGTGATGGGAGTGATGTTCTTTCCAGCTTTTTACATCCCAGGAGGAAAAGCTTGTGGTTTTCATTCTCATGGTTGAGGACAGCTGCTCCACCTCAGCTTAGCATTTCCACATTCCAGCCAGAAAGGTCAAGGTCAGAAGCCTTCAGGAAGAACAAAGGTCAAAAGGAGTTTGCCTTTTCAAAATGTCTTCTCAGAAGCCCATTCAAGAGACTTCTGCCTGTCTCTCATTGCCTGTAGGTCACATGGCCACCCCTAGCTGAAAGGGAAGTAACCTTTTTACTTGTGCATATTGGCACCCAAATATATTTGCAATTCTGCATACAGAGAAAGAAGAGAACAGATTTGAGTAGGCAATTAGCAATGTCCTCTGTGCATATTCTTGCTGAAAACACTCCTTACCAACTAAGCAGTTTGTTACACTTTCATCCTTGCTCTCATTGTCCTTGAAAACTGGATAAAAGCTATGGACCTTCTCCCCCCAAAATTCACATATGCACATTCAAAATGTGCACGTGGGCCGGGCATGGTGGCTCACGCCTGTAATCCTAGCACTTTGGAAGGCTGAGGCGGGCAGATCACCTGACATCAGGAGTTCGAGACCAGCCTGGCGAATACGGTGAAAACCCACCTCTACTAAAAATACAAAAAATTAGCCAGGCGTGGTGGTAGGTGCCTGTAATCCCAGCTACTTGGGAGGTTGAGGCAGGAGAATCGCTTGAGCCCTGGAGGTGGAGGTTGCAGTGAGTGGAGATCATGCCACTGCACTCCAGCCTGGGTGACAAAGTGAGACTCCGTCACCAAAAAAAAAAAAAAAAAAAAAAAGTATATGTGATCCAGAGCATTTCCTGATCCCTGAAGTCTATCCGTGAATGCCTTTGGGATCCTTGGTGATACAGGAGCTAAAAAGAAATGATTTAGGTGGTTAGTGAAGGTACGGGAGTCCTTGGTAAGGTTTCCTTTTAATAAGAAAGCAGCCTCCAAGTCATTTCTTTTCTAACAAAAAGCAGCCTGAAAAATCAAGCTGCCAGTGTAGATAAGTAAGCTGGAAGCCTGCATAGGGGAATGCTGGCAGCTGTGCCAATAGAAAAGGGAAACCTGGAAGCCAGGTATGTTCAACATGGAGGTTCCCTCTTCCCTTTTCTTTGTCGCCACGTGTGCGGGCGTCATGGTGCCAGCCAAGTAAAGACTCCATTTGCATAATAAAAGATTAGAGTGGGATAGCCAGCCTCTTCCGGGCTATGTAAATGGCATATCTGGTCCAACCAATCCACTACACCCTATGTAAATCGACACCGCCTCCTCAAGCTCATCTATGAAATCAAACACATCTCACCCCAAACCCAGAAACCCGCTGGGTCCCCCTCCCTTTACACAAGGCAGCGCTCTTCTTTCTTTCGCCTATTAAACTTTCTGCTCTTAAACCTACTCCTTGTGTGTCCATGTCTTTGATTTCCTTAGCAGGAGACAACAAACCCCGGGGATTTCCCCAGACAAACGATGCTGCTTCATTGGGACTAACTTACGCGAGTGTCTCGTTCTTGGTTCTCTGAGAGCAGAGCCCAGTGCCAACACTCACGTGTGAGCAGTGCTTTAGAGTGTGAGTCCAGGGGGCCAAAGTGGGGGACGGGGGCAACAGACACAGAAGTGGGGAAGCGGCAATGCAGGGAAATGCTACCGTGTTGCAACCATGATGGTTGGAGGGAGAAAAGCGGGTTTGTCCACTGGATCCTGCACTTCATGGGCTCGAGTACCTCACGTTTCTGGGTGCTTATGCCTGAGGCTGCAGGGCTTTCCCGGGCCTCCCATCTGCTGAGTCAGAGACCCCAGGGTGGAGCATGCTCTGGCTTCTGAGGGCATCGCCATCAGGAGCAACGCTGGTGGAAGCCAGTGTGAAGCTGATCATCCTACTGGTAGGTGGATAAGAAGTAGGGCAGAGAAGATTTAAAGAGGTGAATGAAAGGGGCCCCGTACACAGGCCCTCTTGATTATGTTGTTGACTCTCTCCAGCCTCAGCCCCTGCCACTTTCCCTACTTGTGCCTACTCTTCATTGAATATATAATTAATTGTGGTTTCTCAAATCTGTGTCACTGACCAGGACTCTTAATGACCAGGGACAGAAACCAAGCTCAAACTTGCTTGAGCCTAACATAAATTTCTCGGTGCCTGTCAGGGAATGCTGGCTTTAGGTCTTGTAGGATCCAAGGGCTCAGCTGACAGCATCAGGTTTTCTCTTGACCCTCTCCAAGGCTAGGCGGCTAGAGTCTCTATGTTTGCTTGTTATCTTCAGCTCTGTGTAATTCTTTTCTTTGTTGTGGGAAAAATGGGCATCACCAGCCTTGATTGAAGACCATTCTGGATTAGCAACTGCAGTGGCGGAGGGAGTCTTTTCTCTCCCATGGTCAATCTATTGATCCCGGGGAAGACACTGATTGGTTCTGAGTGGGTCACATGTACACCTTTGGGCCATTCACAGTGCCTGTGGTATGGAGGAGCTGCAAGTGTTCCCACTGGGTCACAACTCCCCCGCAACACCTGCAGCTTCTGACAGTCCCGTCTGAGCTCACGGGTCGGTGGAAGAAACGTCCTTCAAAAGGAAAGCCGACAGGAGCCGGAGGGGAGGCTGGGCTGGTAGAAACAACACACGCCCATGGTCCATGGCATGCTGCATCGGAGCTTTAGCCCATTCCATAGCTTCTTTCCAGAATGTCCCATCCCTTAACCACTCAGAGAAAGAATTCTTGAACTCCTTCGTGTGACTTTCACAGTGAATTCGCCCCCAGGCTTCTAACACCGTTCATTTCCATGTACGTTGTGTGCTGCACACCCCTCCTAGCACACTGCTTACGAACTGCTGCTCCGCCTTGCTTATCTACACAGGAGTAAACGTGATGGACACACAACTCTTGCTGCCTCTCACAAATATGCCGGCGTATGGGAGGGTCTGAGCTGGAGGGAGGCGCACCTTGGATTGGTGTGAATCAGGCATCAGGAACTCCTGTGCTCACAGCTTGTCCAGCTCTCCCTCAGCATTTGGGCCACTCCACAGAATTCTTTGTTCAGGCCCGATCTGTCCTCCTGGGACATCTGAGCTGCTCAGCACCAGGAAACATGCTCTGTTGTGCGCAGGGCATCAGCTTTGCAAATAATCCAGTTACGTTCCCATTGGTAGCTGGCGTCACACTTTATGTCCTTGTAAAATTTTGAGTGGAGCCTAATCACAATGTAAGGTCTCATTTTTAATGTTTAATTAGCATCCTCCCAGTAAAGTCTGAAATATTTTACCAAAGCGTAACAATGTTTTTCATTCTTTAAGTAAAGTACACATGCATGTGGCCCAAAACTATGACTTGAATGTTGAATGTGAGGCTGCCTGCCGGGCACTCCCCACCCAAGCATAGAAAAAAGAAAATCGGGCCGGGCGCGGTGGCTCACACCTGTAATCCCAGCACTTTGGGAGGCTGAGGTGGGCGGATCACGAGGTCAGGAGTTCGAGACCAGCCTGGCCAACATGGTGAAACTCCGCCTCTACTAAAAATACAAAAAAATTAGCCGGGTGTGGTGGCGGGTGCCTGTAATCCTGGCTACTCAGGAGGCTGAGGCAGGAGAATTGCTTGAACCTGGGAGCTCAGTGAGGTTGTGGTGGGCTGAGATCGTGCCACTGCCCTCTAGCCTGGGCAACAGAATGAGACTCCATCTCAAAATAAATAAATAAATACAATAAAATCTTGGGTTCCTTGAAGGGGAATTCCAGCCACCTAGCTAGCCCTGAGAAATACATGAGCAACTTGGGAAGCAAGAAGTTAATAGTGGCGAGAAACAATAGTCAAGAGAGTTAGAGTCAGGAATTCATTGCTTCCCTGTAGAAACTAAAGACAACATCGTAACAAACGACCCGGAGTTGTTTTTCAGAACCTGGACCCCCACCAAATGGATCTGTTGACTTACAGACCTCTGATATGGGGGAGCGGAGAGCTGAACTCCACCACCGTTCTTTGTTCTTTGTTTTTTGAGACAGAGTCTCACTCTGTTGCCCAGGCTGGAGTGCAGTGGCTCAATCTCAGCTCACTGCAACCTCCGCCTCCTGGGTTCAAGCGATTCTCTTGCCTCAGCCTCCCAAGTATCCTCCTGAGTACAGGTATGCACCACCACACCCGGCTAATTTTTGTATTTTTAGTAGAGACGGGGTTTCGCCATGTTGGCCAGGCTGGTCTCGAACCCCTGACCTCAGGTGATCCACCTGCCTCAGCCTCCCAAAGTGTTGGGATCCACCCCTCCGGGCCCACCACTGTTCTTTGTTCTAAATTTCTTCCTGAGGGGCCTGGAGGAGGTCATGCCCACAGGCCAGAGCTAACATTCTTTTTTGCTGATCTCAAATTTTTTGACAAAGCCTTGCCTTCTTAACCAATCACAAATCAGAAAACCTCTGAATCTACTACCTATATGACCTGTGGGCCCCCAGTTCAAGATGTCCTAGCTTTTTAGGTCAAACCAATGTGCAGCCTCCAGGTATTATTCATGTGGGACTTAGCCTGTAACCTCTGCCTCTCCACCTTGAAAAACCCTCCCCCATCAGCCATCGGGGAGTTCAGGTCTGAAGTGTGAGCTGCCAGGTTCTGCTCGCCTGGTGCCCTGCTCTAAATGCCTCACTTCCTCTCACTGCAATCCCGACGTCCATGTTTGGCTTTGCTGCGGGAGGGCAGAGCCAGGCTGGGTTTGGTGACAAACGCTGAGTGCTCACCAAGTACCAAGCCCTGTTCTCGGGGCTGGGGTGCAGAGCGAACAGGCAGAAAGAAGGTCTCTGCTCTCATGGGGCCTACGCCTCGGTGGGGAGAGACTGACAATAAATGAAATAAACGTCTAAGATATGAAGTACATTGGATCGTGGTTAGTGGGATCGAGAAAATACAGCAGGGGAGGGCTTTAGGGGGAGGGAGACCTGCTGTCAAGGTGATGTTTGGGTGCCGAACACCCCGACGTTTGGGTGATGGAATGAGATGCTCAGAGACATCAGAGTTGCTTGGTTCCAGGCCCATGGACCACTCAAGGCCCTGTCTCAAATCTCCAGGCTTCAGGACACGCTGCTTTACATGGAGGCGGGCTCTTCATCTGGGCCTCTGAACAAGGCCTGAGACAGGACGCAGGCAAATAGCATGAGGCACGAGACTGTAGTCCGGGATGGAGAGTCAGAGTGAGTCTGAGGATGAGTGCAGATGCCTGCAGGGCAAGCTCTGCTGAATTGCTTTGCTATCTAGTTTTTATTACAGTCATTGAATCGGGGTGTCTCCCATTATCTGATGACAATTTTATGATGAAAAGAAACCATGCTGGCTTTGTTCGGTCATGGAGATGGGAAAGGTCCGCATATTCAGCAATCTGTTGAATTCTTCCAGGTTAAAACTGGAGCTGAGAAAAACCTGCAGCTGCCTGTCCCTCCCTTCACCTCTTCCAGCGAGAGGCAGTGGGGGACTGGAGAGCTGATGAAATGGCAGAGATAAAGGTTGTAAATTAGTTTTCCCTGAAGCCGACCAGCCTGAGCAACAGGATAAAGGTCGTTATTACAGACAGCCCCCGGCCTTTGGAGTTCACAGTTTCTCCATTGCTAGGAGATGGAACTCTCTGGAACCCTTCTCCAGCTCCACAGAGAGGCTCAGGCTATCAGAGGATCTGAGCGGTTGTAGGCTGCAGGCACAAGTTAAAAATAATCACCTAACGTTTTGACAGCACTTTCTTTTTTTCTGTCCCACAGAGATTGGAAGTCATTTTCTTATCCTCTTTAGGAAGTATGTTGGATTCAGGATTCTTAATTCCCATTTAAAGTCAGGACAATTGAGATAACTGTATCAGCTAACATTTACTGGGTGTTATGTTATACTTGCTAATAATAATCATAGCTAACATTTACTGAGTGATAATTTTTCTTAATAGAAAATAGCAGCATTTACTGAGTGCCACATATTTTCCAAGTACTGCCTGAAGAGCCTTGGATCTGTCCTCTAATTTATTGTTACAGCCCTGAGGAGGAGGAACTATTAACCCCCATTTTGTGGATGAGGAATTCGAAAACTAAGAGAGATCAAGTAATTTGCCTAGGAGCACAGCTGGTGAATGTTGGAGAAAGTATGAAGCGGTAAATATTACTTAAATCACATAGCAAATATAGCTGTGACTGCAATTCTAGGGTGTGTGTCTCTGTGTGTCCACGTGTATTTGGAGTAGATCGGATAAACTTTGGTCTTGGGTAAACTGAGGCATGTCTGGCGAAGGGGCTGACTCTTTTCTATCCCATTGAGAACATCCTCCTGGTGCTGGGGTGGGGGTATATGTGGGATGGTGTAATTGCGCAGCGTACCTTGTAATTAATTCCGTAGCTTTCACTGACGTCCGAAAGGATTAGAGAGAAAAATGTGGTCAGCGCTTAATATGGAGGGCACAGTGGGTGTGCTGCTTTCTCTTTTCCATCCCTCTGTCAACTTCATTCTCTTTTGGGGGCAAACAAGACTCAGATCTAAACAGAGTTTATGGTTTGTTTTGCATTTTGTATTTATTAATATTTATGCCGACTTTGAAGGTGCTGACCAGAAGGCATCAGTAACACACACACGCACACGCACACACACCACACACCATGTCTGTTTGGTTTGATTCTGAGCCTGAGATCCTGGAAATATTTCAGCTGTTGTTAAGAGGCTGGAGTTAGGACCCAGGAAGGACACAGCAGTGGGGATATAAATAGAAAAGGAGAACAGAACAAAGTTTGAGGAGAGAGACTTACATCACTCACTCCCCCTCCACCCAGAGAGCAGGACGGAGGTGTGAACTTGAGCCAGACCAGAAGGAGCTCGAGAGCGGCCGCAGGACAAGCCCGAGGAGCAGGCGGGCGCTCCAGGGGAAAACCACGCACAAAACCTTCTTCAGAGAAAAGGGAAGCTCCAAACCTGACTGAGACAAACGGAGGCTCTTGAAATAAAAAGAAAATACCGCAGGACAAACAGCCTCCCGTCCCCGGGCGCAGGTCGCGGTCACAGTGGTGACCTGGGATTGCTTTCCCAGGACTGCGAGTCGGGTTTGGGTTTCTCCTCCCTGCATTCCACAGCTGCTCTGGTCATCGCAACGTGTTTATTGATCACTGAAGAATCTCAAGTTTTGAGACGAGGAAGAAACACCCATTAGGTCTCCAAGACAGCTGTGTTTCACAAACTTTAAGGAGACAGAAATTTTCTCCCCTGGAACCTGTGAAAATGTCCCTTTTCCAAGGAAGTGAAGGTTAAGAGGTCCCGTTCTCACAGACCCTCAGGAATTTCACTTGGCTCCGAGCTTTGACCTCCGAGAGAGCCATGGAAAAGCTGCTGCGGCTGTGCTGCTGGTACTCCTGGCTGCTGCTATTTTATTACAACTTTCAGGTAATGTCCCCAAGTGGCCAGGATGGCGACAGGCTTGGTTTCTCCGGAGGCTTTCCCTGAGTGTGTCTCACACTGTGGTCTTTTGTGCGCAGGTGCGTGGCGTCTACTCCAGATCGCAGGACCATCCAGGTAAGAGTGTTTCCTTCTCACTCTGAGCACCGCTCTCCCCCTGCCTAGTGCAGGTATCTCAGGAACAGCCCACTTGTTCATCTCTGAGGCATCAGCGAATGGCCCTTGTTGGGCTCCTGGTCCCCGACCTCACTGCCTCACCACACACTGTGACCCTGGGCAGCTCTGCTACCCCTCACCGGCTGAGCGGTGGATGGAGAAGTGGTTCTGGGCCCCTTGAGCTGGGTCATATGAAACATTGTGATTAAGGAAATATGATCTTCATTTGAATGCCTTCTGCCTCTTTCTTTCTCTCTTTCTCTCTTTCTTCCTTTCTTCCTTTTTTTCTTTTTGAGATGGAGTCTTGCTCTGTTGCCCAGGCTGGAGTGCAGTGGCCGCAACCTCTGCCTCCCGGGTTCAAGCAATTCTCCTGCCTCAGCCACCTGAGTAGCTGGGATCACAGGTGTGCACCACTACACCCAGCTTTTTTTTTTTTTGTATTTTTAGTAGAGACAGGGTTTCACTATGTTGGCCAGGCTGGTCTCGAACTCCTGATTTCAGGTGATCCGCCCGCCTTGGCCTCCCAGAGTGCTGGGATTACAGATGTGAGCCACCACACCCATCTCATGTCTTCAGGGCAGATTCACTGGTGGGGAGTTGGAGCTCTGGCCCATAGCAGGGTCTCGGGACCTCCAGCCTCAGAGTGCTGACCAGCTTAGCCTGGAGCAGCCGATGAGTGGGACTCGGGATAGAGGGCCACCCTTGCTCCAGCCCCAGAGCCACATTCCATTGGCCATTGTGACACCCAACCAGGAAGCATCAGGACGGGGCTTCTCTCGGGAAGACAGGGAGGCACACACCCTTCGCTGTTAAGAGTGTGGGCACACGTTCTGGTCAGCCAGGGGCAGGGATGGGAAGACGAGGCTTTCTGGGAGCAGCAGGCAGTCACTGGGCTGTTGCTCCCTGCTGGAAGTTGCAGGAGGTGGGGAGGAGACCCTGCTAGTGCCTGAACCCCTGCTGGGAAGCCTGTTGTGAGCACAGCCTCTGCCCCCGCCCCACCAGAGCTTGGCTGGGCACCCCCCCGAGCGCTATTGTATGGCCCTGCCTGTCTCTGATGGGAAATCAGCCTTTTTAAAAAAATTATTTTTGTTTTTATTTTTTGAGACAAAGTCTCACTCTGTCACCCAGGCTGGAGTTGAGTGGTGAGATCTCAGTCTCGGCTCTCTGCTACCTCTGCCTCCCGGGTTCAAGCGATTCTTGTGCCTCAGCCTTCCAAGCAGCTGGGATTACAGGCCCATGCCACCACGCCTGGCTAATTTTTGTATTTTTAGTAGACACAAGGTTTTGCCATGTTGGCCAGGCTGGTCTCGATCTCCTGACCTCGGGTGATCCAACCACCTCGGCCTCCCAAAGTGTTGGGATTACAGATGTGAGCCACTGGGCCTGGCTGGGAACCAGCCTTTAATGATCAACCACAAATGGACTCAGGCCAGCACTGTGGGCAGATCCCAGGGCGATACCCAGGCCTCCAGGGAGAGCCCCTTTCCTGGATGGAGCACCAGGAGCCTGCTGGGGTCTAGGGCCAGGGGCTGTGCCCTCAGCCTCTGTCTCCTTTCCGGCTGCCCGGCAGCCCCATGCCAGGATGTTCCAGGCATCGTCGCCTCGCCACCACCTCCATTCACCAACTCGGGGGTGGGGACGCTGCCACTTCTGTTTCGTCCACATGCATAGGGAGCTCCTTTTAAAAAGGTGTGGAAGCTGTGAGTTTCCACACATTCCCCTCTCCTCAGCCAAATCGCTGAATGAAACAAGGGCTCCTGTGGCTTGGGAACGAATAAACATGCCCAGCGCTGCGTTAAAGAGAGGACGTGTCCACCTTGGACACCTTGCTTCTCGTGAATGCAGGCCTCATGGCTTGGGCTGGGCTCCAGTAGGGGAGAGGACTGAGAGGAGGAGAGGGGTAGCCCCTCGAACTGCAGGGCGGTCAGGCAGAGCTGTGCACCCGGCTCCTGCAGCAGGCAGGTGGCCCCCGAGGCCCCAGCATGGCCCTCACTGCTGCTCAGTGTTGGAGAAAAGCTGTGCGGGTTCTCCCCGGACTTCTGCTTATGATACAGAGCCCACACGCATTCTCACACATGCACATGTGTCCACATGCCCCCCCATGCTACATGTCTACATGTGTCAACATATGCCCACATGCACCAACACAAATCACACACATCCACACATGGTGACACATATGCATACACACACACACCAGATGTCTACATGTGTCAACATATGGCCACATGTGCCAACACACATCACATGTCCACACACCACTCACATCCATACACATCAGACATGTTGACACACATGCATACACATGCAAAAGCATCCACACATATGCACACACCTGCATGCATCAACATGTGTCCACATGCATCCACACATGTGTCCACACAATTCACATGTGTAGACACACATGCACATATATACACATCCATGCACACACCCACACCCACATGTGCCAACACATGTCTACGTGCATCAACATACATGTATTTACACATGTTCACACATGTCCACACATATCCACGTGTCTACACACATGACCACACAGTCACAGACTACACACATCCACATGCATCCACACACATCCATACATTTCTACACACATGCATACACGTACACACATTCACAAAAGTCCACGTGTCTACACACATCTGCACATGCTCGCACATCTCTACACACATGCACATACATACACACATGCTCACACACGTACACCCCACACACGTCCACACACACTCATATGCATGCACGTGTCCACACACATCTTCACATACTCACATGTGTGCACACACATGCACACACACCCTCACACATTCACACACATCCCACATCCACACACATGTACACCTATTTACACAGCTCACATATCCACACACGTACACATATGTACACACACATGCACATGTGCACTTGCATTTTTGTATCTAAACTTGAAGGAGCAGTTTGAACTCAGTCTTTGTTCCATATAGAAGCTTTGTTCTTCCAAGTCTGGATTTAGGGTAGAAATCAACATTTCCTGATCAAGGCACTGTCTTAGAGAAACGACGGCCATGCTGATGACAGTAGAAAGGGACGGAAGGGTGTGGTGACCCCTAGTCTGTGTGGAAAAGCACAGTGAAGGCGGCCATGCCTCCTGAGCTCTTGAAACCGCAAGGTTTCTCTCTCCTCAGCTTTCCAGGTTCTAGCAGTCCCTCTTTTTCTCCTCGTCCTTCCTCGTCCTCCTCTCACTGCAAATTGTTTTTGAACTTTTCCTTTTTTCTCTTCCTTCCTCCTTCCTTCCTTTTTAGAATAATGGTGAAGGTGGACACATTTGCTGAATATTTAGGTGCCCTCCATGAACAACACATCCTGCTGCCTGCCTTCCTTCCCTTCCTCCTCACTGTTCCCCTCCTCCCCTTCTCCCCTTCTCCTGCCTTCTCTCTCACTTTGTTTCCTGTCTCATTTTCTTTTTTCCATTTCCCTCCCTCATTTCCTTCCCTCCCTCCCCCCTCCCTCCATCCTATCCAATCCTTTCTTTTTTTTTTGAGACAGACTCTTTCTCTGTCGCCCAGGCTGGAGTGCAATGGCGTGATCTCAGCTCCCTGCAACCTCTGCCCCCTGGGTTCTAGTGACTCTCCTGCCTCAGTCACCCGAGCAGCTGGGACTACAGGCGCCCGTGACCAAGGCTGGCTAATTTTTGTATTTTTAGTAGAGACGGGGTTTCACCATGTTGACCAGGCTGGTCTCAAACTCCTGACCTCAGGTGATCCGCCTGCCTCGGCCTCCCAAAGTGCTGGGATTACAGGTGTGAGCCACCGCACCCAGCCCCAGTCCTTCCTTTTTGTCTTCTCTTCCGACATCTCAGGCTCTGCTCACCTCGTTTCCTGCTGAAAAGCCGCATCCCTGGCTGTCTGTGTGAAGCAGAATCTAGGGGCCTCCTTCATGCTCCAGCTTCCATCCTTGAGGCTCGCCTGCCCCCGGGCAGCTCTGGCAGAGGAAGCCTGGCCCTGGCGCGTCTCCTCAGGAGCGCTCATGACGGGCACGGGCGTCACAAACACACCAACAGAAACAACCTGTTTCCATCGCAAGAGAACAGCTCCTTAACACGTAGCATTTCATTCTAAAGAGTGCTAAACAGCTATGAAAAGCGGCCAGTTTGTCTGCACGTTGGGCCTTTCAATGATTTTACATCATCCTTGCGAGAGCCCTGCGGTGGTGTCACGCCCTCGCACCGCGGGTGGAGAAGCGTGTCTTTCAGACAGACCAAGCGATTTGCTCAAGGTCACAGGGCTCAGAGGACACAATATTAAGCCCAAGAAGCTCACAGCGTGAGGGGAATTAGGGGAGACAGACACAGACAGAGATTCTTGGAAAACAGCAGCCGAGTGGTCAGTACCGGGACATAGGTTCGCTCAGGTGCTGGGGGAGCCTTAAGGAGGAGTCTCCAGTATAGAGCGAGAGCCTGATCTTCCAAACGCCAGCCTACTTTCCACCACGGCCACACCAAACTGTAGTATTTTGTTAAAGGTTCTCAGAACTATTAAGCATTTCTTGTTTTCTGATTCTGGCACTCAGCACTGTGCCTTATGCATAGGAGACACGCAATAAATATTTGTTGGGCTGGCGCAGTGGCTCATTCCTGGAATCCCAGCACTTTGGGAGCCTGAGCCAGGAGGATCACTTGAGCCCAGGAATTCAAGACCAGCCTGGGCAACATAGTGAGACCCCACCTTTATAAAAAATAAACATTCAGCTGAGCATGGTGGTGCATGCCTCTAGTCCCAGCTACTTGGGAGGCTGAGGTGGGAGGATCACTTGAGTCCAGAAGTTTAAGGCTGCAGTGAACCGTGATCACACCACTGCACTCCAGCCTTGGTGACAGAGTGAGACCCTGTCTCAAAAAATATCTATATATTTATTGACTTGTCTGTGCACAGTCACTGAAGATTTGCTAGTCATCTGGTAAACCGCGTCAATAAAGCTAGCCAACCAGCATGCATTCGGCTCACAGGTGGCTGTTTTGGCTTGTATTACCTGGTTTGCCTGTCTACACTGGCAGAGGTAGCCAGATATTTGCCAGATCTTTACCATGTAGAGAGGTGTTTCATTTTGTAAGTAATTGCCAAACAACTTGAAATCATTTTAAGCCTTTGCATACTCTGTGCTTATCTGTGACCATAGATGGTCATTCTGGAGGCATTATAGAATGTCGTAGTTGAGGGACCGTGGGGACTATTGAGCCACTTCTCACTTTACAGGGAAGCCAGGAGGTAGGTTTGGAGAGGGAAATCCAGGGTCGGCAGAGTCCGGGCCCCTCCCCACATCTGGAAGCTTTTCCAGGGCCTCAGGCGGCCCAATTTCTTGCCTCTGCTCCCCAGGGGACAGCCTTATGAAGCTGTGATGGTTGATTAATCTGAATCCATAAATGGCACTGGCCAATAAATTGCAGGCCATTCTTAAAAAGTTTATAAGCATGCCATTTTATACATGACATTTGTAATGAGGAAAAGAGAACTTAAAACAAACCCAAAGCATGTCATTACCCAGCAGTTTCCTGGTCCTGGGGCACATGGCACAGCTGGCTCCAGCCGTTTCCAGAAGTTTGGGGCGGCTCACTTCACCCGCTCTATTTAGGGGTCTGGGAGGCCAAGCAGATAATTACAGTAATTATCATTCCTTAGATCTCCATCATGCCTTAGAGTTTCTAAAGAACTGTCAGAACTGCTAGGCCATGGCAGAAACTGGATTCTTCATCTTCATAGTATTTATAATAGAATTTTAAAAAAACAATGTTTATATCCGATTGAAGAAATGGAAATTTGGCAAATAGAGATTTTCTAAATACTAGAATTATACAGATAATTATATTCTATGTTTATTGATTTATTTATTTATTTTTGCATTTTATCATTCATTCTACCTGTATAGTTAGTTTTTAAATTGCTAACATTAAAAATTTGGGAGATTTCAAATGCAAAAATCTCTCTCTCACACACACACACACATACACACACACCTCCTGGGCCCCTTGTCTTAGACATGGAGGATACAATGTAAATAGAACATTCAAGGAACAGAGTCTGATATAGGAGACAACACACAAATATACTAACAAAAAAATCCCAAACAATAGTAAATGCCATGAGAAAACCAAATAAGGACCTGAAAGAAAGAGTGGATGGTGGTGGCGACGAAGGGGTGGCATGAGGGGAGGGGTCCTGTGAACTGAGACCTGAATCAGGATGAGCTACACAAAACGTGGGGATCAGCATTCCAGGCAGTGGGAACAGCAGGCAAAGTTATGCAGGAAAAATGAGCTCCATGTGTTGGAGGCCAAGGAGGATGGAGCCACGAAGCCAGCCCGACCATCGGCAGGGGCCGGCATTCCTCTGTGTGATATAGATTCCAGCTGGACCAAGTCAGTGCAACACTGAAGATTATTTCCCTGCAGGAAACCAAGGGATAAAGGTTTCCCTGAACGCACACAAGGAGTAAGTAACAGGGAAGGAAGAAGAATAGGGAAATCTGGAAGAAAAATGGAAAAGGAAAAATTAAAGGTTTTATTAAGTTGTTTTGAGTATTAATACTCTGTCTTTCATCTCTCTCCTATGTCTGTCTCTGACACACGCACACACCAAACTTAATAAAACATTACATATGGATGATAAATTATTTCTGAAGAACTGTGGTGATGTGGGCTGAAAATACCCCTTTTTCTCTCTGCCCTTTCCTCTCTCTCTCTCTCGTTCTTTCTCTTCCTCCCCACCCCTCCTCCATTTTCTCTCTGGCTCTGTCCCCTGCTACTTGTTTTGCAGGCTGGGGTTGTTTTGGAGTCCTCAAATGGGCCATGGTTTTGCTTGGCTGGCTGACCTGCCTAAGAAGACGTTTAGTCTTTAGAAGAGTTTGGTGAAAATCAAGGTGGTTGCAGAGTTAGGTGGTCTCATGCCACCTTCTCAATGGGAAAAATGCCACAGAGTGCCTTTTTCCCGAAAGAATGAGACTTTCTTGCTCTGATGAAACTTGTAGGACTATGAGTTATTTTACTCCTTGAGTTGGAAAAGGAACCTGTGGGCTGAATTCAGCCCATCCCATTAGCACCACACAATGTTTTATTTTAAAAAATTGCTAACATTAAAATTTTGATAGATTTTGCTTTAAAAAAAAATCTGAATTTCTGACTCTGCTTTAAAAAATGAAGACCTGACAATCCTGGGCAAAGCTTCCTGCAGAGCCGCAATGCTTCGTTCGGCATCAGGAGGCACTACTTAATTTAGACAGGGCACAGTTTTCCACGTCGCCTCCGCCTCTCCTGCCCTACGACTGCAGTGGTGCCAGCTGATGGTTTCCAGCATCTGCTCTGATGAGTCTGGCCTGTGCCTTCCAGCTTGTTAACTACCTTGGATGCCATCCCTGGACTCTGTCCAGTCACTTCTCAGGACTCGCCGTCCCCTGCGGGTGTCACAGCTTGCAGCCCCTTCATTGCTTGTTTCCAGTCAGTGTTGCTAGTTGCAAAACATCTGTGGCAACTGAGGTGTTTTACACTTGTCTGAAGTGCAGTGGTGTGGAGAGAAGGCAGTGTTCTGGCCTCAACCCTGCTCTTCTCATCACTGGCCACCTATGAACTCTGGCTGGCTTTGGGGTGAACGAGACACCATCACTTTACTCTGTCAGCCTTTCTGCCAGGACTGATTGTGGCCATTTGTAAATGGAAAGAATGGGAAGGGCTTTATCGTCCACAGGGTTTATTTTATAAAGATGAGGATTCTGAAGACACATCTGTTCTTTGTATAACAGATGTTATTTCCTTTTACAATTTTTTTTCCCAGATGACTTGAATAACAAGTCAATGAGGTTTTGTCCTCTTCAAAATGAATATCCTAGACTTTAGGGGGAAAAAAAGCACAGTGGGAATGAAAATGAATCTTTTTGATTTTTGCATTTCAGATTCTTCATATTGCATTACAATAGTAGAACTATCCCCACTGGAAATCAACTGAAGTCAGGCCTTACTTTCTAATGTGCTACTTTATCTAGATAGGGCTATTTTATTTAGAGAGTAACAAGACACTTAAGTTATTGTTTAGATACTTCTCTTTAGCTCATATTACAGAGTTAACTTTGTTCCTGGCTTACATTTTGAGCTTGTGTACATAAAACTGGAGGGACAGATGCAAATTGAAAAGTGGAACCAAGGAACAGGACACGTGTGGATGTTGGGCGCCCTGTGAACAAAAATTCAGATATTACATGGGGTGCGTCAGTTATCTGAAAATGATGGTATGTTCATAACTACCTATGGCACTTCAATTGTGAAAGCAAGCCTTAAAATATTTCTAAAGGAATACAGATTGAAAAATTCAAATAGAGGCCTGGCGCGGTGGCTCACGCCTGTAATCCCAGCACTTTGGGAGGCCGAGGCGGGCGGATCACGAAGTCAGGAGATCGAAACCATGCTGGCTAACACAGTGAAACCCCATCTCTACTACAAATACAAAAAATTAGCCAGGCGTGGTGGCGGGCGCCTGTAGTCCCAGCTACTTGGGAAGCTGAGGCAGGAGAATGGCGTGAACCCGGGAGGCGGAGCTTGCAGTGAGCCGAGATCGCGCCACTGCACTCCAGCCTGGGCGACAGAGCCAGACTCCGTCTCAAAAAAAAAAAAAAAAAAAAAAAGAAAGAAAAATTCAAATTCAAATAGAACAGAAAGATAATGCAATGTAAATCTTCTTCTTACATCTCGCACTCAGCTTTTCGATTTCTTCACTCCCAAAACAGCAGTATTGGTTTCTGCAGTATCTCTCCAGACATCTCTCTCTCTTCTTCTCTCTCCATCCCTGCCCTGAACCAACTATATTTTACACAAATAGCTCATAGTGTACACATTTTTATCATCTTTTTAAAAATTAGACAATATCAATGAAAGAATATGCCATCTAAGTTCATTTATGAACCTTAGTATTCGTCCCAGCTGTATTCCAGTCCAGAGTGTAGATGTGCCATATTTATTTAGCCAGCGCTCTGTAGATGAGCATTTAGGCTGTTCTCAGGTTTCTGATACTATTAAAAAATTCTACAACAAACAAGCCTTGCACAGAGGTCTTTGATCATATGTATGAGTGTATCTCTAGAATAAATTCCTAGAGGTGGAATTACTAGATCAAAGGGAATGTACACTTAAAATTGGGATAGATACTGCCAAATTACCCTTCAGAAGGGGTGTACTGATTTGAACTCCCATCAGAAATGTGGTGGAAGTTGCCAGCTTAGTATAGCTAACTTTTTGCTTGCCAGTCTGATGGGTGAACTCTGATAGGCTCATTGTTGTTTAATATACTTTTTAAACTTATGAGCAAGGTTGGGCATCACTTGATATATTTATACGTAATTTTTATTTCTTTTTCATTGAACTATTTGATTATCTCCTTTGCCTCAATATTCGGTTGGTTCTTTTTAATAGTAGGAGTTGTACTAATATAATACGTTTAATACCTCTAAAAAGAAATCAGTACCCTTCTGTAATATGTATTATATAATACATATTATATAATATGCACAGAAAACTTTGTTTTCTGATTGTGTTTTGTTTTATTTTATTACATGTAAATTTTGATCTATCTGGAAATTGTTCTGGTATAAAGAGTGAGGTTGGGATCTTAATTTTTTCCATGTGGTGAACTGGTTCCAATGTCTTTGTTGAATAATATTTCTCCTCTAATTTAAAAGACCAGCTTTGGGGCCAGGCGCGTTGGCTCACGCCTGTAATCCCAGCATTTTGGGAGGCTGAGGCAGGTGGATCACCTGAGGTCAGGAGTTCGAGACTAGCCCGGCCAACATGGTGAAACCCCGTCTCTACTAAAAATACAAAAATTGCCGGGCATGGTGGTCGGTGCCTGTAATCCCAGCTACTTGGGAGGCTGAGGCAGGAGAATTGCTTGAACCCAGGAGGCGGAGGTTGCAGTGAGCCGAGATCGCGCCATTGCACTCCAGCCTGGGCAACAACAGCGAAGCTCTATCTCAAAAAATAAATAAGTAAATAAAAAATAAAAGACCCTCTTTATCACAAACTGAATTTCCATATGTACTTAGGCATCTTTGTGGATTTTTCTCCCGCTGAACTGTCTATCCGCGTGTAACAATCAGCCATCTTTATTGTAGTTTCATGCTGTGCCTTATCATTGAGTGTGAATCTCCTCTCTTTATCCTCTTCTGTTTCTTCTCCAGATTTTCTTTCTTATTTTTTATATAAACTCCATAATCAGATATGTCCCCCACAAAATTCTCTCAGCATTTTTACAACAAATTTTCTAATACTCATAGATTAAAGTATAGTTTACGACATTGAGTCGGCTTTTCCAAGAATAGGTTGAATCCTTCATGCATTCGAGGGTGCTTTCACATCCCTCAGAATTATTATTTTTTATTTTCTTCATGAAAATCTTGTACAATTCTTATTCTTGTTTTCATAAATATTTTCTTTTTGTTGGCTGCACTTAGGAGAACTCTTCTTTTTTTGTAGCATTATTGTTGGAATACAGAAAAGCAATTGACATTTGTATATTAAATTTGTACAAGCCTCCTTGCTAAATTCTTTTGTTGTTTGTAATAGTGTTTCACTGACGAAATTCTTTTCTTATTTGTAATCGTTTTCCACTTTGGTTATCAGGCATACATCATTTGAAAATAATGATCTTATTATCTCCTCTTTAAAAAGTATTTTTTTTAAAAAAACAAGGACTAACATAGAGACTATTAGTCTGTCCTTTTCTATGATCTAGCAGTCGCTTGGGGCAGTTGATTATTGTTTAGTCATCTGAACCATTATTTCCACTTCTGTGAATGAATCCCAGAGGACTAATCCCCGAGAAGACTAAAATTGTATGCATAAAGCCACTCATGTCAGCGCCACCTGTACGAATAAGGATGGAAGCTATTGATTGTTCATTAACAGAAGAATGGCATAACATGTTATGGGGCAGCCACTCAAGAGACTGTTACCCAAACTCAATTATGAGGGTTAGATAGAAACAAAGAAATAATTCATATAGCATTCAATGAGAAGAGCAGAATAGAAAATAACATACCTGCATAAAGTTATGTTTACTCAAAGTATAAGGATCACGAAGGAAATTTCAAACTGAGTAATGCTTAGTGTGGAGGAAGCATAGAGGGAAAATAGAATGACCAGGATTAAATTGAGAAAGTGAGTATTGCGTCTACAATGAGCTGGCAGTGTGATTTTGTGCAAGACTTTCATTTCCTGTCTTTACAAATAGGCTAAGAATTCAATTTTCTTATAGATTATTGTTAGCATGAAGTGAGGAAGTGCTTGTTAAGGACCTCAGTGTCTGGCATACCATTCATGTTAGTTTTCTCCTCTTTTAAAATGATTTTACCCTTATTTGTTTCTATAGTGTGATTGCATTGATATTAACTCTAAAATAATGGTAAATAACAGCGGGATATGGAACATTCTTATCTTTTCCTGACATGAATGGGCAAGCTTCTAGTGTGTCACCAGTAAATGCAGTGGCTTCTGTTTTCATGCAACAAGAGGCATCTATTCCTATTTACCCTGTTTTGTCCAGTTAAGGAACTATTTACCAACTTCTAATTTAAGAGTTTCTTTTTCTAACCAAGAGTGTGTGTTGAATTTTATTAAATATGCTTTCAGTATCTCCCACAGACATGGGATCCTTTTACTCTTCCCCCATAATGTGTGTGCTAAGCGGTTCTTACCCTCTGGTTCTTTCCTCTCTAATGATGATTTAAAATTTTTATTCTTTTTTCCCCAAGGATTTCAGGTGTTGGCGTCTGCTTCCCATTACTGGCCACTGGAGAATGTGGATGGGATCCATGAACTTCAGGATACAACTGGAGGTAGAGACGCGGGTGCTGAGAGCGGCTGTGGGCGCGGGAATCCCAGGGCCATCAGGAGGCGTGGGTGCTGAGAGTGGCTGGCCTTGAAATCCCAGGGCCATTGGGGGACGTGGGTGCTGAGAGTGACTGTGGGCCGGGGAATCCCAGGGCCATCGGGGAGCAGATGTGGACACAATCTGCTTTGAAGCCACGGTGATAGAGATGAACAAATACTTGTGTAACTTCCCGTAATAGTTATTTCAAAGCTTTTTTTTTTGTAGAGATGGGGTCTTGCTATGTTGCCAGGCTGGTCTCAAGCTCCTGGCCTCAGCAATCCTCTGGCCTTGGCCTCCCAAAGTGCTGGAATTACAGGCGTGAGCCACTGTGCCAGGCCACGAAGCATTTTACTAGAATTTTTATAGAGAGAGCTATTGCGTATTGAATGGGAGAATTTCTGATTCAAAATATGATTAAAATGTGCATTTTCCCCAACAATCTTGAAACAGAAGCTGGCCTGAGGATGCCTCTATGTGCAAGTCAGGCGTCTGTTTTCTACGTTGAATGGACTAGCGTCATCTGCACACTGACCACAGCAGGGGCCTATTGATGAAGCAGATGTCAAAGGTCATGCCAACTAAGACCAACTCACATGTTTGAAGGGCCCCCGTTTCATTCAGCAAACGCATCCCCATCTACCAGTCAGCTTCCCCACACATCAGCTCCATTTGAAAAGATTAAGCATCGCCTAAGACGTTTCCAGTGAGGCCCAATTCCAAATAGTCTGTTTGAGTTCATTCAGACATTTGCTGGTAGGAGAAACCTCACATCTTTCTGGGTATTTTTTTCCCCTTTCTAATAAGGACTTTTTAAAAACCGTAAGCTTTGTATGACAGTTTTCCATTTTTATTTTTATTTACTGATTGCTCTTGATCATGTCAGATGGCTGACATGGGCGGCGAGGGTTTACCGTACAGCAATCCTAGCACGTGCTTCGGTCGTCCCTGTTCCGTGGGAGGCGTTTTATTTTTAAAACCATGTATTGCTGGTGACTGTGATTTCCACATTGACACACTGGCATTTTCCTTACTCCTGTGATTTAATGTGTTGCTGGACATCACCGCTGAAGCTTCTGAAATGTTTCCTTAAAATTTGCAAACTGAGACCCATCGGTGCTGCCTCTGTTGCTGGTGTTCTCAGACTGGGGCGCCGTTGAGGAGCACGCGCTCCGTGAAGGGCACCTGCGTGGGTGCCACGCGCTCCCTGCCCAGCATCGCTCTCATCCGCCTGCCTGTAGGGCAGCAACATGGCCACATTTGGAAACCACCCTACAGCCAGATGTCTTTTCCAAAGGGTCGGCCTGGCAGGGCTGAGAAAGCCCTTGTGCAAGTTTGTTTCACCACTGGCTCGGGTTCAAACGAACCACGTTCCCTTGTTGGCATCCAGTTTTCTTTTTTCAAGGCCTTTATTTTAAAGCCATGGAAAGGGGGTCATTTCACCAAGTGGAAATGCCTTCTTGAAACAGCTCACTGTTCCAGGACCCAGCAACTAAAATGCTAGGAGTTTTTTCAAACAAAAGCTTGAATAACTGTCAGTGTCTTTCTCTCTTCACCCCTATACCTGAACTCATTGTGGTGGCTTAAATCAGTAACTCTTGGTGCTTTGAAACCTTTACCTATGAAAAATTCTTCTCCTAAGGTGATATATTCACACAGATACAGTTACACACTGTGGCTGAATTTTGCTCCCTGAATATATTGACTTCCAGTAAAGCACTAATATATCCGTGTTAGTCCTGGAACATTGCAATGTGGAAGGTTTCTCTGCACTTCCCTACTGGATGCATTCTCTAGGTTGTAATGCTATGCTGGCATATTTGAATTGATTACAGCCTTCTTAAGGGAGAAAAGAAAAGAATAGACCCCATCAGCACATTTTGCTGCGGGGAACAGGTGAATAGCTTTGGCAAGCCTTTTGAGGATGTGCGGCTTTGTCGTTTGTTGCCGAACTCTCCGTCGTTTTGTCCATTTGTCATCATCTCACGCAGTCATTTTCATGCAGAGTGTCTGTCTCATCAGTTCTTGTGACATCATAACCATTCATCCTTTTGTTGAGCCTGTGTTATGAGTGGCCAAGTTCAATTTCATATCTCTCAACTAAGTATCTGCCTATGTGTTGGAGCCAGAAAATTAGAACTATCGCTTGCGGCCAAATTCAGCAGCCATCACGCCCTGGTGTGGGAACTGAGTGGGGCCACTGGAGTGGCCGAGCTGCTGACCAAAGTAAACAAGGGTGGTGGAGGCTGGGGGATGTGAGGTCCGAAGAGAAAGTCCAGGGTGCTCTTGGATGAAAGAGCCCCTCCTGGTGCCTGCTGCAGGTTGAGAGATATGTTGGTCCCATTTGTCTTTTGTCTCACTCACTTGCTGTGCTTTTTCTTTTTGTTGTTTCACCCAGCGTCCCGAACCCACAAGCTCACTGTGCTTCCTTCCCGTAATGCTACTTTTGTGTATTCCAATGATTCTGCCTACTCAAATCTCTCTGCAACTGTAGGTGAGCATTTATGTACTTTTGTTCTTCGTTCTGTCAAGTTTGGATCTACGATGAATTCTAAGGCCAATTCTGTTTGGTAGTATCTGAATTCACTATGTCTTGGCTAGCAAGTGAGCAAATGTCCCAGTCAAGACAGCAGATCCAAGGTGTTAAAAAATAACCACTAGGGTTAAGTCTAAAGGAAGATTGCAATACATTAGAACAGGGGTCCCCAGTCCCTGGGCCACAGACTGGCAGCAATCCGTAGCCTGTTAGGAACTGGGCTGCACAGCAGGAAGTGAGTGGTGGGTGAGTGAGTGAAGCTTCACCTGTATTTACAGCTGCTCCCTATCGCTCACATTACCGCCCGAGCTCCACCTCCTGTCAGATCAGCAGCAGCATTAAATTCTCTTGGGAGCACAAACCCTACTGTGAACTGCACATGTGAGGGATCTAGGTTGCATGCTCCTTATGAGAATCTAATGCCCGATGATCTGTCACTGTCTCCCATCACCCCCAGAGGGGACCGTCTAGTTGCAGGAAAATAAGCTCAGGGCTCCCCCGATTCTACGTGATGGTGAGTTGTACAATTATTTCATTACATATTGTAATATAATAATAACAGAAATAAAGTGCACAATAAATGTAATGCACTTGAATCATCCCGAAACCAACCTCTCCAACCCATCCATGGAAAAATTGTCTTCCATGAAACCGGTCCCTGGTGCCAAAAATGCTGGGGACCACTGCACTAGAAGGTATATATATTCTTTCAAGTTCCCAGGATTGTCTAAGCCAGCTGCTTGTTTTCAGAACAAAACAGACCCAAGATGAGACCTTTTCTAGACATAGAGATTGTTTGGATTTTTAAATGAATTGTCTTCTTTGGGGGAGGAAAAGCATGCCATTTTAATGGAAAATTAAAGTTAATTTAAAAATACCTCATCAAACATTTGATTTCTTATAAACATTAAAATCAGCATTTCGTCTGTAGCTGGACTTTAAAAAAATCATTAAAAGCTGTTTGTGAAACATATACCCACAAGAATCATAGTTAAATTATTGTCTTATCTGATAACCTCCAGAGCCTACATGGCTCAACATGAAGCTCAAAGCAAAAGGGGTAGTAGCAACTGAGGCATTTATTAGATCAGCATAGAAGCCAGTTCTGACCCTGTCAATCTTACCCTGTGATCCTTTTCAACACAAAAACTGACTGCTCTTTCAACTGTAAGGTGATTGGCTTCCAAAATTAATGTTTCCAGTCAAGCAGTCTGACTTAGGGGTTTATACAGCCTAGCTCAATTACGCAACCACTAGTGATCCATTTAACCTTGCAATATATAGGTGTCCCTCAGCAAAAATGGGATAAAATTTAAAAATGAGTTTAAAAGCAGTAAGGAAAAACACTGAGGTCCCTTGAGTCGGTTATCCATGTGACAATATAGCTGGAAAGCCTGAGCTGGGGTTGGGGTCAGGTCCACAGACCCTGTTAGCTCTCCCGTGTGTCTTCAGCTGGGCTGACGGCTGCCGGGGGCTCAGACATTCTCCCTGACCCATGTGGTAGCAAAGATCTCTGAGCGATTATGACCCCAGTTAACAGTAAATCCTACTCGCTCCTGATTTTTACAGTCTTCACTTATTTATTCTGTAAACGATTTACCCCACACACTCACCATCAGATACCCTGGCCATGGGAACGGGACACAAGATGATTGGACGGGGCAGTGCCCCTCGGGATTTGCGGCCAGCTGGGCTTGTCACCCACAGGCTCTCCTGGGACTATGCAAAATGTTGCTCGGGGTTTTCCTCCTGGCGCCTGAAAATGGGTTCTGCTAAAATCCCGAATCTACCTGTCCAGGTTCAGGGGATTTCAATTAAAACTCAAAAGGAGAAGGAGTTCAGCTGTAGCTTCACGTTCACACTTGCACTGAAACGTTCCACTTGGAACACTCAGCATGAGGACGGGAGTGGGGAGGGCTCGAAAAGCAGGTCGGCACAAAGTCCAGGACAGGAGGCGGTCGCCACGCCACGCTTGGTAACCCATCTGTTGGCAAATATCACAATTATCACATCATCATACGATATGATATGCAATATGAAATCCATATGCAAAGGTCTGTATGCATTTGTATATAATACATGCATATTATATACAAATACATTAATATCATTTAATATTAAATTTTTATCTGACATACACATTAATAATTTACAATTTAATTACTAATAATATTACTGATGCTATGAATATTATCATAGAATAATATATGATGTTATAAATATATACTTAGATAAATAATAATGCATACTTACACATAAGTTATTTGTAGGTCTGACACACATCTTCAGACTTTTAATCTCGGAAGGTTATTAACATATGATGTTGTCATTTTTCTTCCTTAGATATTGTGGAAGGGAAGGTCAACAAAGGCATTTACCTGAAAGAGGAAAAGGGAGTCACGCTTCTCTATTACGGCAGGTACAACAGCTCCTGCATCAGCAAGCCAGAGCAGTGTGGCCCTGAAGGTGAGTGGCTGATCCCTGCGGCATCTTTGTCAAGCATTTCATTCTCAGGGAGCACCTGCTCCTCTGGTGACTGGAAGATGTGAACCTGAGGTTCTCATCAATTGCAGAATGCGTGAGAATGTCAACGATGGATCGGAGGGCAGGGGAGGGAGGAATACAGGCAAGGAGGTTACTAAGCAGAGACTTGTCCTGGTGGCTGGAAGTTATAACATCCTCTTACAGAGATGTGAGATCAAAATACTTAATCTTGTAAAGGATGAAAAAAAACCTTCCTAAAAAACAGACACAGCGATGTCACAGTGGGGACTGGACAGGGCCGTGGCGTTTGTGGGAAGGAAATTGATGGCATGGCACCTGCAGTGTGATTTCTGGCTCTGGGATGTTGACGGTGAGCGGGCAGGGCATACCCAAGAACACTTGCGCCTGGTTTTGGTTCTTTTACATTCATCGAGAGGGGCTGGGCAGTGGCTCGAACTGTCCCGGCAAGCGGTCGCAGGCTTGTGGCTAAAGTCATGCCATGGACAGAGCAGAGATGCAAAAGAAAAACTGGCAATCGACTTGCTTTCGTTTGCTTTTACCGTGTGAAGTGTAACCTGCTCTCTCGTATCTAGGCTTCAGGCAATGCACGTCTGGATCACATTGCAAATTTTCTGGGAAATTGTTCTCTGCCTTCCAAACCAGCTTGGAGCCTTCAAGTTCCTTTCTCCTAGGCAAAATGAAAGTTATGATTTCTAGGGAGGAACAAAGCTTAATGCAGTCCTCGTAGGAAGCTCTAAGGCATTTTGGACATCAGATGGCCTTCTGTGATGAGTTCATTGTACATGATTGTAGGACAAAATGGACTTTGTTCCAGTAAAAATAAACAACAGCTTAGCAAGGCAAAAACATGTGGGAGGACACATCTTGGGCTTTGTGGAAACCAGAATTTTGAGCAATGGTTATGAGGCCCAAAACCACGGTCAGGTTTACAAACTCATAGTTTATGCTGTTCCTGAGTTCAAGCAGCTCCATAAACATCCCAGGCTTATTTATTTTTACAAAGTAAAAAACAACCATGGGCTCGGCGTGAGCTCGGTGGCAGGGGCGAGGAGGACGGGAGAGTAATATGTGCTCCTTCCTTGCATTGGATTCGGGAAGGGCGGGGGCATATCTGTGGTGGCTTTTTCTGGGTTTCTAGAGAACGGCTTCTCTTTGGAGTAGAGGCATCCAGAAAGCTCCAGCAACCACACTGGAATTGATCTCATTTGAGGACAAGGATGGTGCAGGTGCCAGGGGTTCCAATGCCTGGGACTATCACAGATAATGAACCCAAGAAAGGAGACAGTGATGGGACCAGCGGGAAATCAGAGCTACTGGACAAGTTTTATCTGCACGCCGAGGTCACACATGAGAGGCCTTTGAGCTGATTCTGGCCTGTGGCTGTGTTCGGTTGGACGGGCATCGGGTTAAAATTTTAAAATTAGCTGTCAACACTGAAAAATAGGAAATTTCCACAGATTTCCAGTTTTTCTTGATAAATCTCTCCTGACTTCTCTGGCTGGCTGGAGCTAAGTCGCGGTGGCCCTGGACTTCCGTCTCCAGTTCCCCTCAGTCCCCACCAGACTTCTCGACTCTTCAATAATCTTCAGGTCGAACAGAGCCTGTCCGCAGCATGAGCTCTGGGGCCAGAAGGCGTGGGTTCCACTTCCGGTTCCGACCTGTTTGTGGGGATCTTGGGCAACCACTGCTTCCCTTTGAAAAGCCTCATCTGTAAAGTGAGTGAATAAAAGGACCTTCCCATACAGTTGCTGTGAAGACTGGAAGAACTATTACAGCATGTTCCTGGCATGTGGTTGGTCCAGCTGTCGGGAGGCCTTTTGGGTTTATCGCTCATGTGTCCATGATTCCAAACTTCCCCTTCATCACTAGGGTATCTTTTCTAAGAACACCACTTTGCCTGCTTGGAGGGTGACTTCTGACAGACGGGCCGTTGTGGTTGAACTGATCATAATAGCTGCATACCCTTGTTGAGCCCCGACTCTGCACCAATCCTTGGTCTAATCCCAAACATGTATTCACTCATTTCATGCCCCCAACATGAGACACACAAGAACATGGGTGAAGAAAGAGCCATGAACTCGGGCTTCATGTCCCGCTGTTGACAATTTCTTTTGTGTCATGGTTAAGCAGAACTTTTAAGATACTGTTCATGTGGCCACTTTCTTTAGAGCATGGCCAGATATAAACCGGGGGTGCGGTGGCTCACACCTGTAATCCCAGTGTTTTGGGAGGCAGAGGCAGGATGATTGCATGAGCCCAGGAGTTCGAGACCAGCCTCGGCAACACAGTGAGATCTTGTCTCTAACTTAAAGAAAAAGAAAAGAAAGGAAACAAAGTCAGGAAACCTTCAATCAACGCTGGCTCGGTGAGAGGCTGCTCTCGTGAGGCCTGATGCAGACGCAGAGGGTAGGTGGGGCATTTCTCACTGTGCCCCCCTGGGTCTTGAGTTCAGCCTCACAAGGTGACCGGGCCATGAGCCTGTGCGAGGGCCATGGCATGCCTTTCCCGCTTTCCTCTGCTGTATCCTTGGCTCAGGCGGATTCTCCTGGGGCCCTGATGAGCTTGTACTTCTGTGTGCGGGAAAACAAGCCGTGAACAGGGAAGACCTGCCCAGCATTTTCCAAATTAAAGTCCCTGTAGCAGGAGGCAGAGGAGGCCTTCTCAGGGGGCACCTGGAGCAACTAAAACAAAAATCAATGGTTATGTTTTTATTTTAATATACTGGGCGCATCAGAAACGAGTTTTCACATATATTATTTAAGAGGAGACTTCAGTGAGCATTGAGCTTTAAAAATGGGTAGATTTAAAGGAAAATATTCCCTAATAATCATAATTCAGGTGTTATTCAGATCTCATAAAAATTGTGAATGATTAGAACGTGGGAAGCATTGAATTAGCCTTTTCAGATGTGTTCAGCGAGTCCTCCGCCACACTTATTGGTGTGGGCACAAACTTATAACCTGTTATTCTTATAACGAAAAACAACGCTTAAATAGAGAAATGCTCTCCAGCCCCTGCCTAACAGGCCCACTGCTTTTATATTTCTGATTTCCAAATCCTGATGTGGTCTCTGTTCATATTTTCAGCGATTTTTTAACAAATAATGTTTTAGGGGACAGGGTTGATGCTGAGAAATGTGGCTGTCCCCCGAGGGTGCCCATAGAAGGCAGAGGTCCCTGCTGTGGCCCTGCTCCGGACCCCCGCTCCCGGCCCTCCCTCCACCCCTGCTTCTTCCAGAGCCTCTCTGCTGCTTGTCTGCCTGCCTTCATTCTAGGAGCTACTGTGGGTCCTGTCTTTTGGCAAATGGTGCCTTCTGGGGACATGTTCTTAAGGTCACTTGCTGCTAATGGGGCAAGCTTTGGAGGACATTGGAGAGAAAAAGGCTGTTTGGATCCCTGGCCATTCTTGAATGTTAAGCTTAGAAAACACAGTCTGTTCCCTCAATACTCAGGATTCTGTCTTTCAACTCCCCTGACCAGTGAGCACACAGGTGGGGAAGCTGAAAATAGGAAGGGGCACTTGCTGGAATGTTCTGGCACCTTCTTTCACCTACCTGGAGACCTTGAAGGCTCAGCTCAAGTGTAAACTTTACGGGGATGAGCTCCAGTCCAGGTGAGTTCCTCTGTCTCATGCCCTTATTGCTCCCCCTACATTTCTTCCCACAACTTGCACGGCCGACGATGGCCTGTCACTTCCGTCTCCCTTACTTGGTCTTCAGCTCAGTGAGGACGAGGACTGAGTCTGCCTTGGCCAGTGATGAGTTCTCAGTGCCTGGCACACCATAGATACTGCACACTGAATGCATCTCCATCCAGGGTTTGCTGCACCTTCACTTGAATACTGAACAAGGGCCATTCACGACTCCTAGAGAAATCATTTCCCCTACATTGAACCTATAGTCAATACTGACTGGACACTCAAGCATGTTGCTAGGAGGTAGATCTCATGTGAAGTCTGTGACCATAATAAAGTTAAATGAAAGGGAACTGATTGCATAAAATCCAAAAAAGGTCATTTCCAGCATCAAGGTGCAGATTATTAGGTAATTCTTCCTTGCTTACTCTCATTTCTACCTCTGATTTATTGCTGTGTCGGTTAAGATGATGTTATTTGATATAACAAGTAAAAACACAGACAACGGCAGAAAAAGAAGCCCATTCCGCTATTGGACTCCTCTGACTTTTAGTGTGTTATTTCTGATATTGGGCTAAATTCCGTCTCGAGTAACTTCGGCCCATTGCTTCTAGTTCCAGCTCTCCTGTGAATGGCTTTGGCAGCTCCTGGGAAAGGCAGCCTCCCCGATTAGCCCCTCAGCTTCACCTTCCTCCCTCTGTGAATGTTTCCTTTGCTTTTTCCTCACATGCATTAAGAACTTCTTCTGCTTATAAACCCCAGAGAGGCTGCTGAGGTCCCGAGGCAGCAGCTGGAGCATCTCCGCACGGCCATTTCCCTCTTCTCAGCTTTGAGTTGACTTTTTCCCCCTTTGCATTTGTTTCCTAAATTTAAAACGCTGTCAACAATTTGCTAAGATACTTGCAGGTGGAGTTTTAGGATAGAAATTTCCAGAGGGGCCTGGGGGACACGGGCCTGGCAGGGATCTAGCTACTCTCTTACTCAGGCGATCTGGGGTCAGGGGGCTTGGAGGCCTGTGGAGCAGATGATCCTCAGAGAAGCATTCATTCAGCACACTCCTTGAACAGATGGGGAAACTGAGGCCCAGAGAGGATGCAAGATGAGCCTGAGCTGCCACGATGCTGTGGCACAGTGTATCTCCAAGTACAGCTCGTAGGCCCTGGGTGGCAGCAACTGCAGGTTCCCAGGCCCCAACCAGGACGTGCTGATTCTGAGTCTCAGTGGACAAGGCCTGGGAATCGGCATTTTTAGCCAGTCTCTCCAGGTGATTCTCGCAACTCATGTGATACCACATCCCGGAATCCGCGGCTGACTATACGTGCTTGGTTTGGTGGGCGCCGTGTTGATCTTCTGTTTTTAGAGTGAGACTTTCTACATTGTCTCCTGCCAGGTGGGTGGATCCAAATACCCCAGCCCACGAGGTTTCCAGAAATGGAATTTCTCCCGGTGCTTTCAGTGTTTTTCTTTTAAAATTAACATTCAATTCTGGCAGGACACAGTGGCTCACACCTGTAATCCCAACACTTTAGGAGGCCGAGGCAGGAGGATTGTTTGAACCCAAGAGTTTCAGACCAGCCTGGGCACCACAGGAAGACCCTGTCTCAATGAAAAAAAAAAAAAAAATTTAGCAGGGCGAGGTGGTGTGTACCTGTCATCCTAGCTACTCAGGAGGCTGAGGTGGGAGGATCACTTGGGCCCAGGAGGTCAAGCCTGCAGTGAGCCATGATTGCACCACTGCACTCCAGCCTGGACCACAGGGCAAGACACTGTCTCAAAAAAATTCAACCTTTATATATGGGAAAATTTCATTTAAAAATCTACACTTCTGACTTCTCTTAAAATATGAGAACTGCTCCCCTGCACCCCACTGGCAGCAGTTGGTCAGGGGTAAGGAGTGACTGCCCCTTAAGGCAGGGCCAGCATTTTCCAGTTTTCCTCAGCCTGCAGGACTCTCTGCTGTCTGTCGCTGTGACTGAAGGTGGTGGCCATTCCCCAGGATGGCCTGCGTGTGGCTTTGTTAGAGGAGCAGGGAAAGGGGAAAGGGAAGAATTTCTTATTCCCATGGGGAAAGTGGGTGTCCTACAGCCCCAGTCATTTCAGGAAGCGATTAGAGTGGGGCTTTGGGGTGGGGGTGTGGAGTGAGAATTTTAAAGGCTCGATATGCAAACGAGTGTCTCCTCCTGGCCACACCAGGCACAGGGCCCATGAGGCAGCCGGGAAACGGGCTCTGAGTCTTGCGTGAAAGCGTATGGGACGCGCATCCTCGTGGCTCTTTGGGAAACGTGGTGGGCCACAGGCTGGTCCGGGTGCCAGAACGGCCATCAGACCCTGTCCCTGCCTTGCTCCAGCTCTGTTCTCAAGGCTGCTTTCCTGGTGTGGGAGCAGCATCCGCTCAGAAGCTCCAAGTTCTGGTTTTGTCAGGTGAGCCTGCCCATGCCTGGGTCAGTCCTGGTGATTCTGATAGGCCCAGCCCGAGTCAGCCTTCAGCTGTGTGGTCTGTGGTGACTGGGGTGTGGGTACAGACGCCAGGCGGGCCCGCATGCCTGTATAACCTCGCGCCCTCCTGGGCCGCTGCTTTGTTGGCATGTGTTGATCATGCTCTTGCAGGGTGCTGAGTCTGTGGGCCTGGGAAGGGCAGCTGCATGCATGATCTCCAAGGGAAGGGCGGGAGCCACAGCACAGTGATTACAAACGCAGACTCCAGATCCAGGCTGCCTGGGTTCAAATCCTGACTCGTCCCAGACCAGCTGTGTGGCCTTGGGCAAGTTACCGCACCTCCCTGTGCTTCAGTTTTCTCCCCTGTGAAATGGGGACAGTAATGACCCCTAGTTCACAGGTTGTTGGGAGGATTTAACCTCAGCCCATATAAGTTCTCCTCACCTGCTAGAAATCATCCTTTGTCTTATGCCGTGGTCTCTACATATGAAGGGAATTAACTTCTCATCTAGTAAATCTGTGACAAATATTCTTTCCCTGGATGGTTGTCTGTCTTTGAGTTTGTTACGGTAATTTTTTTTGCCTTGCAGAATATTATATTTATGCACTTAAATTTATTAGTCTTTTCTTATGACTCCTAGATTTTTATTTTTCCTTTTTTTGTCTTGTCAAAAAAGATCTTTCCTCATTTTATTTTTTGGATGTTTTAGGATTCAGTGCTTATAACAAGAAAAAATTATCAAATTAGTTTGTCAATATTGTGCTTGTTTCTTTTTCCTTCAGATTTTTCCTTGTTGTATTGATGGCCCAACTCCATGAGGCAAAGTTCCTTAAAAGGCTAATATGGAAGGCACATTGTGAATTTGTTATGACTCTATGAAGACGTGAATTGATACTTAAATATAAGCTGTTGCTCAGGTAGAAGTCATTGTTTTGTGCGTTGAGTTAACTAAATGAAAAGCTTGGTTACCGGCACCATGGATGGCCTTCGATCTACCCTTACCTAACACCACATGGAATTTTTTTATTTTTATTTTTCTTCCTGAACAGAAAGACATTTGGCCAAGACAGGCTCATTTTGAATTGAGTGAAAGAAATTTTAAAATGCAGCAAAGTTTTTGGAAAAAATTAACTTCCATGAATCCTACTGGGAATTTGTTTCATAACAAAAATTTCACAACGCACTGTGCTGACTTCCTTGTGAAACGGGTTGTTTCTGAGTGTGCAGGGAAGTGGCGGGAGGCTTGGGGGTTTGTCCTGGCTTCTGTACCCCTCAGCGCCCAAGGCAGGGAAGTGGCGGGAGGCTCGGGGGGTTGTCCTGGCTTCTGTACCCCTCAGCGCCCAAGGCAGGTGTTGCAGGAAGCCCGTTCATGAGGTGGGTGTGGGTGGTGCCAGCCAGGTCTGGGGACACCAGCGTCAGCTGCCCCAGGCCTCTGTGCAACCCCCACAGTCGCACCCTTTTGCGGTAACCCACATTACTGGGCACTCGGGAAGGCTGTTTTCTTTCCCAGGAGCCCTAAGGACAGATGCCGCAGGGCTTGGAGTTGTACCCCGTAGCCTCTCAGAGGTCCAGAAAGGTCCAGGCCTCTTCCAATTTTTTTGAGGTTCTTCTTCTCTTAAAAAATAAAATGGGGAAATTCCATACCAGGGTTATAAAATGTATGCTGTGTTTTTCCTGAATCCTGCGAGGGCTTTGAACTCACAAAGGTATAGTTGTCTTGATATATTGTCACAAGACATTTGAAGGACTTCTAACAGATATGTTAATTCATAAGGCATCACAGAAAGCATGGTGGGCAATGAGACACTGCCTTATACACGAATGACAAATGTCTTCTTTGAATTCAGTGACTCTCTAAGACTGTGTCCATAACCTCATGTGAAGGTAAGGTCTAAAGTCTAAATTTGGCACCATTTATAGAAATAAAGCCCAGGGCAAATATCCTTCTGCCTCTCCCCTGCACCCACCGTCCCATCATGGGCCTCTTTGGACCAGTTCTGGGCACGTGTTCTCTCTCAGCACCACTGAACCCTCTTACCCATGTGCCTGGGCCAGGCTTGGCGGGGGTGAGGCAGCTGGATGTATTTCCAGCTGTCAGGGGCAGAATCCAGACAGGCAGCTAGTGTCTCACACACACACACACACACACACACACACACACACACACACACACTGGAGTTTACACACAAAGAAGGGCCAGGTGGGCAGATGCTACTGGAGGCAGAGAAGTGGAATAGAGACAACCAGAGCTCCAAAATGCAACGCCAGAGAGGCCCAAGCTCCACAGAGCCTCCAGCCAGGCCCTGCCCTGACTTCCCCTTCAGCAGAGAGCCCGGCCCCCAGACCAGTGGGTGTGAGTGCAGAACAGCGGTCGGGGTGGGTGCGGGGCATGCTCAGGAGCTGGGCTTTTGCGGTTCCTCTTTTTTTTTTTTTGAGACGGAGTCTCGCTCTGTCGCCCAGGCTGGAGTGCAGTGGCACAATCTCGGCTCACTGCAAGCTCTGCCTCCCGGGTTCACGCCATTCTCCTGCCTCAGCCTCCTGAGCAGCTGGGACGACAGGCACCTGCCACCACGCCTGGCTAATTTTTTGTATTTTTAGTAGAGACGGGGTTTCACCATGTTAGTAAAGATGGTCTCGATCTCCTGACCTCATGATCCACCCGCCTCGGCCTCCCTAAGTGCTGGGATTACAGGCGTGAGCCACCATGCCTGGACCCTCTTTTTTTTGAGACAGAGTCTTGCTCTGTTGCCCAGGCTGGAGTGCAATGGCGTGGTCTCGGCTCACTGCAACCTCTGCCTCCGTGGTTCAAACAATTCTCCTGCCTCAGCCTCCTGAGTAGCTGGGACTACAGGTGCATGCCACCACACCCGGCCAATTTTTATATTTTTAGTAGAGACGGCATTTCACTATGCTGGCCAGGCTGGTCTCAAACTCCTGACCTCAGGTGATCCACTTGCCTCGGCCTCCCAAAGTGCTGGGATTACAGGCGTGAGCCACCGCGCCCGGCCTGCAGTTCCTCTTATAGTAAAAACATGGAGAAATCCCACATGAGGATCATAAAAATTACATTGTTTTTCCATGTTTACATTGATCACAGTAGGACTTTGCACCCACAAAGGTACAATATCTAATTGTCATAATTTACTGTAATATACTGCCACAACACATTTGAGGTATGTCCTATCTGCTGCTGGTGGCGGAGGCAACATGAACTAATGAGCCAGCTCATTCATGCTAACATGCGTCGCTCAGACCATTTAGTCCAGGTGCAATCCCTCCTCCCCCGCAGCGTGGGCCTGGGGTCAGGACTTACCACGAATGTGCAGACTAGAGTCTTGAAAAAGGTTTCAGCTGCTGCCCCCTCTGTATCCAACTGCGGGAAATGAACAATTGAAGATATCAACAACCTTAAAAGTGTGCTTCCCTTTGGCAAGAAATGCCCTCTTGGGAATGTATCCTAAAGGCATATAGTCTGAGATATGCAAAAGAATTTGCTTCAAGTTCTGTTTGAAAATTTCTTCAAAAAGTGGAAGAAAACCTTAAGATCCAGCAACAGGGGATTGCTGTTTAAAAAAAAGACTGTGGTGCTTGTTTAGAATGCGCCGCTGTGCAGACATAAAAGTGACAACGTGACAGTGTATTTATGGACATCGGAGGAAGTTCACGGTGGAGTAAACTTTATAGAAATGTTGTTTATAAACCAGTGTGCCTGAGATGGTTCGTGTCTTTGTAAAATCTATTTATAGAAGAGGCTTAGGAAGGAGCCGCCCTAACCACATTTCTGGAGGAATAGGAGAGAAACCTGGAGGGTGTAGGTCTTCACATTTGCATGATCCCGGGGAGTGGGGGCGGGGAACTGCCTGGGGCTGCAGCGATCTTCATCAGTCACTGGTGACCTTGAGTGAATGAGCCTCAGTTCCTTCATCTGTATAGTGGGGATGAAGCAGGATTTTTGTACTTTTTAAAAGGCGAGAATTCATTTCAAACTCCTAGAAAAGTGCCTGGCACTGTGTGAGCCCTTAATAAACATGAGCAAATATCACTGTCTGGATTTTCTGAACTGAACATACACTGCCTTTAGAATGGGGACAAAATGCTTTTCGAATGAAAAATAAAAAGCAAAGAGAACCATGTGCTTGCGAGAAGTCAAGTCCCCTGCTCTCTGTGAATAACTGATCTTGTGACTTTCCTCAGGGGTCACGTTTTCTTTTTTCTGGAAGACACAAGGAGAACAGTCTAGACCAATCCCTTCTGCGTATGGGGGACAGGTCATCTCCAATGGGTTCAAAGTCTGCTCCAGCGGTGGCAGAGGCTCTGTGGAGCTGTATACGCGGGACAATTCCATGACATGGGAGGCCTCCTTCAGCCCCCCAGGTGAGTGACAGCATCGGTCCCGGGAGGCTCTGCCTGGAGGAGTGGAGTCTTCTCTGAGAATGGACGCTGAGAAGCCCAACGCAGCCCAAGGAGCCCAGGGATGCTGCTGCCTCCTGGCACCCGAGCTCCTTTCCTTTAAGGGTTGTTGGGGAGGTGCATGGGGAGAGGCAAGGAGGTGCCCTTGGTAAGCCGCCTTTGGTTGGTGCAGAGCCTGGGCTCCGTCTGCCCGTGCACTGTGTGCCTGCTGTAGGTTACCTGACCACACTGACCTCAGTGATCACACCTGTGATGTGCAGATGATATTGACAGTACTTACCTCACGGTTTCCAGGACATTAAGCTGAAGATATGGTGTGCAAAGTGCAAGCAGTGGTTACATTTCTCCTTCTTTTCCTTCTCATTTTCCCTCTTCCTCCTCATCTGCCTCCTTTTTCTCTCACAGTCTTTGTCTCTTCCTCTTTCTCTTCCTCCCCCTCCTCTTCTTCCTTCTTCTTAGTGGTATAGACTTGAAATTGTTTAAAGCATGACGAGAAGAAGCTTTTGGAGAGAGAGGCTGAAGAATCGGGGAGCAGAGGAAGGGGCTAGGGGAGAGCGCATGAAGCACTGGACTGTGCGTGGTCTTGGAGGAGGGAGGGGCCCTGGATGTGTGGGAAGAGAACAGGAGTCCCTGCACATTGGCTGAGTTTGCAGGTGGGTGTTGAGACATGGACGTGGGGCAGTAGGCTGCAGAGGCTGACGAAGGTCTGAAGTGGAAGCTGGAGAAGGGGAACAGGTGGCTGGGGACACAGAAGGACTCAGGGTGGCATGGAGTGGGGGCCAAGTCAGGACTGGAGCCCAACAAGGGAAGGGCAGAGGTGGAGGGGGCAGCACAAAAGCCTAGGATGATCTCCTCCGGTAGGAAACATCTTTGATGTATTTAAGGGAAATCCATTTTCTGGCTCATTCTTAAGGGAGGCTGCATGGCCCAGTTATTAAAAAGCGTGAACTCTGGACCCAAACAGGCTGGATCAAATCCCGCCTCTGGACGTTGGTAGTTGTGTGAACCTGGGCACCTTCCCTAACTGCCCTATGCCTCAGTTTCCTCATTCATAATATGGCAGTAATAGCAGTATCACATCATAGGGTGACTGTGAGAACTAAGTGGGCTGCTAGGCATAAAGCGTGGAATGATGGCACAGTGGGCCCAGAAGGTGTTTGCCTTCTTCTGTGGATGCTCGGTGTGCTCGGACCAGCTTGTACCTCCACCTCTGTAAAGTGGGGCAGTTCAGCAAACATCTACTTCAAATTTGCCCTCTGTGATCCCTAAGGTCAGAAATAATCTCTGCCTCCCTCCCCTGACACAGAACCATCTGAACCTTTTCCGTGACCTTCCTGTTCCACTTGCTATCAGAGTCCGATTGTAAGCAGCTTATCTCTCTGCTCCTTGGGGCTGGTGGAACGTGGTTTCAGGCATCCATTAGGTTCTTTGACCTTGAACAAAGGTAAAGTATGCTCAACTCTGGCTGCTTTTCCACCCAGGGAAAGGGCGAGAATTAGAAACACTTCTGGCTGGCAATGTGCTCTCTTTTGTGCATTGAAGGCGTTTGTTATTCTTACTTTCAAACTCAGGGGCAATAATACTTTGGACCAACCTAGGGTCCAAGCGTGCTCCAGAGACTCAAAATTATCAGAAAGTTGCACAATCTTGAGCAAGAAGCCCTGATGTCATTCTGGGTGATCTAAGATGCATAGCTGGCTAGAGGTGATGTGTGTCCTTTAAAAGGGCTGCCCTGTTCCTTCCAGCAGCAAGCTCAGGAGGACAGCTTACCACACATGCTGGCAGAACAAAGGGAACCTTTGTGGGGGAATCAACAGTCAAAGTCTGATGAACATTCTTGTTGATGAGCGTGGTTCTTGTGCCAGAGAGAAGAGTAACACAAATGCTGGTTGATGGAGGTTCCTGAATGAGCAGGGAGGTTGGTCTTCCCTCTACCAACTCACTCCCATGTTGGTTAACATTATACGCCCTCGCTTAGAGCACAGGCTGATGCCAATGGCCTGTGGGCTGAGTTGGGTCCTCAGATGGGTTTTATGGTCCTATATTGTGATTGCCTAGGCCAAGTTTGTAAGAAAAATATTTGGAATGATTTACGATCATTAGTTATGATTTTATTTTAAAATTAAGATTTTCCAATTTCTTTTGGAAATAAAAAGACTGGCAAGGCAGGCTCTTCATCTCTCATGTTACTGATGGGGGAGGTGAGTAGGGGCCACCTCGTGATGGGGCAGCCGCCCTTCCACGCACTGCAGTCAGCACAGAAGCCACGTCCTCAGGGAAAGCTCGTTACTGTGCTTACCCGCTCCCTGGCCTCTGCAGACTGGGTTGGTGGGCGCCATGGAGTGCCTGTATTGCTGTTAGATTTTAATAGATTTTATTTTTTAGAACAGTTTTAGATTCACAGAAAAATTGAGTGCAAAGTTCAGAGAATTCCCATTACCCTCCGCCTCTACACAGGCACAGCTTCCCCCACTATGGACATTCCCCCACCAGAATGATCCATTTGTTACATGTGATGAACCTACAGTGACACATCATTGTCACCCAAAGTCCATAGTTCACATTAGCATTTGCTCTCGGTGTTGTACATTCTATGGGTTGGTGAGGTTGATCTTTCGCCCATTTTAAAAATTGGATTGTTTTTCTTTCTTTTTTCCTTCCTCCCTTTCTTCTTCCCCTCCTCTCTCTTTTCCTTCTTTCCCTCCCTCCCTTCCTCCCTCCCTTCCTTCCTTCCTTCTTGCCTTCCATCCTCCCTTGCTCCCTTCCTTTCCTTCTTTCCTTCCTTCTTTCTTCTCTTCTCTCTCTCTCTCACTCTCTCTCTCCTCTCTTCTCTCTTTCTCTCTTTCTTTCTTTTTCTTTCTGACAGGATCTGTCATCCAGGCTGGAGTACAGTGGTGCAATCACAGCTTACTGCAGCGTTTAACTCCAGGGCTCAGGTGATCCTCCTACCTCAGTTGCCCAAGTAGCTGGGATTACCGGCATGTGCCACCATGTCTCACTAGTTTTTTTTTTTTTTTGGTACAGGTGAGGTCTTACTTGGTTGCCCAGGCTGGTCTCAAACTCCTGGCTTCAAGCGATCCTCCCATCTCAGCCTCCCAAAATGCGGGTCGTTTGTTTTCTTACTGTTGAATTTTAAGAGTTTTTGGGTGTATTTTGGATAATAGTCCTTTATCATGTCTTTTCCAAATATTTTCTCCCCATCCGTGACTTGTCTTCTCATTCTCTTGACAGTGTCTTTCACAGAGCAGACATTTTTAGTTGTAAGGAAGTCCAGCTTGTCAATTATTTCTTTCATGGATTGTGCCTTTGGTGTTGGATCTAATAAGTCATCACTAAACCCAAGGTCATCTAGATGTTTTTCCTATATTATCTTCTAAGGGTTTTATAGTTTTGCATTTTATATTAGACCTATAGTCCATTTTGAATTAATTTTTATGACAGGTTTAAGATTTTTTTTTTGTTTTTTTTGAGATGGAGTTTGGCTCTTGTTGTCCAGGCTGGAGTGCAATGGGGCGATCTCGGCTCACTGCAACCTCCACCTCCCGGGTTCAAGCAATTCTTCCTGCCTCAGCCTCCTGAGTAGCTGGGATTACAGACACCTGCCACCACGCCCAGCTAATTTTTTGTATTTTTGTGGAGACGGGGTTTTGCCATGTTGGCTAGGCTGGTCTCGAACTCCTGACTTCAGGTGATCCACCTGCCTCGGCCTCCCAAAGTGCTGAGGTTACAGGCGTGAGCCACTGCGTCCGGCCAAGATTCTTTTTATTTTTTGGAACGTGGATATTCAGTTGTTGCAGCACCATTTGTTGCAACAAATGGTTCTGTTTGTTCATTGTACTGCCTTTTCTCCTTTGTCAAAGATTGGTTGACTGTATTTTTATTGGTCTATCTCTGGGCTGTTTATTCTGTCCCACAGATCTATTCATCTGTTTTTTTCCAATGCCACACTGTCTTGACTACTGTAACTTTTTATAGTAAGTCTGGAAATTGGGTAGTGTTGTTCCTCCAATGTTGTTTTTCTCCTTCAATATTGTATTGGCTATTCTGGCTCTCTTCCTTCTCCATAGTTTATCAATATCCACAAAATAACTTGATGAGATTTTTATTGGGATTGTGTTGAATATATAGATCAATTTGGGAAGAACTGACATCTTCACAACATTGAGTCTTTCTGTCCATGAATATGGAATATCTCTCCATTTATTTAGTTCTTGTTTAATTTCTTTCATCAGAGTTATATAGTTTTCTTTATATATAGCTTATAAATGTATTGTTATAATATATGTATTTCTTTTTCCTTTTTTGGCACCAATGACAATGGTAATGTGTTTTTTAATTGTAAATTCTACTTGTTCGTTGCTGGCAGATGGGGAGCAATTGACTTGTATATTAACCTTGTAGCCTGTAATCTTGCTATGCTCACTCATTAGTTTCAGCTTTGTTGTTGATTCTTTTGGATTTTCTACATAGACAATCACATCATCTGTGAATAAATATAGTTTTATTGCATCCTTCCCAATATTTATATTCTTATTTCCTTTTTTTTCCTTTTTTGCCTTATTGCATTAGTTAGGACTTTCAGTACAATGTTAAAAAGGAGTGGTAAAAGGGGACATCCTTGTCTCGCTCCTGACCATTTTTTCTTAACTGAGCTTATGGTCTGATTGGTTGGCACTTGTGCCCTGCCATTTTTCAAATATTTTAATCACACTTGCTTGTGGGCATTTGAATTTGTAACTACTATGTTAAAATAACAAGGAGTCTCCTTGAACTGCTTCTGGAATTTAGGGCATAAGGACAAAAAGATAACATCCTTCCTGTGCTCCAAAGGACTGGGGAAAGTCAGGTCTGTGTTATACCTTGTATTAGGACGCACCACAGTTAACAGTGATTGATCACCTTAAGAAAGAAGGATGTGCCTACAAACAGGAAAAACCTGTGCATGGGGAGCTCATTCCCACAGTACTCAGAATGGCGATCTTCACTCTTTTCCAGGCCCCTATTGGACTCATGTCCTATTTACATGGAAATCCAAGGAGGGCCTGAAAGTCTACGTCAACGGGACCCTGAGCACCTCTGATCCGAGTGGAAAAGTGTCTCGTGACTATGGAGAGTCCAACGTCAACCTCGTGATAGGGTCTGAGCAGGACCAGGCCAAGTGTTATGAGAACGGTGCTTTCGATGAGTTCATCATCTGGGAGCGGGCTCTGACTCCGGATGAGATCGCCATGTACTTCACTGCTGCCATTGGTCAGTGAGTGTGAAGGGCTGGGGCAGATCCGCTGTCTGTTCCCAGGGTCACCCTGGTATCGGCCTCCTTTCTCCCCACTCTCCCGTTGCAGCTATCAGCACTGCAGGCGTGAGATGTGTCCTAATGAACCTTATAAACACAGTTGTGTGTTAGAACACCTGTTCCCTGAGATAGAGGAGTTAATAATTTACTAGAGATGCTTTGAGATGAATATTGTTCTGTTGATCATCACGGGGTTTCAAGGTATATGTGATGGACGATTATAGAAGGCTTTGGAGAGCAAGTATTCCAGATCCATTAGTGTTTTTGATCAACAAATGTTAGCCGTGTGCCTCCCAGGGGATGGGCCCTTGGAAAGCCCCGAAGATACCTCTTCCTATTCAGCACAGGGCAGTTGTTCGGGGCAGGGGCCTGTGGGTAGGTGGACTGGGGTTCAAATATTCATTGTGCCATAATGAGCCGTGAGACTTTGGGAAGTCATTTTTAAAAACTGAGGTCAAATTCATATATCATAAACATAACCATTTAAAAATGAACAAGTCAGTACACTTGGCACATTCACGGTGTTATGCAGCTGCCACCTCTACCTGGCTTGGAAACATTTTCATCCCCCCAAAAGGAAACCCCGCACCCGGTGAGTACAGTCACTCCCCGCCTTCCCCTCCCCCAGACTCTGGCAACCACGAATCTACTTTCTGTCTTTACCTATTTTGGAGATTCCACATAAATGGAAATGTGTAACGTATAACCTTTTTGTCTTAATCTCTCAGATTTTTTTTTTGCTCTGTTAAATGGATAAAAATACTCCCTTTCTGGGGGAGGTGTTGATAATAAAGGCCATTAGCACAATGCCTGGCATATGGCAAGAATCCAGTGGTTCTTAGCTGTTTTTAAAATTAATATTCATCTTTCCCCTACAATTCCATTTTCATGCTGCCCACAAGTGAATGCACCATTTTTTCCCCAATGGGTTTCTTTATTTCCACATAAAATAATCTGCTAAAAAATGACAGACCCCATGTAGGCACTCACAAACATGTGGCTGCTGCTTCATTGGGACCCAGCACAGCGGATGTCAGGACCAGGAGAGAAAGGCCTGAGTTCCAGACGCTGCCTGCCCTCGTTCCGCTTCTGACGTTGAGTCCCTCAGTTGTTAGGACCCTATTGATTGCATGACAGAAAACCCAATTCAAGATAACTTTAGCCAAGAAAGCCATGTGTTTCTTTTTCATCTCTTGCAATGGAAGCTCTAGGGGAAACTGCTTCAGAACTGGTTTGGTCCAGGTGCTCACATGATGTCAGTGGGAATCTCTGCGTTTGACCCTGCCCTCTTTTGTTAGCCTCCTCCTGGTGCCAAGGTGGCTGTCATGCTTCTAGTGTTGCATCCTCTGCCCTCAGCAGCCTCTGTGGAAAAGAGGGAGCTTCTTTCTCTTATCACTTCCCATGCTGGGGCTGGGCAGGACTCACATTGGCTCACATTTATCCATGCACCTTCCATGAGTCATTTTCTGTGTCTGGGAGTGCAGAATATGCTGACTGGCTTAGGTCTCTGTCATAGTCCCCCATCCCCAGCCCCCCTGAAATGACAGTGAGGTCAGCCTTGTCCAGAACATGTGGAGGAGAGGGGACTCCCAGGGGACAATCAGGTATGCTGGTCTCAGAAGGAACAGATGCTGTGCAGGCAAAACAGCCTGTGTCCACTACAGCCTTCGACATTTACATCTTCCAGCTTCCACCCAGGAAAACGGAATGCATTCCCTCTCCTAGCACTGACAGAGGGCAAATGATAGCATCCTTCAGAAGAAAAAAATGGACCAATCTACTGCATTTTATTGCCTAGGGTTTAGAGTTGTCACTTTGAAACCAAGATATCACTTGTATTTATGTTATGAAAAGCTTCAAACAAAGCCTGCCCTCCTGACAGTTTACTTGTTTTAGTAACACTGGAAAGAGGTGCCCTTGTTTCTGGTTCTTGTTCTTGTCAGAGCAAACCCTCATCGCCAGAACCAGAACTGAACCAGAACTGGATCGACCAGAATCCCATTGCACCTGGTGACCTGGTCTGAAGACAAGGCATACGACGTAAAGCATGTATAGGAGAATGGCTCTTGAAGTCCCTGGAAGGCCTGTGTGGGGCCCCGTGTACCACTGCTCAGTGAGTCTGACACAGCCGAGTTCAGGGCAGCCATGCAGAGTGACAACTGGAACTGAAATCCAGTCTGCTCCCAGCCAGGCCGGGCCTCGGTGGGGACATGGCCACACAAGTAGGTAGAAGTCTTTCTTTACATGAAGACCTGTCTGCATTTGAAGCTGTGCTGGGGCTGTAGGTGCCCAGAGGGGGCTTTTTTCTGAGTGACCTGGGCAGAGGTGACACCTCCTCTAATCTCATGAGCCAGAGCTGGCACCATTTGCTGACCGGTCCGTCCAGGTGTGGTGGCCTTTCCTGATACAAAGGCACAGTGCTGACCGTCTGTCACCCTGGCCAGGTGTCCCCTCTCCCTTACCACTGGAATGGACAGCAGCTCTTTCTGTAGAGGAGGAAGAAGGTTATGTTCAGATACGTGTAATCGGAAAGCATGTACCTTTGGGCACTGGAAACACACTCAACACGTGGGAACTGGGACCGACTGAGGACCTGGCAGATTCTCATTTTCACCCCAGTCTCCATGGTCATCGCTTGCAAGCGTTGGCAGGATCGCTGGACCGATTTTCACTATCCCTCACTCTGCTTTGTGGACACACACGAGTTAAATGTGAGTTTGACATGACTCCTCTGTAACTCATTGGCACCTGAGGAGTGAATGTCACTCTGACTTGGAGAACAGAGCGGTTCTGGGGTCCAGTTCTCTCGGCAGCGCCACACCTTCTGCGTTCACCAGCAGCCCAACCCCACCCAAACCCAAGGGCTCAGTCACTCCTGCAGCCAGCAAGGGGTGATGATGTCATTTCCTCAGCTCATCCAAAGCAACTTCAAGAGATTTTCCAAAAATGAAGTAGAATATCTGGTTAAGTGTGTGTTCTCATCAGGAAATAGTGGGATTAGAAATAGTTGGGGGTGAACAGGCAGAGAACAGCAAATCATGGCTTAGTCTTCAGCCTTAAATGTCTTCATTGTTTGTAATAATTCATCATTAACCCCATGGGGGCTGAGTGCAAAGAATAGCTGGAATCCTTGGGCTAGAGGGGGCTCAGGAAGACAGTTTTCTCCACTGCTTTACTGGGGCCTATTCTCACTTCATCGATCTCAGAGGAGAGCGCTCCCAGGGCTCCTGTCTGTGCTGGCCCAGCGAGTTGTAGCACTCCTCATTTTATCTCCAACCAGTCTGGATGCAATTGAAATCTATTTCTTTTGGTTCTTTATTTATTTGAAATCGGTAATCCTTGTATAAAATCATCTTTTGATATGCTGACTTGCATGAAGGGTGTTCAAAAGCGATTGAGAATACAAATGGAAAAGTAATGTGACCTGGGAAAATCTATACGGTCGACTCAGTCAGCTGATTTCTTAGCCCATAATTTATCTCCAGCAACATTCCTACTCAAAACATTCTCAGACTCTCTTCCATGTGTCTGAAGCCAGTACATTTTTAACAAGGACAGGTCTTCCTCGTGGTGAAAAAAGTGACCATGTTTTAGTCCTTAATCCAGCATTGTTTCTTCCAGGAAAGCATGCTTTATTGTCTTCAACGCTGCCAAGCCTCTTCATGACATCCACAGCAAGCCCCGTGGTGAGCAGACACATCTTCCTTGGTCCCCCTTGCTGATGTTCTTCTGCTTGGGCTGTTTGCTGGGAGAGAGAAAATTCCATTAGGTGTCTGGGCTCTCTGTTATCGGCAGTACATTGTCTGGGAAGAAATAACAAATGGAGGGGAAGCCAACTGCAGTACTAATTCTTGGTGCTAAGAGTGACTGAAGGGAAAACTCTCAACTCCTGCCACCAGGAACCTCAGGTGCCCAAAAGGAAATACCGGGCTCATTCATGGGACGTGGGCGCCGTGAGTGGGGAGTGAGGAATCTGCCCTGCTTGGCTTCTCTCTATGCCCTTTTCGTTTGATGTTAGAGAAAAGTTCAATTCATATAGAAAAATTCTTGTCTGGAATTAGTGTTTGTAGTTAAAGAACTGTCCTTTCTTGAGAACGTTAATATAATAGTGAGTGCACAGACTCTGACCCATCTGCTTGGGTTCAAATCCAAGTTCTACCACTTATTTTTGAGTAAGCCTCTCTGCGCTTAGTGTCATCCATCAAATGGGGACTTATTTTGTAAGGTTGTTGTGAGGATGAAATGTTAATATAAGCAAAATATTCACAAAAGTGTCAGATACATGGTAGGAGCTATATTACTATCATGGTATAAAAACATTTGACCAGCTGGGTGTGGTGGTTGCACCTGTAGTCCCAGCTGCTCAGAAAGCTGAGACAGGAGGACTGCTCGAGTCCAGCCTGGGAAACACAGTGAAACCCCATCTCTATAAATAAAAAAAAGAGCAGCCAGGCACAGTTGCTCATGCCTGTAATCCCAGCAATTTGGGAGGTCGAGGCAGAAGGATCACTTGAGGTCCGGAGCTCGAGACCAGCCTGGCCAACACAGTGAAACCCTGTCTCTACTAAAAATACAAAAATTAGCCAGGCATGGTGGTGCACGCCTGTAGTCTCAGCTACTTGGGAGGCTGAGGCAAGAGACTCGCTTGAACCCGGGAGGCAGAGGCTGCAGTGAGCCGAGATTGCGCCACTGCACTCCAGCCTGGGCAACAGAGCAAGACTCAGTCTCAAAAAAAAAAAAAAAAATTAAAAAAAGCATTCGACCCAGAGTAGGACACATTAAACTTCTGTATAATATTTTGGTTTTAGTTCTTAGTAGAAACTCATGTTGCCAATTTCTTTCAGATGCCCACAGATGCCTACCATCCCATCATAACCAACCTGACAGAAGAGAGAAAAACCTTCCAAAGTCCCGGAGTGATACTGAGTTACCTCCAAAATGTATCCCTCAGCTTACCCAGTAAGTCCCTCTCGGAGCAGACAGCCTTGAATCTCACCAAGGTAAGGCTATTTGATGTCTGTGTCTGGTGGACCGGGCGTGGCACCCTTACCGGGACCATAGATGTTTCTGTTTGACCTAGATCGAGTTTAAAAAAAGCAGGAACTTTTACTGAAACGTTTGGGTTTCAGGCTTCTCATGAACAACCAGCTGGTGTGGCCCTCCTGGCCAGCTCTGTACAGCTCAGCGGAGCTTCCTTTATGGGCACTTGAGTCTTTGCTGTGGTTTCCCAATGCCCAACCTGCCTGGTCCCCCCTGTGCAGCCACCTGGCCCCCGCGGGCGTGTGGTTGGCAACTCCTAGACTAAATAAACTCTGCTGCCTCCTGGCAACAGGTAAAAGGTGGAGAGGCCTCACTGGCAGATCCAGCCGTGGGGCGTGGGCCACAGCCTGTGCACAGTGGGAGTCCCCAAAGCTATCTAAACACTTAGAGAATGCAACATTTATGGCATTAAAATCAAGATGGTTTCTCTTTCTGCTCCTCCAAATAGTTTCCAGGTGAAGGCAGAGGGTGGATCGTGGGCTCTCGTGGACTTGCTGTCTTCTGTTTTAGGGCTAGGGCTTATCTTGGTGGATGCGAAGACAGAAGGGGTTTTGAGATTGGCTCACCTTGAAAGCACAGCATATGGGTTAGGAGCAGGGTATATGAAGTCCCACGGCTGCACTGACCTTTGATCTGCAGTTACTCTGTGTCCTTGGTCAAGTGACCTAACATCTCTGCCTCACTTGGCTCCTGAGATGTGGAGGAAATAATAACAGCGCCCACTTCATCGGGGATAAGTGGGTTCCTATGTGCACAGAACAGTGCTGGGTACGTGGTGAGCACTTTTCAAGGGTTCTTAATTCTTACTGATTTCCTTGCTGAAGTCACACCCAAAGAAGCACATGCAGAGCCATGTGTTCAGGGACTTGAGACATCTTGGAATGGAGGGAGGTTGCCCTCAGCTTTTCTGTCCACGTAAGAGAAGTTAGACTTCTCAGATTTCATTCATTCATTCATTCATTCATTCATTCATTCATAGACCATACTAGATTCTGGGAGTGCAGGATGACCAAGTGCTAATACTCCCTGCTTTCAAGAGGCTCAGGGTTGAGGGAGTGATGACAGGTCATGGAGTCTGAGAGGGGCTTTAAAGGGAACTACATGGAGCTGCGGGACTCAGCGGTCCTGGAGTCACAGAGACCTGGCTTTGACCCCAGCTCCACCACTCCCGGCTCTGTGTCCGTGGGAAGGTTATTTAACCTCAGCACACCTGCTTCCCACTGTGACATGGGGACAGTGAGATCGCCCATGTGTCTCAGGTACTTCTGGCTGTGAGAAACAGGGCCCTCTGCTTAGCGGACTTAGACTTCAGGCCATGTACTCGCTTCAGGCAACAAGAGGCCCAGAGGCGGGAATCCTAGGAGTCACTAACTCAGTCTTCACTCACAGCAGGGGCTGGATAGGCACCGCCACAATTCTCTCGGCACTCGGCCCTTTTCTCGCCCAGCTGCAGGCCCCCAGCACCCTCGCCTTACCCTGGCACGTCCAGGAGGGAAAGAACGGGTCGGGAGACTCCCTCCTCGTCAGGGGGAAATCTTTCCCATGGTTCCCTTTGCTGAGACACCCCCTCACATCTCAGTGGCCAGAGCTGGGCCACATGACCACACCTGGGCCAATCACTAACCAAGGGGAGTGGGATTAGCAACCAGCTCAGCCAATCATGAAGGAGCTCTAGGGTGGGGCCAAGGCTGCCCAGTGTGGGAGCGCTTCCGGGCTCCGAAGGGAAGGACCCGCGGGGTGTTGGGTGGAAAGAGCGGGTATAGACAAGCTGGAAGGTCCTTATGCATGTATGCACAGGACCGGGCGTGAGGCCCCGAGACAGGGCTTGGTATGCAGTAAGTGCTTTATTAATACGAACACTCTTGTTTTTGTTGAGATGGGCTACAAGGGGTGACTGTGGCAGGCGGTGCCTTCTATGCAGTTAGCACTTAGTAAACACTCACACTCCGGGCACTAGTGCCCTGCCTGTAGCTAAGGTATGCAGTCGGGGCTTCATGCCCACTTGGCACTGGCACCCTCCCCTCTAGCCGTGGTACACAGTCGGCGCTCAATAAACACCCACTCTGGGCACGGGCGCCCTCCCGTCTGACTAGCCATGGGTACCCTGCAGCATCCTCAGGAATGTGCAGCAGACACTTAGCAGGCTCCCTCTGTGTTTCCGGGTGTCTAGGGAAGGAGGGAGTCCGAGTGAGGATAAATTAATTAGACGAATGTTGATTAAACACCTACTTGTGGGTGGGTTGCTTCATTAATTATAAAATGGATGGCTTAATGAGCCACAGTTGCATGCTCATGAGTGGGTTCACTGATGACTTTATTAATTAAGCACATTGTGCAGCCTCCGCTCTCTGCCAGATGCTGGGCTTGGTGCTGGGGATGTGTGATGGATGTGCCGGGCATTGCCCCTGCCCTCGTGGGGCTTGTGGCCAGGGGCATGTCCAGTTAGCTGGAAAGCTGCCTGTGGGATGCTGGTCCTAAAGGTCACTCCTCAGAACCTTCTAGAAGTGTGTGTCCTGCCCTAGGGCAGGCCGGAGCCACTGTGGCCCACCGCCTGCCTGGCTCTGTGATCTCTTCATCACGGGCTAGAAGGGTCTGTCTCGCACCTGACACTGCAGTGGCAGCAGTTAGCCGTGTCATTGTGGCCCACACCACCCAGCAGGTCCCTGAACTGAGTGTGATAGGGTGTGGCCAGGCTGGCAGGTCTGTGGGAAGAGTTGGTGGTGGGGCTGGCAGGAGTGAGACAGGGACAAAGTAGGACAAGCAGAACTTGGGGCCAAGGCCAGACAGGCACGCACCCCAGAAAAGGCCAGGCAGGGCTGCCCTCTGCGGAGCCCAGGTGTGGGGGCTGGGGTTGTTGGGTGGGGATGGCGTATGCGCAGTGAGGTGGGTGGAGGCCAAGGCAGCTCCGTATCCTTATTGGCTGTCTGGTTTGCAACACAAGGCAATGCAGGTCTACACAGGAAACACTTTCTTTTTAAGCTTGGTCACTTTTACTTTCCTTGCTGCTTTTCTTCCTTCTCTCCCTCAGCTATACCTGAGAGTCAGAGGTTGCAAACTCATGTGGCTTCAGGGGCCAAAGGAAATGGATGGCATGGGCCAGACAGAGCAACAGTGGGGAGTAGAGAGAGGTAGTGGCAGCCTGAATGCACCGCCTCCTCTGCAGCCAGCAGTTGCTAGCAACTCAAGGCCACCTGTCTGTAACCGTTAGGGTGACTGATTCTGATTTTGCAAGAAAAACCCCAGACCTGGATTTTTAAAATGGAACATCTCCCAATTTTAAGAAATGGGCAGTGAACTGAAATCTTTTTTTTTTTTCAACCTGTTTTATTTTATTTTTTTTAATTTTTTATTGATCATTCTTGGGTGTTTCTCGCAGAGGGGGATTTGGCAGGGTCATAGGACAATAGTGGAGGGAAGGTCAGCAGATAAACAAGTGAACAAAGAAACAAGTGAACAAAGGTCTCTGGTTTTCCTAGGCAGAGGACCCTGCGGCCTTCCGCAGTGTTTGTGTCCCTGATTACTTGAGATTAGGGAGTGGTGATGACTCTTAACGAGCATGCTGCCTTCAAGCATCTGTTTAACAAAGCACATCTTGCACCGCCCTTAATCCATTTAACCCTGAGTGGACACAGCACATGTTTCAGAGAGCACAGGTTTGGGGGTAAGGTCATAGATCAACAGGATCCCAAGGTAGAAGAATTTTTCTTAGTACAGAACAAAATGAAAAGTCTCCCATGTCTACTTCTTTCTACACAGACACGGCAACCATCTGATTTCTCAATCTTTTCCCCACCTTTCCCCCTTTCTATTCCACAAAGCCGCGATTGTCATCCTGGCCCGTTCTCAATGAGCTGTTGGGTACACCTCCCAGACGGGGTGGTGGCCGGGCAGAGGGGCTCCTCACTTCCCAGTAGGGGCGGCCGGGCAGAGGCGCCCCTCACCTCCTGGACGGGGCGGCTGGCCGGGCGGGGGGCTGACCCCCCACCTCCCTCCCGGACGGGGCGGCTGGCCGGGTAGAGGGGCTCCTCACTTCCCAGTAGGGGCGGCCGGGCAGAGGCGCCCCTCACCTCCTGGACGGGGCGGCTGGCCGGGCGGGGGGCTGACCCTCCACCTCCCTCCCGGACGGGGCGGCTGGCCGGGCAGAGGGGCTCCTCACTTCCCAGTAGGGGCGGCCGGGCAGAGGCGCCCCTCACCTCCCGGACGAGGCGGCTGGCCGGGCGGGGGGCTGACCCCCCCACCTCCCTCCCAGACGGGGCGGCTGGCCGGGCGGGGGGCTGACCCCCCCACCACCCTCCCGGACGGGGTGGCTGGCCGGGCAGAGGGGCTCCTCACTTCCCAGTAGGGGTGGCCGGGCAGAGGCGCCCCTCACCTCCCGGACGGGGCGGCTGGCCGGGCGGGGGGCTGACCCCCCCACCTCCCTCCCGGACGGGGTGGCTGGCCGGGCAGAGGGGCTCCTCACTTCCCAGTAGGGGCGGCCGGGCAGAGGAGCCCCTCACCTCCCGGACGGGGTGGCTGGCCGGGTGGGGGGCTGACCCCCCAACCTCCCTCCCGGATGGGGCGGCTGGCCAGGCGGGGGGCTGACCCCCCCACCTCCCTCCCGGACGGGGCGGCTGGCCAGGCAGAGGGGCTCCTCACTTCCCAGTAGGGGCGGCCGGGCAGAGGCACCCCTCACCTCCTGGACGGGGCGGCTGGCCGGGCGGGGGGCTGATCCCCCACCTCCCTCCCGGACGGGGCGGCTTGCCGGGCGGGGGGCTGACCCCCCCCCCCGGACGGGGCAGCTGGCCGGGCAGAGGGGCTCCTCACTTCCCAGTAGGGGCGGCTGGGCAGAGGCGCCCGTCACCTCCCGGACGGGGCAGCTGGCCTGGCGGGGGCTGACCCCCACCTCCCTCCCGGACGGGGTGGCTGCCGGGCGGAGACGCTCCTCACTTCCCAGACGGGGTGGCTGCCGGGCGGAGGGGCTCCTCACTTCTCAGACGGGGCGGCTGCCGGGCGGAGGGGCTCCTCACTTCTCAGACGGGGCGGTTGCCAGGCGGAGGGTCTCCTCACTTCTCAGACGGGGCGGCTGGGCAGAGACGCTCCTCACCTCCCAGATGGGGTCACAGCCGAGCAGAGGCGCTCCTCACATCCCAGACGGGGCGGCGGGGCAAAGGCGCTCCCCACATCTCAGACGATGGGCGGCCGGGCAGAGACACTCCTCGCTTCCTAGATGGGATGGCGGCCGGGAAGAGGCGCTCCTCATTTCCTAGACGGGATGGCGGCCGGGCAGAGACGCTCCTCACTTTCCAGACTGGGCAGCCAGGCAGAGGGGCTCCTCACATCCCAGACGATGGGCGGCCAGGCAGAGACGCTCCTCACTTCCCAGACGGGGTGGCGGCCGGGCAGAGGCTGCAATCTCGGCACTTTGGGAGGCCAAGGCAGGCGGCTGGGAGGTGGAGGTTGTAGCTAGCCCAGATCACGCCACTGCACTCCAGCCTGGGCACCATTGAGCACTGAGTGAACCAGACACCGTCTGCAATCCCCGCACCTCCGGAGGCTGAGGCTGGCGGATCACTCGCGGTTAGGAGCTGGAGACCAGCCTGGCCAACACAGCGAAACCCCGTCTCCACCAAAAAAAAACGAAAACCAGTCAGGCATGGCAGGCTGAGGCAGGAGAATCAGGCAGGGAGGTTGCAGTGAGCCGAGATGGCAGCAGTACAGTCCAGCTTCGGCTCGGCATCAGAGGGAGACTGTGGAAAGAGAGGGAGAGGGAGACCGTGGGGAGAGGGAGGGGGAGGGGGAGAGGGAGAGGGAGAGCAGAAATCTTAAATGAAATTATGTGCAGACCAAATACAAGACATCTACGAGGCAGGCTCAGCCTGTGTGCCATCCCTGTGGGACCCCTGGTGTAGACCTGTTTTGGGGTATCTGGCTGGGGACCCTGGGGATGAGTCATGCAGATTTACCCAAAACCCCAGTGATCTCTGACCTGATGAGAAGTCAAAGTTTTTGGCATCCATTATACAAGTTAGTTTCTTTCTTTTTTCTTTTCTTTTCTTTTCCTTTCTTTTTTTGAGATGGAGTCTCGCTCTGTCACCCAGGTTGGAGTGCAGTGGCATGATCTTGGCTCACTGCAACCTCTGCCTTCTGAGTTCAAGCGATTCTCCTGCCTCAGCCTCCCAAGTAGCTGGGACTACAGGCATGCACCACTACACCTGACTAATTTTTGTATTTTTAGTAGAGATGGGGTCTCACTATGTTTCCCAGGCTGGTCTTCAACTCCTGACCTCAAATGATCCACCCGTCTCAGCCTCCCAAAGTGCTGGGATGACAGGTGTGAGCCACTGCGCCCGGCCCCATTCTACAAGTTTCCATGGTGTCCTGGCTTCTCACCTGTCCACTAGCAGCTGGACGGGAAAATGGCAAGGGGTCATTTCCTGTACTGTACCGTGAGGCAGTGATTAGCTACGTGTGGCTCGTCCAACTAGAGATGTGCTGTGAGTGTAAGATGCACACTGGATTTCTAAAACTTTGTGCAAAGAAAAGGGAAATATCTAATTAGTAATTTCATATGGATTCTGTGTTGAAATGACAATATTTTAGGTTTTTGAGCTAAGTAAAAATACATTATTAAAATTAGTTTCACCTTTTTTATTCTACTTCTTAAAAATGTGCTTGCTGCTAGAAAATTTAAAATGATAGATGTGGCCCATATTATGTTTCTGTGTGATAGACTGCTCTGGATCAAGAGTCGGCAAACTATGGCCCTCGAGTCAAATCTGGCCCGTTGCTTGCTTTTGGAAATAAAGTTTTATTCATGCATGCCCATTTGTTTGCATATTGTCTGTGGCTGCTTTTGCACTGCCATGGCAGAGTTGAGTGTTTGTGACACAGGGCGTGACCCATGAGGCCTGACCTCGTTCCTGTGTGACACTTTAAGAAGTTTGCTGCCCCTGCTCCGGCTCAGTGAAGGCAGGATGGTGATTATTCCCTATTTCATTAATTCTTAAGGCCTTGCACTCTAAGGTCTCAAAAAGCATTTATCTCATAAAGATAAACAAATGCATGATGAGTTTTGATGATGTGCTCTAAGAATTTAGTGTCTCAGAGTGTGAGGAAGAACGTGAGTATTCTGGAGATGGCGGTTTGGTGGAAATATGGGAGAGTTCGGTCAGCCTCTAAGTTTAATTCTGATGCTGATAGTTGGAGACAAACAGTTAAGACTGTGTGTGAATAATGCAGATGAGTGAAACGGACATGAGCGTATGAGGCAGTGGGGATGGCGGGGTCTGGAGTGGGCTGGGGACACATCCACTAAGCCGGTGCCGCTCAGCTGTGGTCAATTATGGTTTTATGGGAATGTGGGCTAAGGGGTGTCCAAGAGTCTGCTTTTTTAAAACGAAGTAGAAAATTCACGTTTTCATTTAAGTCTCCTGATTAGGAAACAGTAGAAATTAATTTCATTGTTTCCTTAGAATAATAGTGAGCCGAACCAAACATGGTTTTAAGGTGACCTGACCAAGGGCCTGAGTAGCTTCTGCTTTCTAGAGAGGTCATTTTCAGTGAACACGAGTGCTTCCACGTCAGTTTGGTTTCTCGCCCCAAGAAAAGCGCATCCAGCAGGTCATGATTTTCCCACACGTCTCTCCACTCCACGGGCTTTCACTGAGGGCCTGCCGTGTCCCCCAGGCGCTGTGCTAGGGCCCCTGCCGTCACTGAGCAGTGTTCATTCTGACGTTCCGGTGCTGGTCACTGACTCGACAGGGCTGCCACAGGAGCAAATAAGATAACGTCCATAAAAGGGCTTCGTAACATATCATGTGGTCCATGACTCAGCTATTTTTGTTGACTGCCGTGCATAAAACTGAACTGGTGGTTGATAGAGACCCATTGGAAGATGCGGGGAAAACTGAAGGTCTTCAAGTTTGTTGCCTAAGGACAGGTGCTGAGCAGTGTCATTTTGTCCACCTTTAGACCTTCTTAAAAGCCGTGGGAGAGATCCTTCTACTGCCTGGTTGGATTGCTCTGTCAGAGGTAAGAGAAAAGAACATGGTCGGTCATGGTGGCTCATACCTATAATCCCAGCACTTTGGGAGGCCAAGGCGGGTGGATCACTTGAGGTCAGGAGTCAAGACCAGCCTGGCCAATGTGGCAAAACCCCATCTCTACTAAAAATACAAAAATTAGCCAGGCGTGGTGGCGGGCACCTGTAGTCCCAGCTACTCAGGAGGCTGAGGCAGGAGAATTGCTGGAACCTGGGAGGCGGAGGTTGCAGTGAGCCGAGGTTGTGCCACTGCACTCCAGCCTGGGCAACAGAGTGAGACTCTGTCTCAAAAAACAAAAAAAAAAAAAAAAAAGAGAGAGAGAGAAAAGAACATTTTGATCTTCAAAACGTATGTGCCTCGGGAACCATTTTGTCTTCCTAGAAGTGGCATAATATGGCCCAGTCACATCCACAAAAAGAATGATGTATCTCCCAGTCCTGACATCTGGGATATAAGAGCTCATTTTGAGTAGACATGCAACTGATTCAGAATGCCTTGTCCTCTAAGGCAAAAGAAATGCACGTGTGTCAGTAATGTGTTACTGTCCTAAACATGGAAGAAGGAAATGATGGTTTTTTCCCCATGAGAAATGTGTACTTGGTTCATCCTGGTCATTTCATGTAATATGTATTTTTTTTTTCTTTACCATCCCATCATTCTTGAATGACAATAGAAAGCTTTTTATGTTAAAAGTCACTGGATTTAGTAAGAAAAAGGAGAATACATGACAATATGTACTTCATGATTAAGGTGCAGAAAAAAAGCTTCTCTTGTTCTCTTTACTCAAAATAGCTAGAAAGGAGAATGAAATAATTTTTCCTATATTTCTGAAAATAACTTGATTGTACTTATTTAAAAAGAAAACAAATAAATAGTTGTGGAGAAGTTAGAAAATGCAGATAATAAAAAACAAAATAAAAATCACTTCAAATCCTAAAACTGAGATTATTAACATTCTTGTATATTTCCTTATAGTCTAGTTTTCAATTCACTTATATATGTATTCAACAGATATACTGTATATTTGACTTAATTTGTTTTTCCTTAATTATGTCAATAACACTTTCCAATGATACTAAGTATTCACCTGCAACACTGTATTAGTCAGGACAGGCCAGGGTGCACTGCAGTAACAAATAGATCCCTACATCTCAGTGGCTCAGCACAGTAGAAATTTACTTCTCTGCCATGCAAAGTCCAGAGTGAGTCAGAGGAGCCTCTTCTCCACCCAGATACTCAGGGATCCTGGCTCCATCTGTCTTCCGGTGCTGGCTTCTCAATATGTGGTTTCCAAGGTTGCCAGGCAGGGGCAGAGAAGGGTGAGGAGGACTCTTAACTGCCTTGGCCCAGAAGGGTCCCAACCACACCACCATGATATTAAAGTGCTCATTCTCCTAAGCCCTGATAATATTTGAAAATGTTTGCCAGTTTGAGGGCAGAAGTGGCATTTTATTCTCTCATTATTAATAAGATTGCGTTAGAGTTTACATTTGATAAACTTTTGTTTGAATAATTTCAAGTGGAATGAGATTAGGTTTAACAGTGGCAAAGGGAGAAAAAAAGGCTCAAGAATGTAAGATGGATACAGTCTTACCTAGAAAACAATTCCTTTTTAAAAGGTTTGACCTCTTTCATGATTTCAAGGGGACTTTGTGTCCAAAGCTGCAGGCTGGGAACACCCAGAGGACAGCCAATGGAAGTATCCAGGCAGACGTATTTTGTGCATGATTTTAATTAACTGCTTTTGAATGCAAAATATGCAAATCTGTTACAAAATATGAATAACCAGGAAACTGTCCAGACTCAGGCAGGGTCCAATATGCATTAAAGAGAATGCATGAATCGGTCTCTACCCCACAGAACTGCATGCCAGAAACACAGACTTCCATGTGCTTAACTGGGCCTGGTGACTGAAATCAGGCTATGGGCCTAAAAGCAAATATCTAAAATTGGCCTCAGCATTCTATTTCCAGCTCATGAGGCTCTTCTGAAGTGCGTGTTTGTGGGAGAATGCTGAGGACTTAGCAGCAGGCAGGTGCTTCCCCAGAAAGGCAGGAAGAGAAGCAGTGAAGGCAGAGCTCACTGGCCCAGCTCAGCAGGGCTTAAGAGAGGCCTCTCCCCTGGTGATGTGTGTCTGAGGATGAGGGCCCCCTGCTTTCTTGGGGGCAGTGTCTACCAGGATCCTCTGCTCTGGAACTCAGAAAGGAAAGAGGGCTCTTGGAGTAGAAGGCAAGCTCCTGGGAAGTCAAGGCAGCCAGAGATAGCTCTGGGTGCCGGCACCTCGGAAGCAGCCACCCTTCATGGAGAAGGGGACAGAGCTGCTGGTGTCCCCATCCCAGAGTGGACCTGGGGGCGATCAGCCCCTCCTCGTGAAGCACAGGGAGGTAGGGGGAGGGTCTGGGATGTGCTGAGGGTCCCTCTGTGAGTTCAGGGAGGAGGCAGGACCAGGAGTTGGGTCCCCTCAGTCCCCGTGTCTAAGTGTAGAAATGCAGGAGCCGGCGATGGCTGGGGTGATGGGTCCACCTGGGCTGTGTCCATGCTCCGTGAGCTCAGTCGGGTGTGTGGCCTCCGTGTGGTCCCCTCCTGATCCATGGGAAGGGGCAGTTGTGTGACTTCTTCCTCCCTCGTGGCCAACGTGGGGAAACTTGATTTTGTGTGCCTGGTGCACCTGCCTGGTGCCCTGGCTGAGTGGGGTGGATTTTCATGGCTCCTGGTGCTTGTGTTGCTGCAGGACAGCGCCGTGGTACTGAGTCTCATCGACACTATTGACACCGTCATGGGCCATGTATCCTCCAACCTGCACGGCAGCACGCCCCAGGTCACCGTGGAGGGCTCCTCTGCCATGGCAGGTAGCTGTCGCTTGTAAGGGTGAGCCACATGGCAGGGGCGGGGGCTGGAGGCTGCGTTTCACTGCCTGTCTTTTTACACCCTTAGCAGAGAGCCATGCTCTGTCTCCCTGACTGCTCTGCCTGGCACAAACCACATTTGGAAGGAAAACCCGTGGTCAGATGAGGGCAGGTGTGTTCGGCCATGATATGCAGATGGGGCCCATAAGCTTTTCCCAGTGACTTGGGAGCCAAGCTCCTGCCCTGGGATGATGGTCTCGGTTCAGAGCAGGAGGCAGAAGCAGCAGTGCCTGCAAGAGTCTGTGGAATAAAAGGGGTGGCCTCGGGTTTCTGGCGTCAGCTTGCTCTCAGCTGGGCTCCAGGGTAATTGTCACAGTTGTCTAATTGTAGAGGCAGAGGTGATGACCTTTCGATTTTAAAAGTCTTTACCAGGAGTGCATTATCCTGCTGATACTTCGCTGCAAGAGCCGAGCTGGGGAAAATGGGCTGAAGCTACAGGGGTTAGTTTAGTCGCAGTTTGTTGGCCGTGTTGCCCTCGCCTGCTGCGCTTGGGGAGGAGCCGATGTCACCGCATCGCTGAGCACAGCCCATCCTTGCACCGGCCTTGAGAGCTGGGGGCTGTGCTGGGGCGGAGGGCGCCCCAGGTGAGGAGCCGCGCGCCCGTGGGCCGGAATGCTGAGCCTCCCCGTGGCAGTCACTGCCTGGGCTCTTCATTGCTTTACCCTTTTTTTTTTTTTTTTTGAGGCCATGCTTTCTAAAGGTAATTATACTTCCCGTGGGGAGCTTGTCCTGTCAAAAAAGAAAAGCAGACGGGGTTTTGCAGTCTGATTTCCTGCAGCCTGTGAGCTCTGACGGGACTTCCGCTCTCTCGCTCCTTCCACCGCAGAGTTTTCCGTGGCCAAAATCCTGCCCAAGACCGTGAATTCCTCCCATTACCGCTTCCCGGCCCACGGGCAGAGCTTCATCCAGATCCCCCACGAGGCCTTCCACAGGCACGGTGAGTGTGGCTGCGCTGGACTCCCTTCCGGGGCGGCTCCCTCAAGTCTTTCTGAAGAGTCCCCAAGCTTTGCTGGGTGCCCACCGCGCCAGGGAGCTGCGGTGCTCCCCCGGGCCGCCTGCGGTGCTCCCCCGGACTGCCTGTCCTGTCCTGCAGGAGAGGGACTGTGGGCAGCCGTTCTCAAAGCGTGTCCTCAGGCCACCCTCATGGACACGCTTGAGAGGTTCCTTAGTGATGCTAATGCTGTGCCCACTCCAGGCCACTGAACTGGAATTTGGGGTGGGGTCTGGGAGCATCTCAACCTGCTCGCCTGGGGAATCCGGCCCACTGGGAAGTCATCCTACCTACATCCTCCTAAATCGGCACACACCTGGTCAGCCGAAGATAAAAAGATGGGGCCACCTCCCCTTCCTGCTCAGGTAGCTGTGGGCCAGGTGAGGGGTTCATCTGTTCAGGAACCTGGGGTTCCACTCCTGTGCAGGCCTCAGTCGAGTCACATAATAAAAAATGAGAGGCTCAGGGGACCCCCTGCCTCTGACCAGGGAGCCCTGTTGGGAGCCCAGATGGCCCTGGCTATTTTTTGCTACAATGACCGTCACCCTCTCTGGTTCCTGGAAAAGCGAATATGACTCTGCAGACATCTCCTTCCTCTCCTTCCCTCCCTGGGGACCTCGGGCAAGCAGGGGAGAGCCTCAGATTTTTGCCCCTGCCACCCTGGCCAGAGGCCACGCCCCCTTCCCAGGGTTCTGCCTTAGGGATGGGGACCAGGACAGCCCTCATCAGACATCTCTCTCTGCAGTGGGGAGCCTGTCTCTGCACCCACCACCATCTTGATTGTCTGTGGGAAAGGTGCCCCGACTGGTTCTCTGCCCTGTCCTCAACTAGCATGATGTCAGGTGTGCCCTGCTCCTAGGGCAGAGGCAGGGATGTCCCTACCCCAGAAGCCAAGGGAAGGGCCCAGGGACGATGCCACCTTCCTCCAGCATCAGCAGGGAGGGCCCAGGGATGGTGCCGACATCTACCAGCATCTCCTGGCCGCATGATCTGCTGGGAGTGCCCTGATTTCCAATCCTGGCAGAGCCGTGGCCGAGCCATGGAGTGAAATAGCAAAAGCACATGTGACCCTGCTTCATGGCTGGTTATAATAGAGGTGTGACCAGGTGAAGGCATACAGACTTCCCAGTGGCTGCTGCCCCCTTGAAAACCTGCATTCTGCCTCACTCAGTGTTGCCCTAAATCCTCTGCGTGTGGAGGGCAGACGGGATGCACTCGTGGGGCAAGGCTGGAGGCTGGCACTGCCCCCTGTTGACTTGCAGGAGCTGTCTCCCTGCAGGGGCTCTGAGACTGTGTGATGCCCTGGGTGAGCCTGGCTCTCCCTGCAGGGGCTCTGAGACCGTGTGATGCCCTGGGTGAGCCTGGCCCTCCCTGGGGGGTTTCAGCCTCCACATGTCTGGAGCTGGCTCAGGGGATGGAGCAGGGATCCACCGTCACGCTGCTGAGTTGCTGCAGAGTCTTTGTCCTTGCAAATTCTGCCCGAGTGTCCTTCACTTCCTTCTCCCCAGAGGGTTCTTAGGAGTGAGGGGCAGCACCATGCATGGCGGGGCGTGGGGCTTTGTGTTTTTCCTGCCTGTGGCCTGGAGCGCTGACAGCGCCTGCCCCTCTGCTCTCTCTGCAGCCTGGAGCACCGTCGTGGGTCTGCTGTACCACAGCATGCACTACTACCTGAACAACATCTGGCCCGCCCACACCAAGTGAGTCTCGGGGGTGCTCAGCTCAGGGGCGTGGGTGTGCGTGGGTTTGCTGGGTGGCTGGCCACAGGGATGCCCGCCCCACACGCACAACACTGAGAACTCTGGACACGAGTACCGGGCGCTTCACTGCTCGGGCAAGGAAACGTGAAGCGTTTTGAAGGCCACTTGGGAACTGCAAGGCTGGGGCCAGGCTGGTGGAGTGGAGGTCAGGAGCACGGGCCAGAAGACCCTACCCACCCGCCTGGACAGAACTGTGTGACCTTGGGCAAGGGACTTAACCTCTCTGAGCCTCAGTTTCCACTGCTGTGTAATGGAAGACAACAGACCTGTCTGTGTCAGTCATGGGCAAACACACAGATGGGCAAAGCCATTTCACATCAGCTTAAGTGGAAGGCCAGGAAACTGAGGGCTCAGGGGACTGAAAAGGGAGGAGCAGGTGGGCCTCAGTCATGGCTGGACCCGGGGACCCCGAGGACGCCGTCTAGACCTGCTCTGTCTGCCCCCTGCCTCTGCTGTCCTCCAGACAGGCCCCTCCATAGGAGCAGAGCTGGCTCCTGCAGCATCGCCTCATGTGGGTTTGGGTCCTGAGAACCCAGAAGGAGAGCAAGGAGGGTGGGGACCATGAGGGGGGCGGCGAGGCTGGGGAGGATGAGGGAAATGAGGAGGGAGGGGAGGGGATGCCTCTTTCCTGAGGAATGTAGTCCTAAATTTTGTGATCTGGAGGAAACACCGTCTTCTGCGTCAGATTTCTTGGGGAAAGCCTGCATGCTTACCGATTTCCTCCTAATGAAAGAAAGTGGGGGGCCTGCCACTCTTTATGTGTGATTTCCAAAATTCTTCAGGAAAATGGTCAAAGAAAAATGCAATCTATTTTCCTCAAAAAGATGCCATCTCAGTTATTTGGGGAGATCTTTCCAAGATAGTGAATGAAAAGGTGACCCTTCCTTGGCCCCTCCTGCTGAAGTTTCCACCAGGAAGCTGGCCTTGCTGTGAAATATATGAGACGTGCATTTGTGAGGTGTCGCTGTGTCTTGTGCGGCCACAGTGAGAACCTGCGTGGGAAAGCGGCATCCGTGCCACGGCCCACAACGTCACAAAGGCGGGAGGATTGCTTCCAGATGCAGGGTGCACACATTTCAGGGGCAATTCACTGTGACCACCAGAATCTGACTCCAGCCAGGTGTCAGCCAGCTCTTTCATGAAGGGCCAGCTTGTAAATCGGCTTGGCTTTCCAGAACTCTGCCCTCACAGGGTGAAGGCAGCCAGAGACACTACGTGGGGAAATGGGGGAGTGGCTGCCTTCCAATACAGCTTTATTTACAAAACCAGGCGGCCAGCCCAAGAGCTGCAGTTTGCAGATCTTTGCCAGACCCTCTATTAGATCAGCGCTGGCAGGGATGGGCAGAGGAGAGGCCGGCGGGGCCTGCTCTGGGGAGCCCACAGCCTTGCAGATGGAAGACAGTCTGTCTCGCCTGTCCCCAGGGCCTCAGCCTTCACTCTCCCTCTGCTGTCCTCACGGACCCAGGTGTCTGCAGACAGGACACTGGAGCCCCAGGATGCAGGCCACTGTGTCCCAGAACAATGCAGCTAACTCTGACGTCCCCCTGCAAACCGAGGGCCTGGAAATTGGACAGCCAAGTCATCCCTGGTTCGTCAGCATTGACACCAGCCCCACAACATGTTCCATGAGCAGCACATTTACGTGCTGAAGCCAAAGCAGAACTGGCTGTGCAGCGATGGAACATGTTTTTCATTTGCAGTGAAGTTGGATCTTCAGCTCAGGTGAAGCTCTCTTCAGCACTTAGTGCAAAGATGCCTTGTCATCAAAATTCACCTGGAAAAAAATCATGCAAACAGCTCATCCAGTAAAGTCTCTGTACTTGTTACATTGTACCTGTGTACCTTGTACCTGTAGCAGAAGAGGTGGACGGAAGTGGAGGGGACAAAGAGTTTGGTTCACAGGTGCCCTCCTTATCTGTGTGACCCTGGGCAAGTGACTTGAGCCTGGAGGCCTGTGTTCTCCTCTTAAAACAGGAGTAATAATAGCACTGATTTCTGAGGATTGCCAGGAGGACTGAATGAGTTAATGGTGTAAGTAGGGCTTGGTTTTCTTAAACATGACATACAAGTGCCTGCTTTTGTGATTTTGTAAGCTGATTGGGCATTTGTGCCATTTTGCCTTTGAGGTAATTATCAAATCCTGGGCACGATGAGAAGCAGGTTAGTGCAGCTGCCGTGCGGGCAGCACGTTTATGTGCGCACATATGCCGGGTTCCTGCCAGCCTGCAGGGGACTTCCCTCCGTCTTTGTCTTTGTATTGTGTGCTGTCATCCTCATACATCCGCAGTGTGTTGTGAGGATGAAAGGATGCTTTGGTGCCGTAGTGTCCTTTAATTTCTTCTCCAGGGATGAGGGTGAGGGTCTAAGTCAGTACGTGAGTCTCAGTGCACAAAGGGTGGGGCCTGGGCCGGAAGGAACTTTTGTCTCCACAGCCAGCCCCAGGCAGACCATTCCAGGGCTCCTGTGATGACGGAGGGGATGATATCTGACCACCCACGGCCCGGTGGGGGCTTAGCTGCTTCTTGCCCGGCTGCTTGTACCCCTAGGATCCTTTGAGTCTCACTCGCTGCCTGGCCCCGCAATGATGGAGACTGTTCAGCTTTTACGGGTGCTCGTGCTAGGCTCAGCCAGCACCGGGACAGCCGGTTCCTCCAGGTGGACGGGGCTGAGACTGGCCTGCTCCCAGTCCTCCTGTGAAGATGGAAGCCACAGCCCACAGAGGGAAGGGCCTCTCCCCAGGCTGTGAGGGACTCACGGGTGCTCGAGAAAGATGAGTGGGGAGGTGGACCCGGCTCAGCGTGTGTCCTTAGTCACTATAGAGTGACACGGAGCACCGATGGAACCAGTAGGTCACGGTTCTGCAGCCCTCAGTGCAGTAACTGACCCAGGCAGAAGCTATCAGTGGATGTGCACACCAGCGGGAGCAGGGTTGCGGGGCGGGGGACCTCACCGACCTGCAGAGTCCTAGCTGTACCAGGTCGGAGGGTGCCTGGTGATGGGGATGTCTGCCGCACGCCTGCAGCCAGGTGGCCACACTCAACATTATCAACGTGGGACACGTTGTGGGCCCGTGTCTCTTGCTGTCACGTCATGGGAGACGTCCATGCCTCCTGTGGCATACTCCTGTCAGATGCATGGCCTCACGCCCCTCACGAGGAAGCAGTCAGACACACCTGAACTAAGCGATGTTGTGTGCTGCTGTGGTTTCGATTGCAAGGGAGAAGAAGTTGGGCAGTTCCGGATTGGGGGAGACTAAAGAGGTTCGTGCCTGAGCTAATGCACATTCCTGGGTTGAGAGAAGTGGAGTTCTGGAGGACGTGTGTGATGGTGGGGGGTGTGTGCAGTTGACTCTGGACTGTGCATTAGAGCATCTTGTAGGGTCCTCGTTAAATTTCTGAGTGTGATCATTGTTTGATGGTTATATAGGAGGCAGTCTCCATTTTTAGGAGACACGTGGTAGAGATGGAGTATGCTGTGATGCCTGCAACACACCGCTAGTGCTTCAGCAGAAAGGAAATGTGCATGTGTGCGTGTATTTGTGTGTTGTGTGTGTGCACACAGGTGCATGTATGTGCTTGTGTGGTGTATGTGCGTTATGTGTGCACATATGTGCATGTGTGTTTTGTGTGTGCTGTGGGCATGCAAATGCGCGTGTGTGCATTTGTGTGTTGTATGTGCATACATGTGCGTGTGTGTGTGTACATGTGTGGTATGTGTGTGTCAAGTGTGAGCGTGACCACTGCCAGATAAAGTGAACATGGCAAATGATAAGAGCTGAGAGTGTAGGTGAAGCCTATGCGTTGTACTGTTTTCTGGCAGATTTCCTGCTGGTTTGACTTTTAACAGTGCAAAGCTGCGGGGGCTCCTGGCATGGGCAGGAATTGTGGCTGTTGCCGTCCTTTCTGAAAGGCCCTGGCTGCAGTGCTGCTCGAAACAGAGAACAACGTCACCTGGGCAGCATCGGTGCTGAGGAAGTCGCCTGTTACCCTCGATGCTGTCTCCTTCTGCTGTTTGCGTCAGTCAGGGGCTCAGTCTCCTTCAAGAATTCACCATCACCCAAGATCACACTCAGAGATGCTGCCATGTGCCACCTTGTTGGCAAGATTTGGAGTTTCCTTCACACTGTGTTCCCAGGGTGGCGTTGAATTCTCGCGCTGAGGGAAGGTGACAAGCAGTGTGTGACGGATGGGTGAGGGGATTCCTTGAGCACACAGGCATGTGTCAGCAGGAGCCAGTTATCAAGGAGTTCCTTTACCAGGGAATATTTTCATTTGCGATGTTTGTTCACTCCCCAATGTGACATGGTAACTGTGAGGACTTGATAATTCTCCAAATAACCGAATAACAGCCCTTTTTCTTACTCCACTTGGTCTGACTTCTTTGGATTGAGTTCCTGAGCCGGTCTTCTGCACAGGCTGGGAAGTCTCTGTGTCTCCTCATAGATTTCAGCACTCCTCTGAAGCCTCATGTAACTTTAAGTCCCCTCTTTGTGTAACGGAAGGCGGAGCAGCAGCGTGGCTTTGGCTCAGATGTGCTGCGTGGGGTGAAGGACGCAGAGCCTGACCATCGGTGGGGCTCCGTGGGGCCAGGTAGTAACTTGGGGCACATTGAAGGAAGGCGGATTTGCAAAGGTGCAATCAGGAGTGGAGAGCTCTGGGGGACAGCACAGTCACGGGCCAGGAACAAGAATGGGGGCACGCTGCTTTCCCCAGGGCCAGCCAGGCAGGCCCTGGAAGAGATGGCTTTCCCCGGGCAGAGATGGAGGGGCCCCCGGGGCAGCGACTGTGCCCTGGTAGGCTGAGGGAAAAGAATCCTGGCCCCACTATCTGCTCCGATGCCCTCTGACCTTCTGGGGCTTCCCTTTTGCTGAGCACATGAAGGGAGAGAGCCCAGAGCCTGGCTGATGGGCACAGGACGGGGCGGGTGGAGGCAGGGTATAAGGGGCAGAGGAAGAGCCAGCACAGCCTCTGCCCCACCCTGCCCCACCTCACCCCTGCCCCACCCTGCCCCACCTCACCCCTTCCCCACCCTGCCCCACCTCACCCCTTCCCCACCCTGCCCCACCTCACCCCTGCCCCACCCTTCCCCACCTCACCTCTGTCCCCACCTTTACTGGAGGAAAATGCTCCTAAGGAGGCGTCTGGCCCCATTCTCATCTTGACTTGGCCGACATCTGGCGTCGCACTGATTACCAAACTGGGCCTGGTGGAGGCCACGTGTTCCCGGAGCGGAATCCAGGAAACCACTCCAGATTTGCTCTCATATCATTTGTGTTCATAGAAGGTTCTCACTTAATGTTTTCCTTATGTTTTTCCTAAGAAATGGATCTAAGTCATCGCCGCTTGCCTGTGAGTAGATTCATCCACTCGCTCACTCACTCACGTGTGTGCTGAGCACCCACTGTGTCAGGCGTGGTTCCGGGAGCTGGGGAGAGCAGTGAACCAAACGGGAAAGCATCCGGGCCCCAGGGGAATTTCTGTTCTGGGAGGGAGATGATGACCACCGGTTGCACCATCAGGAAATGTCCACGGAGGGAAAGTCAAGGGACAAATCATGCTGCGTGTTTAGGGCCTGAAGCCCACAGCTGCGACTTTCTGTTCTGGCTAATGGCACAGCCCTAAGTGTTGCTAGCAACGTGGTTTTTCCAGCGCGTTTGGTGGAATTGCACACGTGTTGAGTTCATGGAGCTCTGCAGAAAAGGCCACGAGCATCGGGGCACTGGGCACAGAGAGTGAGAACCAGGCTCCTGGCTGAAGCGAACACACCACACGTCTTAGGGCCTTGGAGTCGCGTGCGGGGCGGGGACAAGGTTCTGCTGAGTGAGTCAGGCTGGGCGCCGCGGGGCTTTGCCTTGGTCCCCCCCAACTTTCTGCGGCCTCGAGCCCACCCTCACTTTCTGCGGTGGGGACTGAGCCCACGCATGCCCAGTGGTGAATGTTCTCAGACGGTGAATGTTGTTCTTCCGGGGAAACATCTGAGATACTACCCGGGTCTGCGGCTCTGCAGAGTGGAATGTTTATGTACGTTCTGTACGTACAGCTTGTATCTCTGTGGGACTAAAACTTTCTGGGCAAGTTTATTAGAAAAAAATGTCTAAAAAGCCTCTTCAGAGGGGCTATAATGAAAAAAATGGTTGAGACACGTGGACCTAGGGTGATGCTTTCTTTTCATTTTTTTTTTTTTTTAAGTTTGTGTTTTACTCCATGTGTGTCATCTGGACTTTGGGCTTGGATCAATAACATGGTCACATAGAGGAATTGCCGGGTCGAGCAGTCGCGTCTGTTGTTACTCACAGGCCTGAGAATCGATGACCCTGGTTTGCTCCAGACCCTGTGAACTGGTGATGATCTGCAGGAAGTCGCTTCTGCGGGAACAGACAGGGTGTTCATTCTCTATGGCGCCATCTTTGTAAACACTTTGTATTTACAATTCCAGGAATAATTCTGCGTGCTTCTTGGAGGCCTGCTCTTTCTCAGGGATGTGTGTAAGGAGACAGTGCAGAGGCCGGGGGTGAGGTGGGACGTGCTCCTGCTCCATGAGCCCCACCGCCCATCCCAGGCAGGGTCACTGAACACGGTGTTTGAATCTAGTTAGAAGGAAAAACAAGTTGAGGGAGGAAAAATATGGTGCCCCCAGCTCCCAGAGCCCTGTGGGATGTCCCAAAGGTGGTTCAGTGGGTGTCGAAACAGGGACCTGCAGGTTCCTCAGTCAGTCAGCGCTTTGGATGGTGGACGGGGGAGGTGCACAGGACCCGGGTGAGGCCCACACAGAAGCAGACGGCTGGGTGACCGCGGGGGGCCCGGTGACAGCACGTCTCAGGCATCTTTGTGTAGTCACCCCAAATTCAAATTCATGGAACAGATACTTGGTGACCTGCTGTGTGCCAGGCAGGGCTGGGATCAAATCAGGCAAATGGGCTGAGGGCACAAAATTAAAGGAGCTGGTCATCCTTGGGGTCGTGCCCAGTGTGAGCACCTTCTTCAATCTTGCCCTTCAGGTACCTGGCTTCCCTCACCCTCCTCCTGGCCCTGAATATCTTTTCAAGCTCATAACCCCACGAGACAGCCACTGTAGACATCAGTTAGGCTTCTTTAGATTGGGCTGCAAGGGGCGGAAAACCCATCTTTAACAGTTTTAGGCCAAGGGGGAGTTTATTGGATCACGTAAGCCGAGAGCTCTGCAGAGGGCTGGCTTCAGGAGCAGCTCGATCCAGCATCCCATTGCTGTTGCTGGGCTCCATCTCTCAGCAATTCCCTTCTCAATCAGTCTCCCTCCTCATGAATGCAAGCAGCTCCCAGGGCCTCGTGCCTCAGGGCATGAGGAGAAGTCTGGCAGGGAGAATGAGGGTCTTTGAGCCCTCATTCTCCCCCCACCTCGCCTTCTGGCATCTCCTCAGATTTGACTGGATTGGGTGTCATTCCTAAATGGTCCCCATGGCCTGAGGGCTGCGGTGCACTGACTGATCCAGACCCAGATACCAGGGCTTCCTCCTGAGCCAAGATAGAGTCAACTCCAGGCTGTGTGGGCTGTGAGCGGGGAAGGGGATGGCCACCTAGAGGGGAAGGCAGGTGCTTTGATCAGGAAAACGATGAATGAATACTGGGTGGGCAAAACAGCAGATGGCCACTGCACCATCCTATAATCAGGGAAATTGACACTCAGACAGGGTGAGTTACCTGCCCAAGGTCACACAGCTGATTAAGTGGAATCGGTGAGATTCATGCCCTGTTATTTTGAGCATTTCTGCTCATCCATGCTTCCTGGGCCATCTTACTTTTCTTATAAACTCTTTGAGGTCGAGGGCTCTGTCTCACCTCTTGGTCCTGGCGTCACACCTTAACGAGAGCAGGTATTGAAGATAAGAATTCAAGGGACAGAGTTAAAACACAGAATAGTTGAACTCGCCTGCAGGTACCAGCTTCACATCTTGAAGGAGAGCAGCGGGAGCTGAATGAAAGAAATCAAAGCTTCATCCAAAGAAGATTTCCGTCTCAATAGTTTTGGGTGGAACGCTGGCTCCCAGCCTAGGTTCTAGCTGTGTGCTGCTCCCCTGCGTTTCCCATTTTGTAATGATTTCCGTCTCTTCCCAAGGATCGCGGAGGCCATGCATCACCAGGACTGCCTGCTGTTCGCCACCAGCCACCTGATTTCCCTGGAGGTGTCCCCACCACCCACCCTGTCTCAGAACCTGTCGGGCTCTCCACTCATTACGGTCCACCTCAAGCACAGATTGGTGAGTGGCGGTGCCTTCACCCTTGTCGCCGCCTTTGATCTGGTTTCACACTGAGGAATGCTGGGTTGTCTGTGTGCTTGCATAAAGAATCTCCAACAGCCTTGGTGCCGGCCCGAACTGGAATCTTCCTCTCCCTGGAGCTCCTTCTCTTGGGCCTTTGTTTCTGAGCTGCAGTGGGAGGCCCCTCGCATAGTGCCTGGGCTGGCCACGCGGTGTCGATGTTGGGGAAGAGGCGTCGAGGTGGCTCTCCTAGACGTGTGGAGCGATCACGGATCTTCCTCATTTATAACAAGTGTCCTTACTGGAGGAGGGGGGTACCTTGGCCATCCCAGTTACCATGTGTGTTATTAGCCATCAGCAAGATGCAGCACTGTGTTCTGTTAGAGAGAAACATGCTTCAGAGCTCAGGCAAAACCATTTTTACGCTTCAGGCATTGCGTGATAAGCTCTTGGTCCTGATGCTTCATAACCGCTCTCCTCTCCACATGTCGTTTGTTTTTGCCAGTGAGTAGGACTGACAGAGACATTGGGGATACCGATGCACTGCCATTCTTTAGTAAAAGGCAAAAGATGTATACAATCTGAGGAGAAACCAGAGTATAATGCTGCCGTTCTTTAAAAAACGCGTGCGCTGTTCCCCACGCCAGGTTCATGTCAGGAGGTATGGTGTTTGATGTGACACTGAAAGAGTGAGATTTTTCAAAGTGTTTATTCAAGAACTCACTGTGTTATTGGTCAGAATTAACACTAAAGGCATTTCCTGGCAGGATTTTCTATTTCATTCTGTTTCACTCTGCTCTATGGCCAAGGCCGACTCTGTGCGCATACCTGGGTGGGTGCTTCTGTTCTTTCCAGGGTGACTGTGTTTCTGCCCCACCTGGGAGGGGCCCACACACTTGTGCTGCTGGGTGAGCTGGGGCAGTCAAGAGATGGTACTGGAGACGGAGATGGGACTGGAGTGGAAGATGGAGATGGAGAGGGGACTGGAGATGGAGGTGCGGATGGAGATGGGAATGGAGATGCAGAGGGGACTGGAATTGGAGATTGAGATGGACATGGGAATGGAGATGGAGATGGAGACGGGACTGGATATAGAGATGGAGATGGAGAGGGGACTGGAGATGTTGGAGATAGAGATGGAAATGGAGATGGAGAGGGGACTGGAGATGATGGAGATAGAGATGGAAATGGAGATGGAGAGGGGACTGGAGTTGGAGATGGAGATGGAGATGGGAATGGAGATGGAGATGGAGAGGGGACTGGAGTTGGAGATGGAGATGGAGTTGGAGATGGAGATGGGAATGGAGATGGAGAGGGGATTGGAGATGAGACTGGTCACCTCAGCCTCCTTGCCCTTCCTCTCTGCATGTGACCAGCCGTGAGCCTGTTTTCAGTGTGTCCCCTGCCTTGCTTCCTCCGCCCCTCCCGGTGTCCCTCTCCTTCCCAGTGACTTCTCACCTGGACCAGCAGCCTCCGCGTGTTCTGTCTGCTCCATTCTCCCCACAGTTTACAGACTTATTGTCAAACACACAGATCAGGTGGTGCTACTTACCTATTCAAAGACCTTCTGGGACTCAAGGTTCCCTGCAGGAGAATTTACACTCTGGGCCTGTCGGCAGATGTCTAGCAGGTCTTTCCCGCCCGGCTTTCCATGCACCTCTGGCTCTCCTTCCAAGCCCAGCAGACAGCTGCTGTCATTGCTGGTGTCGTTCCCTGTGCCTGGTGGGCCTGTCTCACCCATCTGCTGTCTGAGTTCACCCATCTCAGGAGGAGCCTTCTCTCCTCCAAGCCCTCTGCGGCCTGCACAGAAGGGAACCTCCCTCCACGCGGTCTTTGCGCTGTATTAGCACAGAGTCTCAGCTCTGTATGCTATAATCATTTATGCTAATCAGTAATCCCTTAAATGGCCTGCAGCTTCTCAGAGGCTGCCAGATCCAGCATGGAGCCCACTGCCCTTCCCCCCTGCCCGCAGTGGCCTTGGCACTGCGTGGAGGCTCAGGAGACGCTTGCTGAGTGAGTGCTGTGCCGGAGTCAGTGCCCTGTCTTGCAGTTGTGCAGTTGACATTTGTGTCTTCTCTTTGTGTGGAGAGAATCCTGGTCCCCTGCACAGGCTGTCCCCTCTGCCGTGATGTCAGTGAGGGTGCACTCCACAGGCTCAGCCTATGTTTGGAAATGTGGCTGCGACATGCAGCAGAGACACTTGGAGCTTCTGGGCTTGAGGGTAGGGCAGTGCTGCCCCGCGGCGTGTCAAGCCTGTAGTCAAGAGTCTGTAGCTGGGCGCAGTGGCTCAGCCTGTAATCCCAGCACTTCGGGAGGCCAAGGTGGGCGGATCACCTGAGGTCAGGAGTTTGAGACCAGCGTGACCAACATGGTGAATTCCCGTCTCTACTAAAAATACAAAAATCAGCCGGGCATGGTGGCCCGAGCCTGTAATCCCAGCTACTTGGGAGACTGAGGCAGGAGAATCACTTGAACCCGGGAGGCAGAGGTTGCAGTGAGCAGAGATCGGGCCAGTGCGTTCCAGCCT